>NC_000014.9:39005652-39308682 GCF_000001405.40 Homo sapiens | reverse complement strand
GAGAACTTTCAATAATCACTATAGCTAACTATGTAACATATATCTCTAAAGCTATTTTACTTGCTGTTCAATGGAGTTAACATAATTTTTATTACCTGTGGAGTTTCATTTCATTTTCTTGATATAATTCAGTCATTACTTTAAGTTTCTGTTGAAGCTTCTGATTCTCATTTTCAAAATGTGTGTTTTCTGACTGCAAAGATGCTTGTTCAGTCTGAAGATTTTTAATATGCTCTATATAAAAATTTTAAGTCATAATTAAAGGAGAAACATTTTGAGTTGCATATTAACATTTCAGAAAGATAAAAATTACTAAAAATAATAAATTATTAATAAACTAAACTCTTTCCAATAACAGAAAATCTATAAGGGATTCTGTTTACCTAAATGCTTTTATTGTTATTAGTTGATTGACACATAAAAATTGTACATATTTATGTGGTACAGTGTGATATTTCAATATAGGTATTCGATGTGTAATAATCCTATCAGGGTAATTAGCATAACCATCGCCTCTAACATTTGTCATTTCTTTATGTTATGAACATTCAAAATCCTCTCTTCTAGCTATTCAAAAATAACAATATGACAAATAAAGTAGATCTAAGAAAAAGAAATATAAATATACAGCAACTTAACTAACCACTCTACAGTGCTATAGAACATTAGAAATTGTTCCACCTATCTAGTTATAATTTTGTATCTGCTAACTAACCTCTCCCTAACCCCCTACCCTCTATACTTCCCACCCTCATATTACTATTACTATTCCACTCTTTACTTGTATGAGATCAACTTTTTTAGCTCCCATATATAAGTGAGAACATGAGCCATTTCTCTTTCTCGTGTGGCTTATTTCACTTAAAATAGGCTCACTCATGTTGCCACAAAACAGGATCCCATTATTTTTTGATGGCTGAATAGTGCTCCATTGAGTGCATTAATATCTGAATTAAGGAGCTATATAAATTGTTTTAATTTTGGCCGGGCACGGTGGCTCACGCCTGTACATCTCAGCACTTTGGAAGGCCGAAGGGGGTGGATCACTTGAGGCCAGGAGTTCAAGACCAGCCTGGCCAACATGGCAAAACCATCTCTACTTAAAATACAAAAATTAGTCAGGCGTGCTGGGGCGTGCCTGCAATCCCAGCTACTTGGGAGGCTGAGGAAGGAGAATTGCTTGAACCTAGGAGGCAGAGCGTGCAGTGAGCCAAGATCACGCCACTGCACTCCAGCCTGGATGACAAAGGGAGACCCTGTCTCCAAAAAAAAAAAAAAAAAAAAAAAAAAAATTCTTTTAACTTTTGTTATTATTTATAGGATTCCCAACACCTTCAACATTCTAATTCTAGCATCTAATTTTCAATTTTAGAGCTAAACGCCACTAAAGTTCTCAGGAAGGTTTTGGAGATAAGAGTTTTAAAGGGAGATATTGTAGTTCAACATTCCCCGTAAAACTATTTCCAGGTGATGAATAATGCCTGTTTTTATCTAGTAAAAACTTTCTCTCTTAATAATACTTAAATTCTACCTAGCCCTCCCTTTTAAGCTAAAATTTTGACATATAAGTCAAGCCAGAAATCTAGATCTTCTCATAACAAATGCCCAAACATACTCCTAGTTTAAAACAGATCAAGACCAGAGAGAAAAATACCAACTTTAAGCGTTGTTTCAACCGCTAAGCCATCTTTAAAAAAATCTATAAAATAAAAATGAATCATTCTAAATAATTATGAATGCTTTATAATTTATGCATCAATTTTTTTAAAAACCTCGTTTCTCTTCTAACATAATTACCTCAACTCTGAGCGCCTCTAAAATTGAAGTACCAACTCTGAACAACTCTAACATTAAGGTATCAAGATAATAACCTCAACTCCTCTAAGATGAAGGAAGGCATCATCTCCTGTAACGTGTATATGAATCACCACCACAAATCTTAAAAGACAAAACTCACTCTGCCTAAAGAGGGAAGTTTTGGAAACAGTATTAACAAGCATGAAAATTTTAGTAATTACATGTAATGGTATTTAATTATTCTAAAACCCTCATGATATGGTTTGGCTTTGTGTCCCCATCCAACTTTCATGTTGAATTGTAATTCCCAATGTTAGAGGTGGGGCCAGATGGGAGGTGATTGGACCAAGGGGGTGGTTTCTAATGGTTTATCACCATCCTCCTAGCGCTGTCTCCCCCTAGATGATAGAGTTCTCATGAGATCTGGTTGTTTTAAAGTGTGTAACACCTCCCCCTTCACTCTCTTCCTCCTGCTCCCACCATGTAAGGAAGCTACCCCTTCACCTTCCACCATGACTGTTAATTTCCTGACACCTCCCCAGAAGCAGAAGCCTGTACAGCCTGCAAAACCATGAGCCAGTTAAACCTCTTTTCTTTACAAACTTCTCAGTTTCAGGTAGTTCTTTACAGCAATGTGAGAACGGACTAATATAACCCATTAAACATACAAACCAAAAGAACAGTTTACATAAATACCTAAACATTAAATGATTAAATGTATAGGAAATTGTACGTAACTATCTTTCCACAGAAATTTTTTAATCTACATCAGAAAAAAAAAAATTCATTGACCTAGGCTTTAAGCCATTGCCAAGAACAATCACGTAAAGAAATTAACGTTGGGTATTATCTCTATTAAAATTTAATCATCCCTATTGTAAAACAAACAAGAAAACTACAACCCAACACTTAATTATTTAATATATTTATGTACTTTTTTTTTTTTTTTTGAGACAAAGTCTCGCTTGGTTGCCTAGGCTGGAGTGCAGTGGTGCAACCTTGGCTCACTGCAACCTCCACCTCCCATGTTCAAGCGATTCTCGTGCCTCAGCCTCCCAAGCAGCTGGGATTACAGGCATGTGCCACCACGCCCGACTAATTTTCGTATTTTTAGTAGAGACAGGGTTTCACCATGTTGACCAAGCTGGTCTTGAACTCCCCAGCTCAAGTGATCCACCCACGTTGGCCTCCCAAAGTGCTGGGATTATAGGCGTGAGCCGCCGCGCCTGGCCATATTTTTGTACTTCTACTGTGTTTCAAATTGTAACATAAAGACCACTGTAAATGATTACCAGAAAAGGAAGAAACAGTTTAGAGGAAAATCTTCATGCTATGAATAAAACATCAATTACAGAAATTTATCTTTCATGATCCATTAAAAAAACAAAGTTAGATTTGAAAGAAGAGTACAAGGAGACATAGGTCTCCAAGTATTAGTCTAAGAAAGAAACAAAGATTTGCCAGGAAACTGTATTAAGGAGTGGGATAACTGGTGAGCAAATTTCCTTGCCACTCTGGCACTTTCTACACACATTTTTTGAAATACAGCTTCCTTGAAAGTAAGCTATCTTTTCCTTCTGTATATCTCCCATAGTTTTTAGTACAATGCTTTACATATAGCAACATTCTCTTAAACTAATACTAATGTTTCTTGAAATCCAAAAATAATCCAATTACTATAATCATGTGAGTAGGGATATAATTTTTTAATAACCTCTATCTTTGGTGGTTCAATCTTTTAAAACAGTATTATAAATGCAGTTCACTTACTGTAGAAGTTTTTGAAAATACAGATAAGTAAAAAGAATATAAAAATCTGCCCATAATCCCATATTCAGAGATAATCATTGTTGACATTTGAGTATGTCCTTCCAGTCTTTTCTGATGCAAACGCATATGGTAAATCTTTATATTTTTTATTTTTACAAAATGAGATGCTATTTATCTCAACTTTAAAAATTTTCAAACATATTGACAGAACTTGTTTACTTTTTGAAAATACAAACACTATCAGCAAAATAAACATAAATGTTTTCAATTAAAACAACACCTTCATTTCTACAGGTCTAACATCACTCTCGTATGTACTAATATACTACGTATGTACATTAAAGGAACGAATCATACTGCAAATAGTACCACTATTGAAGATCAATTTTTCAATTAACAAAGACTTTAAACATTAAGTTTCAATTTGCTACTTTTTAACATCTAAAACCATTCAAACACATAACACTGTAATTCGAAGATAAATACGGTTTTACATGTTTTTTAAAAAATTTCCTTATTTTAACTTCACATAAATACAGAGGAAATCGATATGCCTTTAGCAACAATGACAACAAAAACCAGGACTAATGTTTCACAAATACCCAACAGGAACAAAAGTTAAAAAAAAATAAAATTGGATCTTCCCAAAGTTAATTCAATTCATTTTTACCATTCTCTGCCAAGAGATGTACTTACTTAGAAAAACATTAAAAGTATGTATGTCAATGACCTACCTGTAAGCTCTTCCTTTGTTTTATCAACTTCAGACAACTGAATATAAATTTGGTTTCTTTCTCCTTCTAAGGTTTTTAAAGAAGCATTTAACTTTAAAGAAGGGAAGAAGGAAAAAAGTAACATTAATCAGTTATACAAAAAAATAAAAATAAAAAATAAAACCTCAGTATGACCCCCCTAACACTTTTTAAGTGATTTTATCGTTTTGATGAAATTATCACCTGGAATACAGAAACCATAATGCAGCTTCCGTCTTAAAAAAACCAGCAAAGTCGTCAATGCTTGTAAGTCTCAGAACAAGGGACAGGGAAAAGTAGTGAATGCTTTTCACTGGCTGCTTAAGAAAGTGACTATTTTCATTCTATTTACTTTCAACAAAAGTTTTTATTAAAGCAGCCTTCAAACTACATTACCAAGACTTCACATAGATCAGCAAAAATGAGGATACCACACTACTAGGGTGGAAAAGAGAAGGAATAAACCAGAAAAAAAGGCATCTAGTATTTACTTAAAATAGGATATAGGGCAGAAGGGGTAAGAAAATACTGAGACTAGAAGAAAAAGAATGCACTGAGGGAACTACAAGATAAAATACAGGAAACATTTTAAATATAGTCTTATCCGAAAAATGAGTACAGAACTTGGAATTTTTTATTTTGATAAATTCCAAAAATTATATAAATTTCTAAAGTTAATAATTGAAAGGAAAAAGCAATTGATGATGAAAATTCTGATAATTTGTAAATATATTTATATGGGAACAATAAAATGGACTTTTTAAACATTTACTGGGACATGAGTAATCCACGTTCTCTTTCTTCCTCCTTATTCTTTTTAAGTATCTAATAGCACAAACCTTAGCAGCATGAATCAGTTTCTTCAAAGCTCCTTTTGGAGGATTATCTACAGTGAAAATCAAAAGCACAACAATGATTTGGGAAAATAGTACAATACGACAATAGACATCAAAATGATTTTATCAGTTCACTAAACCAGAAACTTATAATCCCTCTTCTTGCTACAATAAAGAATTTGGTATAAAGCAGAATGGCCTTGGACCTGCTCCCAGGAAGCTAAACAATAAAAGCACTGAAGTGTCATACCATTTAACAAGGTTCTTCAGCTCTAACTCCAAGAACAGAGTTATAACAAGGATTCTATATTCATCTAAATATAGACCACAATCATTAACTATTCTTGGATTCTTACAGCATCCAAAATATGAGTAAAATTATAACCCAAGTTAAAATAACATTAAACAAGCATGAGTTTTCTCAAATAGAGAAAGGATTATTTTATATATAATAAAGTAGAAATGAAAAAGTACAAACAGAACTTTATATACTTATTTTAGGGATGTAATTTTTTCCAACATATTAATGTTGTCACGAAAAAAATTTTTAATCACACTTTTTCCTCCATAATAAATTTGTTAATTATGCAGGGGCTGGGGAAGAGAACAGAAAAATGACATAAAAGTCTGAAGAACTGCCACTGGGGTAAAATGAGAGAGGGGTACATGGGACCTCTGTACTAGTTTTAGAACTTCCTATGATGCCATATTTCAAAATAAAAAGGTTTTTTTTAGGTCAAAGGAATTGGTGTGAGAATACATTAAGGGGCTATAGTGAAACTAAATTTGGCCACTTTTGCCAACTTCAGAGCACAACCATCAATGGCAATAATAATTTGAATGGCTAACATTAAAAGTACTGTAACCATCTGAACCTCTGACAAAAGCAAAAGAAGTATCCTGAAGTATTTATAGAACACTTGTTCTTCAAACTAGTCATTCATCCATTTGATTAGCTTACAGTACAGGGAAAAACAGGCATTGAAATGATTATGATGTAATTTTGAAAATGGCTATAATAAAGATATGTATAATACACAAAAAAAAGGGAGGAGGCTGTAAGTGTGTCTGAGCAGCTGGAGAAAGACTTACTGAAAAGGCAGTGCTCCAGCTGAAGCTAAAAACTATAAGGGATGGTGAGAAAGGACAGTGTGTCACAGACAGACAGAATGTGCCAAAGTAAAAGCATATAAAGAACATGGTGCACACAGGGAACGAAAAGGAAATAGAAGAGCTAGTCACCATTTTAGCAAAAGGAGATGAGTCATGACTTAATACCTAAGTAAGCACCATTTTCCGATTCACTGTTCATTTCTAATTCCAAGTTATCATCATCCGTTATGTCTTCTCCAAGCATAGCAGCCCAATCTTTCATCTTTAACAAGCGTTCAGTCAGAGTCTTGACATTGAACAAAGGGGAAAAATAGAGAGGGTAATGCCTTATGCTAACAGCTTTACAACTTGTGAATGTACAGTTATAGTTTAAAAATCAGTCCACATAAATAACAACACAAGAGCTCTTATTTTCCACCTCTTATTAAGATATTGTAGTCTTGAGAAATGGTAACATTTATTGACTATTAAACTCTGCAAGTAAAAGCCAAAACTAGTTATTCCCAAATCAAATATAGTACATATTAATATTATGCAACTAAAAAGTAGTAAAATATTTTTTATATGACATTTCTCACATGCCACAAATAACAGTGCCCTAATTAACATGAGAGTAAATTCTGTGTGACACCAAACACATCTGCAGTGAGATACATAATGTATAAAAAGATCGTAGATTTTTAGTTGATTTATTCAAGGAAACAATTAGCTGAGATAAAGACATTTATAAAAGAGAATTTGAATGGAACATTAGAGGTTTTCCAAAAGTACTTTTTGAATTTTGTTGATTAAAGAAATATTTTCTAACACTACAGATAATCAAATGACGTGTCATGTATTCCTCTGGAGGGACCCACCTAAAAATAATGCACTGATCTACAATTTTCACCCTTCGATCTCCTCCCTCTCTTCAGAGTTCCAGGCACAAATAACATGGCCTATACCTTTGAGCAGAGCTTGAGGTTAGCATCTCATTCTTGTTATCTTTAAAAGAATCCCAAAGCCTTTAGTAGAGGAAGTTTAGAAAAAATAAATAAAACAATATGCCACAGCCAGATGCGGTGGCTCACGCCTGTAATCCCAAAACTTTGGGAGGCTAAGGTGGGCGGATCACCTGAGGTCAGGAGTTCCAAGACTAGCCTGGCCAAAATGGTGAAACCGCGTCTTTACTAAAAATACAAAAAAAATTAGCCAGGCATAGTGGCACATGCCTGTAGTCCCAGCTACTCAGGAGGCTGAGGCAGCAGAATCACTTGAACCCACGAGGCAGAGGTTGCAATGAGCCGAGATGGTGCCATTGCACTCCAGCCTAGGTGACAAGATTGAAAGTCCATCTCGTGTGTGTGTGTGTGTGTGTGTGTGTGTGTGTGTGTGTATGTATATGTATATATGTGTGTATATATGTGTATATATGTATATATGTGTATATATGTATATATGTGTATATATGTGTATATGTATGTGTATATATGTATATATGTGTGTGTATATATATATATGCCAAATTCTGAATAAAACTCAGAAAGCTGGAATTTTGAAAATATTCTTAGTAGCAACATAACTGGCATAAATGTATCACTTTCTTTATACTATTTTTTATTATATTTTAAGTTCTGGGATACACGTGCACAATGTGCAGGTTTGTTACATATGTATACCTGTGCCATGTTGGTGTGCTGTACCCATTAACTCGTCATTTACATTAGGTATATCTCCTAATGCTATCCCTCCCCCCTCCCCCCACCCCACAACAGGTCCCGGTGTGTGATGTTCCTCTTCCTGTGTCCAAGTGTCCTCATTGTTCAACTCCCACCTATGAGTGAGAGCATCACTTTCAATATGACAACATCCACATCACTGTGTAAATTATAGAACGTTAGTTTTACATATCATTATTTGATACACTTGAGTATCTGTATTTATCAGCATTAAGATTTTTAAAAATCTTAAAAATCTAAAAAATCAAAAAATCCTTTTATTCTTATGACTGGAGTCAAGTTTCAATTAAATTTATTTTTTAAAAGTATTCCTCTCCATCAAAGTACATACACCAGTTACATTAAAGATATTCAATTAATATATATAACTATACATCCAATTTCTCAAACTCTTCCAACCTCCTAACAGGAGCAGATAGCATCCTGAAGAGAAATGGTAGAAACCATTATTTTTATTTCTTTATTAAATACCTAGGCTAAAATACAGAGAAGAAAAAAGGACACACAGAATATTCATATAAGTATGTGTGTGTGTATGTGTATGTACATATGACAAATCTGTAAGTCTTCAAGAAACATTTGAAAATCTGGCCAAATATGTTATGAAAATATGTTGTGAAAATAAAAGTTGCTAAAAACTAGCTTTCAAATTTCAGAGTTAGTGTAAAATTCTAGCCAACTTGATCACTAAAACCAGTAGAGCCATTTACCTTGATGTGACTTTCTTTATCATTTAGAACTTGTTCTGCATGTACTTTGGAGTCTTCAAATGTTACTTTCTGTTTATTAAGTTCACTCACTTGTTCTTTCCATACTTCAGCTTCTTGCAAAAGCTGAAAATGAAAATTTTAAAAATGCAACTCATCACACAAGTGAATCATTAAAAGATACCAAGAAGGCATTATGTAGCTACTTAAAAAAGAAAAACATGGCTCCTATTTTCAAAGAACTTTCAAAATGGGGTAGTGTAAAATAACACACACATTCTTCAACTAGTTTATATCATATATTTATATCAAATAAAGGTTTCCTGAGATATACATATCTTAGATTTGATCATTTCTTACCATTCCTTATATCCCATATAAAATATCATACCTTACTTGCATTAAAATTTATTTTTTAAATCATTGTGCAATTTTGTACTTAAAATAACTAACCTTTAGAAATACCACCATCCTGGCCAACATGGTGAAACCTCGTCTCTACTAAAACACAAAAATTAGCTTGGCATGGTGGCACGCGCCTGTAGTCCCAGCTACTCAGGAAGTTGAGGCAGGAGAATCGCTTGAACCCAGGAGGCAGAGGTTGCAGTGAGCCAAGATTGCACCACTGCACTCCAGCCTGGCAACAGAGCGAGACTCCGTCTCAAAAAAAAAAAAAAAAAAAAAGAAATACCATTAATCTAGAACAGATCAGATTCTCCACAACAGTATTCTACTATATATACTTTTACAGGAAAGGAAAGCCTTTCTGAACATGACAAAAAGTAAAGATCATTATAAAAGGTAGACTTGACTACATAAAGCTTAAAAGCTTCACAAATCAAATATAACACAAATGACATTTAAAGATAAATAACTAGAAAGGAATTATTTCTTTTTTTTTTTTTTTTTTTTTTTTTTTTTAGAGGCAGGGAGGGTCTCATTCTGTCATCCAAGCTGGACCACAATCTCAAACTACTGGGCTCAAGATATTCTCTCACCTCACCCTCCCAAGCAACTAGACTACAAGCACATGTCACATACTCTGCTAATTTTTTTATTTTTATTTTTTGTAGAGTCAAGGTCTTACTATGTCGCCCAGACTGATCTTGAACTCCTGGCCTCAAGTGATCCTCCCACCTGGACCTTCCAAATCACTGAGATTACAGGTGTTACCCACTGCACCCCACCAAGAAAGGAATTCTCATAATATTTGTAGCAAAAGGTTAATAACCTTAGCAAGCAAAGAGCTCTTAGATGTCAATAAGAAAAAATAGGCAAAGAAAAAAGAAGACTGAGCAGGCAATTCACAAAAGAAATGGCTCATATATATGAAAAAGTCTAAATTTATTTAGTCTTTAAAACTCTGTTCTGGCTGACTCTTTTCGGACTCAGCCCGCCTGCGCACCCAGGTGAAATAAACAGCCATGTTGCTCACAAAAAAAAAAAAAAAAAAAAAAAACTCTGTTCTACCAAACAGTAATTATTGGATTTCTCCGCAAAACTAAGGCTTCATTAGCGTATTCCGAACACATGAAAAACTAATCTTTATATATATATATATATATATATATATATAAAACAGAATCAGATGATACAGGTAAAAACAAATGAGAATCCAAGAAAAAATTCACATTTGGTGATTAGGTCATCTCTCATGAGTTAGTAAAGAGACTTAAGTACACAGTATACAGTATTAAAACATTAGAGAAGGAGTGCATTAGAACATGGCATCAGTGAATACAGTTTGTTTCAAGAATTTGGATTATTACAAGGGAGTTAGATGAAAACAGTTGTAAAGAGTAAGACTGATCTAGGTGAAATATTTTCCAAGGTGGAAAAGGCCACTTTTGATCATAACATGGCAAATTTAACACAGGGTTTACCACCACTTTCTACTCAAATCTATTAAAATGGCAGAAAACAGATTTTTTTTTCAAAGGCATAAACCCACAAGGAAAAAAGAAAATAGGAGATGAGACAAAAAATAATTGTAGAAGTAGAAAATGGAAAGAAATGGAAGTGTGATAAAAAGACTCAACCAACTAGAGAGAACTTAAATCTAAGCCTGAAGGTAGGAACACCCAAAAGTAGGCTGATTTGATATACCCTAGAAAGCCTCATGATTTGAAGGCACAAATACCAGGGGTATAAGCAGGACTGGAAAAAAGGAGGACTGGCCAAAAGTCTGTATAAAAAGCAGTTGGAAAGCCTCCCATGACATAAATATATACACATTCTTATTCTCATTCTCTCTCATTCATTCTCTATCTCTGTCTCTTTCACACACACAAACACACACACACACACACACACACACACACACGCAAAACCCTACAGGGTCATTCTTTGGAGAGGTGGAACCTGAGACTCTGGGACATCTATCCAGGTGAAGGTGGAAGTAACATACTGAAAACATAAAAGTATTAAGAGGAAACTGACTACTGAACAGTCAGACACCAGCATTCTTTACCTAAGTTGCAAGACTGTTGGCAAACAGGCTTACACCTCCCAAATGGGAAATGTGGAGGACTCATCCCTGTGGAAATGCTCTTCAGATACCAACAACTGAGAATCCTCCAATTAGAAATACCCTAACCTGGCCAGGCGTGGTGGCTCATGCGTGTAATCCCAGCACTTTGGGAGGCCGAGGCAAGCAGATCACTTGAGGTCAAGAGTTCAAGACCAACCTGGCCAACATGATGAAACCCCATCTCTACTAAAAACATAAAAATTAGTCAGATGGTGGTACATGCCTGCAATCCCAGCTACTCGGGAGGCTGAGGCAGGAGAATCACTTGAACCCGGGCAGCAGAGGTTATAGTGAGCTGAGATAGCGCCATGAACTCCAGACTGGGTGACAAAGTGAGACTCTGTCACAAAAAAAATATATATCCTATAGAAAAGCCCACCAATAGCCGGGCGTGGTGGCTCGCGCTTGTAATCTCAGCACTTTGGGAGGCCGAGGTGAGTGGATCACCTCAGGTCAGGAGTTCAAGACCAGCCTGGCCAACATGGTGAAACTCCGTCTCTATTAAAAATACAAAAAATTAGCCGGGCGTGGTGGCAGACACCTATAATCCCAGCTACTCGGGAGGCTGAGGCACGAGAATCACTTGAACGCGGGAGGTGGAGGTTGCAGTGAGCCAAGATCAGGCCATTGAACTCCAGCCTGATCAACAAGGCAAGACTCCATCTCAAAAACAAAAAAAAAACAACAAAAAGAAAAGATATACCTAATGCTAGATGACACATTAGTGGGTGCAGCGCACCAGCATGGCACATGTATACATATGTAACTAACCTGCACAATGTGCACATGTACCCTAAAACTTAGAGTATAATAAAAAAAAAATAATAAAAATAAAAATTAAAAAAAAAAAAAAAGAAAAGAAAAGAAAACCCCGCCCGTGGCCAGGCGCGGTGGCTCACACCTGTAATCCTAGCACTTTGGGAGGCCGAGGCGGGTGGATCACGAGGTCAAGAGATGTGTAATGATCTGTAATTTCAGAGAAGGGGAAACAATAAAAAGATATTAAAAGCTTCCAGGAGGAAAAAAGCAGATTTCCAAAAATGACCAATTATCTGAATAGCTTCTGACTTCTTAAAAGCAATATTGGAAAGTCAAGACAATGGAGTGACAGTGTCAAAATTTTGAGGAAAAAAAAAATGCCAACCCAGAATATATTCAACCAAAATATCAACAAGTATGAGAAACAAGACATTTCCAGGCATGTAAGTTCTAAAAAAATTATCTCCTATACCTCTTCCTCAGAAAATTAACCAAAAGAATTAACCGCAAAAGGGCTCAGATATGGAAAATAAAAGATCTAACACAGGAGAAAGACAAGAGGAACCTTTAGGATGGGGGTGAAGTGAAATCTTAGGACACAGAACAGAACACACACCTACAGAATAAGTTCTTATGAAACCAAGGGAGGCCAAAGAAAAAACTGCTTCAAGAAAAAAAAAATGCAATTAACAGATTAAACAAAGCATTTGAAGGCATGAATAAGATATCTGTATCTCTAGAAGACAGCATACAGATGAACCGGATAAGTATACAAGAAACAAAACAATTATTAACCCTAAGGAAAATATTGAATAAGACAGAATATGTAATAACAAACCATGAGGCCAGGTGCAGTGGCTCACGCCTGTAATCCCAACACTTTAGGAGGCCGAGGCAGGCGGATCACGAGGTCAAGAGATTGAGACCATCCTGGCCAATATGGTGAAACCCTATCTCTACTAAAAATACAAAAATTAGCTGGGCGTGGAGGCGCGCGCCTGTAGTCCCAGCTACTCGGGAGGCTGAGGCAGAAAAATTGCTTGAACCTGGGAGGCAGAGGTCGCAGTGAGCCGAGATCACGCCACTGCACTCCAGCCTGGCAACAGAGTGAGACTCCGTCTAAAAAATTAAAAAATAAAAAAAAAAGAACAAACCATGTGGCTCTGGTGTGAGTAATATTTGGATAATTATAATAATTTAATCACTGAAAAATTTTCCCACTGAAAAGTTACAATTACATTGGCAAAGGAGAAGAAGAAATATACGTGGGAGTATCTATGTATGTGGGGGAGAAAGAGGGCAAATGTCACATCCTTATGTGATCTGCCACCAGAATTGTTTCTATCTTTAGACCCCAGATCTATAACTTCAATAATCCTCACTCATATTCTCTGTACCCCTTCGGCATGGCTTTAAGAAGTTGGTTATGATTACCAAAATGCTAAATGCCCTGGCTTACTTTCCCTGCCCTGGGGTAGAGGGTGCCAAAAGTATACACTTTTGTATACTATACAAAAGAGACAGACACTGAAATATGTATGGGAGACTGTCCTGCTCTCATGCTCTCAAGGAAAAGCCTATACTTGTCCCTAGCATGGGTCAGTCATGAGGATGACAAGAACATCTATAATTACATATTCACAAGTTGAAGAGTCCCTACGGAGCACAAACCTGTTTCTGGCTTTCCTGAAGTTGAGAATTTTCATTCAAAGCATCTTTTATTGCTATCTTCAGTCGTTCTTCATTCATTTGAAATATCTTGAAGGTCATTTTGGCCTAAGTGAAACAAAAAATGTCAAGTTTGTAACAATTAATTTAATACATAGCTCATCTTTACACATACTCCCTAGAACACAGAATTAAACAAAGGCAAAACCATGCCAATATTAACAGCAGAGGCAGCATGGTGTAGCAGAAAAAAGGCTTGTCTAGAATCCAGGTCTAGTCCTGCCTTTCCCACTAACTTGCTACGATGTGACCTTGGACAAACCTCTTGTAACTTTCTATGTACTGTGCAGCAAATTTTGATAACTATTTATTCTGCCTCCCCTACTAAAATTTAAACTTCCTGGGGACTTTTTTGTCTATTAATGTTAAGTGTCAAGCAACCAGTCCTCAATATATAGTAATAGCTCAATAAACACTTGTCCACTGAAAAGATGAACTTTTCTGAAGCACTTCACGTAAAAAAAAAAAAAATACAAGCTGGGTGTGGTGGCTCATGCCTGTAATCCCAGCACTTTGGGAGGCCGAGGTGGGCCGATCACTTGAGCTCAGGAGTTCAAGACCAGCCTGGCCATCATGGTGAAACCCTGCCTCTACTAAAAATACAAAACTTAGCCGGGTGTGGTGGCACATGCCTGTAATCCCAGCTATTCAGGAGGCTAAGGCAGGAGAACTGCTTGAACCCAGGAGGTGGAGGTTGCAGTGAGCCAAGATCGTGCTGCTATACTCCAGCCTGGGCAACACAGCCATGCTAATTCATTTAGGTATTGTTAAAAAAAAAAAAATACATATCTGGGATCCCCTATATCTCAAATCCTACTATTGTGTCTTATTTCTTAATTTTAAAAAATTAAACTAAAATTATTTCCAAAAGCAACAGACCTACTAGACTAATTCAACTTACTTCAGCTACTTGTGATTTGAGGGATTTTGACTCATCTTCTAGAGACTGTATCCTTTTTGAAATATCCGCCATCTAGAAACACAGTATCAGGCAATTAATATTTACTAAACTCTAGTTTCCAAAATGCCATGTTTATTAGATATACTGTTAACCTAACACTTTAGCTCCATAAGTGAAGCTCAAATTAAGAAACCTTCTCAGTTTATTTAGCCATATGCTAAAAGGGATTTTATATGAACATTACGTAACAATAGTATCTCATAACTTTAATATTTCATAACATTTAAGTTATATAGGCTCAAGATAAGTCCACTAACATGTTTTACTAAATAATCTCACATACATCAAGATTTTCATTAAGACAGGTTTTTTCAAAAGAAAAAGTTTTAATGTTAATATACATGTTAAGTAATTACAAATATACACTATGGACATGATTATTCAGTTTTTATTTACATGAGCTACTTCCATAGTGCATATAGAAAATTTCTATAAAAATATGCAAGAAATTTAACACAGTAACATCTGGGGGAAGTGAAAAGAATGGATCTAGAAAATTTTGCTCTCTACAACCACCTGTATTCTTTACATTTTTTACAATAATGTAATACTTTAACCAGTATCATATTAATTTTTTAAAGCTCAGTAACTTTCTTTTTCTTATATTCTCCTCAAATAAAAAAGCCTTACCAATTCATCTTGTTCAGAATGTTTGGATTTCTCTTCTTTTAACTCTTTTTCTAGACAGAGTATTTCATCCTCAAGTTCAGAATTGGACCTGTTCAGCTTTTCACAGGTTGCCTAAGAGAGAAAGCCAACTTTATTAAACAGATATAAGAATTTTTCATTAGGGAAATCAGACGAGCATAATAAAAAATATGTACTATAAGTTAAATAACTTTCATTTATACATTTGCTCATTTTTATAATATCAAAATAACAGCAATTGTAGCAGTGGTCAGCAAAGTTCTGTAAAGAGCCAGAGAATAAATATTTTAGGCTCGTAGGCCATGCAGTCTTTGTTGCAATTACTCAACTATGCCACTGCAGTGAGAAACAAAAGCAATACCTACATAAATGAGCATGGCTGTGTTCCAAAACAATTTTTTACAAAAAAAAGTGGAGAGCCCATTAGGCACAGTTTGCCAACCTCTGCTTAAAAGCACTATAAAGAAAAAAATGAGAAATAAAGCCAATTTAATACAATTAAAGGCATGACATAAAAAATCAACTAAAAAAAAATCAAGGCTGCTTCATGATAATATTCCATATTGAATTAAGACCTATTTTCTATGACCTTTTTAATTTAAAATGATTAGTTATTGGATTATTCCAAATGGATTTTAAATACTATAATAAACATACCTCTGATATTTGTGATCCTTCAACAAACTTGTTAAAGAAAAATAAACCAAAAGATTCAAAGATTTTAATGCAGGCCAAAATAAAAGCAAAAAAAATACATACTACATTACAGTGATTTAAAAACTTGTTTATACATATTACCCCAAATTTGAATATTTCATTCTAGGAATTCCCTGACCCGAATGAAAATTACTCTACTGGTTTGATTTTATCTACAGATTCAGCTATCATATTTTTTTAAATTGCATCACATTATAGTTTGAATTCAATTATGATTACTATTACTGAAAATACTATGCTAAAAAATTACTGAAATTGAAGAAAAATTTCCAAAATGTTGAATGCAGCTAAAAATTCAGCTAATTTTACTCCTATAATAATTCATTACCTTGAAAATAAATTGATGTGTAATATTTTATCCTCAGTATTACCAAGCTTGAGTAAATGTCTTTGCTACCTACTTTTTGCTCTTCTGTTAGCATGTCAAATGCCTTCTAAAATTTTTTTATCAAACATAAATTACTAATGGAAGGGTAGTTAAGACAGAGGGTTAGCAAATAAAATATAATTTCAACAAGTTCTTGAAGATAGTAATAGGCAACAAATGAAGAAAACATTAAGAAACTTATTTGGAATCCAATTTATAACTTCCTTTGGACTCTACTAGAAAATTCTGAATCATAACACATAGAGTTTCTGATGATTACGGAGAGCAGTGATTGAGAACTGCCACACTGTACTAGACGCTTATCAAAGGTACAAGGTCTACTGTTTTCTGTTTTAGTATCTGCAGACGCAGGTGTCCTCTGCTATCCTTTGTCACTTCTGTGCTTTTTACAACACGTCCACATCTAAACAGTAGTAAGGCACTCCCATCACTTACCCTAATCTGTCTTAGTTTAGCTAAATTACAAATTACCATACTTTCCTTCCTTAAAATTAACCAAATCACACTTGGCTCAGGAAAGCCTACTTTAAGCATTATCTTCCAAGACTCCTCATTCAGTGACATCATGTTGGTAGCTTGAAACTGGCCATGGTGGAAGTATTCATACTACAGAACTCAGCAAATGCTACAAATAAGGCTGCTTTTTAAAAAAAAAGTTGTCAAACATTTACCAACATACACCATTACTTATAACGTAAACCTCTGGCCTAATTCTAGTTAGCTCTTAATATCCTCAGGATGAAAATAAAGCAAATACTGTCATAATTTACAAAGTTATTGTTGCCAACTATTCCTAAGTTTGTAAAAATGAATCTTATTTCTCCTTTCTAGAGCAAACTGAGTCAAAAAAGGAACGATCACCTTAATACATTTCCCAGGAATAATAGAACGAAGTTTCTATACAGCTCCTGATTCCTTGAACATAAACATGCCTGACTCAAAACAAGTTAGCAATAAAAGCTCAAATTTTTAAATTTTTATAATATTTTATGCTACCTCCTATTGTCCCATTTCCTATATTAATTTTCTTATTTAAGTTTTAACATCCAGAGATGCTCTTTCACATTTTTTTCAAATAGTTTTCAGAAGATACATTTTTAAAGTTTTTGTTACTTAGTATTTTTTTCCCCAGCTTTTAAAATTATACCATTTGATTTTCTACCTCCAAACTTTGTGCTTCTGTTGCCTCCTTCTCAAAGCTGGCATCCTTTAAAGATGACTCTACTTCATAGCCTTCATACTGAAACAAAGCAACATCACAAGTAAAAACTCTACCAATTGTATTCTAAATCTTATCTGGATAGATGCCTAAGAAGCAGACAGAATCCATTTCCACATAATACATTAAATTTACTTGGATTTACTTAGCTTTAAGTTTTTTAAATCTGACCACTACAACAAACAATGCCAGAGCAGCTAACACATCACAAACCACTAGCTCTGGCAACAAATGCCAGAACTTCACCTCTAAGAGTAAAGTCTGCTTCTCAGAGAACATAGGACTATAACTCATATTAGCATCTTTTACTAAAAATGAAGTAAAAATTCTAATGGTAAGATTGTACTAAAGATTATCCAAAGATTTACTCAAAGAGCGTATTTTTACGTAAGCTGTCTAATTATGCCCCAAACAAGTAAACCTCTTCTTTAAGCCTATTCATTAAAGAGAAATATATAGCAACTGACCATCAAAACTTTTCACTTTTAATCCATACCATACAACAAATAAAGCAGGTGGGGAATATAAAAATCTTTAAAAGGTAGGGAACAACCATCAAAAAATGAACAATAAAACATATAATGCTATAAGATTTGGCAAAATGCACTTCAATTATTCAAAAAAAGTGATCAAATTGAAGACTACGTTGTTCTGGATCCACCTTTCTGGCAAGAACAAGAAAAGCTTGACAAAAAATACCAAAAAAAAAAATATATATCTGTCTGAAAGCCTCAGAGAGCTATCAAAACAGTGAGAATTTGTGAGAGAAGTGGGAATCCCCAGAAAGGCAAGTCTAGTATTTGACATTTCTATTCCCCCTAGAAGAAGAGGCTGATGGGCTAAGAAACTAAGCAGAGATTTCAGGAGAATCAGAAGCTGAGAAAAAACACTTGGAGTTCAGGACCTGCCAAGTCAGATGAACCCTGTGCTTGGCTAAACAATGACCTGTCCAAAGATGTCTATGTTCTGCTCCCCAGAATGTCCAGGTGTGATAAAGGATCTTAAGACGGAAAAAGCATCCAGAATTATTTTGGTGGGCCCAATATAATGCCAAGGGTCCTTAAAAGGAGGAGGCAAGACGACCAAACTTAGAAAAGAATGATATAAGATAGAAGCAGAAACTGGGGTGACATAGTTATGAGCCAAGAAATGTTGGTAGACTCCATATAAGACACAAGACACAGATTCTCTCCTAGAACATGCATAAGGAAACAAACTTGCTGCTATCTTAACTTTTGCCCCCAAGATTGGTTTTAAGGCTGGGCATGGTAGCTCATGTCTGTAATCCCAGCATTTTGGGAGGCCAACGTGGGAGGATCACTTGAGGCCAAGAGTTCAAGGCCAGCCTGGGCAACATAGTGAGATCCCATCTCTACAACAAAATATTTTTTAAAAGATCAGTTCTAGACTTCTGACCTTCAAAATTTTAAGAGAATAAATGTGTGTTGTTTTACACCACTAGGTTGCACTAATTTGTTACAGCAGCAAAAGGAAATTAATGTCCTTACCAACCAAAACTGGTACCTTGGATGGGCGCAGTGGCTCACACCTGTAATCCTAGCACTTTAGGAGGCCAGATCACAGGGATCATGAGGTCAGGAGTTCAAGAACAGCCTAGCCAACATGGTGAAACTCTGTCTCTACTAAAAATACAAAAATTAGCCGAGCGTGGTGACGTGTACTCGTAATCCCAGCTATTCGAGAGGCTGAGGCACAAGAATCACTTGAGCCCATGAGGCGGAAGTTGCAGTGAGTCGAGATCATGCACTCCAGCCTGAGTGACATAGCAAGACTGTCTCAAAAAAAAAAAAAGAAAACCTGCCTACCTTACAACAAAGTCGAAACCAAAAACAGACTAATCCTCTGAACTGAGGCCCAGCTTCCAAATATCTCAATCTGTTATTAAAGTAATCTGACCTCCCAACAAAGAAAAGCCCAGGAAGAGATGGCTTCACGGCTGAATTTTACCAAATTTTCAAAGTAGAATTATTACCAAGACTTCTTAAACTCTTCCAAGAAAAACAACAGGAGGGAATATTTCCTAACACATTTTATGAGTCCAGCATCACCTTGATACCTAAGCCAGACCAAGAAACCACAAAAAATAAATAAATAAACAAACAAACAAACCTACAGGTCAATATCTCTGATGAACACTGATGCAAAAATCCTAAATAAAATATCAGCAAATTGAAATTAACAATGCATCAAAAAGATTATGCATTGGGATCAAGTGGTATTTATCCCTGGCATGCAAAGCCGGTTTAATATATGCAAATTGGCCGGCACAGTGGCTCACGCATGTAATCCCAGCACTTTGGGAGGCCGAGGCGGACAGATCACAGGGTCAGGAGTTCCAGACCATCCTAGCCAACATGGTGAAACCCTGACTCTACTAAAAATACAAAAATTAGCCAGGCACCTGTAGTCCTAGATACTCAGGTGGCTGAGGCAGGAGAATCGCTTGAACCCGGGAGGCGGAGGTTGCAGTGTGCTGAGATCACACCATTCCACTCCAGCCCGGGTGACAGCGCCAGACTCCGTCTCAAAAAAAAAAAAAAAAATATATATATATATATATATATATATATATATATATATATATATGTATAATATATACACGCTCAAATCAATTAATGTGATACATCACATTCACAGACTGAAAGACAAAAACCACATGATCATACCAATTGACACAGAAAAAACATTCAACAAAGTTGAACATCCATTTTTTTTTTCTTTTGAGAGATAGGTTCTCCTATGTTGCCCAGGTTGGACTTGAATTCCTGGGCTCAAGCCATCCTCCCACCTCATGCTCCCAAGTAGGTGGGACTATAGGCACACACCCTCACGTCCAGCCCAACATCATCTCTTGATAAAAACCCTTAACAGTTTAAGTATAGAAGTAAAGTTCTGGCCAGGTGTGGTGGCTCACGCCTGTAATCCCAACACTTTGGGAAGTCCGAGGAGTTCGAGACCAGCCTGTGCAACATGGCAAAACCACATCTCTACCAAAGATAGACAAATTAGCCAGGCTTGGTGGCACACACCTGTAGTCCCAGCTACTCTAGGGAGGCTAAGGTGGGAGAATCACATGACCCCAGGAGGTTGAGGCTGCAGTGAGCCATGAGCATGCCACTGCACTCCATCCTGGGCAACAAAGCGAGACCTTGTCTCAAAAAACTAAATAGTGGCTCATGCCTGTAATCCCAGCACTTTGGGAGGCCGAGGCGGGCAGATCATGAGGTCAGGAGATCAAGACCATCCTGGCCAACATGGTGAAACCCCGTCTCTACCAAAATACAAAAAATTAGCCAGCCATGGTGGCGCATGACTGTAGTCCCAGCTACTCAGGAGGCTGACGCAGGAGAATTGCTTGAACCCAGGAGGCAGAGTTGCAGTGAGCCGAGATCACGCCACTGCATTCCAGCCTAGTGAAAGAGCAAGACTTCATCTCAAAAAAATAAATAAATAATAAATAATAAAATTTTTAAAATAATGAAAAAAAATAAAAAGAAAGTTCCTCAACATAACAAAAGCCATTTATGAAAAACTTACAGCAAATATCATCATCAGTGGGGAGAAACTGAAACCTTTTCCATTAAGATCTGGTACAAAGCAAGGATGCCCACAACCACCACTTCTATTCAAAACAGTACTGGAAGGGCTGGGTGCGGTGGCTCACACCTGTAATCCCAGCACTTTGGGAGGCTGAGATAAGCGGATCACTTGAGCCCAAGTTCGAGACCAGCTTGGGCAACTTGGCCAAACACCATCTCTACAAAAAAAATACAAAAAATTAACTGGGCGTGGTGGTGCACGCCTGTAGTCCCAGCTACTTGGGAGGCTAAGGTGGGAGAAACACCTGAACCCGGGAGGCTGAGGCTGCAGTGAGCCATGACCATGCCACTGCACTCCAGCCTGGGCAACAGAGTGAGACCTTGTCTCAAAAAACAAAAACAAAATAGTACTGGAAGTACTATCAAAGCAATTAGACAAGAAAAAGAAATAAAAGGCCTGGCATGGTAGCTCACGCCTGTAATGCCAGCACTTTGGGAGGCCAAGGTGGGCAGATCACTTGAGGTCAGAAGTTCGAGACCAGCCTGTCCAACATGGTGAAACCCTGTCTCTACCAAAAAATACACACACACACACACACACACACACACACACAGAAAAATAGCCAGGCACAGTAGTGCACATCTGTAATCCCAGCAATTTGGGAGGCTGAGGTGGGAGAATCACTTGAACCCGGGAGGCAGAGGTTGCAGTGAGCTGAGATTGCACTGCTGCAATCCAGCCTGGGCAACAGAGTGAGAGCCTGTCTCAAAAAAAAAAAAAAAGTAAGAAGGAAGGAAGAGAAGGATAAGGAAAGAAAAGATATCCAAATCAGAGAAGTAAAATTATCTGTTCGCAGATGACATGATCCTATATGTAGAAAACCCAAAAGATGTCATCAAAAATACAGATATAATAACTGAATTCAGTAAAGATGCAGGATATAATATCAAAACAAAACTATGTCATTTCTATACACAAATAACGACCTAGCCAAAAACGAAATCTAGAAAACAATCTCCCTCTCCCTCTCCCCTCTCCCCTCTCCACAGTCTCCCTCTGATGCCGAGCCAAAGCTGGACTGTACTGCTGCCATCTCCGCTCACTGCAACCTCCCTGCCTGATTCTCCTGCCTCAGCCTGCCGAGTGCCTGCAATTGCAGGCGCGCGCCACCACACCTGACTGGTTTTCATATTTTTCTGGTGGAGACGGGGTTTCACTGTGTTGGCCGGGCTGGTCTCCAGCTCCTAACCAAGAGTGATCTGCCAGCCTCGGCCTCCCGAGGTGCCGGGATTGCAGATGGAGTCTCGTTCACTCAGTGCTCAACGTTGCCCAGGCTGGAGTGCAGTGGTGTGATCTCGGCTAGCTACAACCTCCACCTCCCAGCCACCTGCCTTGGCCTCCCAAAGTGCTGAGATTGCAGCCTCTGCCCAGCCGCCACCCCGTCTGGGAAGTGAAGAGCGTCTCTGCCTGGCCGCCCATCGTCTAGGATGTGAGGAGCCCCTCTGCCCGGCTGCCCAGTCTGGGAAGTGAGGAGCGCCTCTTCCCGGCCGCCATCCCGTCTAGGAAGTGAGGAGCATCTCTGCCCGGCCGCCCATCGTCTGAGATGTGGGGAGCACCTCTGCCCGGCCGCGACCCCGTCTGGGAGGTGAGGAGCGTCTCTGCCCGGCCGCCCCATCTGAGAAGTGAGGAGCCCCTCCGCCCGGCAGCCGCCCCGTCTGAGAAGTGAGGAGCCCCTCCGCCCGGCAGCTGCCCCGTCTGGGAAGTGAGGAGCGTCTCCGCCCGGCAGCCACCCCGACCGGGAGGGAGGTGGGGGGTCAGCCCCAGCCCGGCCAGCCACCCCATCCGGGAGGGAGGTGGGGGGCAGCCCCCGCCCGGCCAGCCGCCCCGTCCGGGAGGGAGGTCGGGGGGTCAGCCCCCGCCCGGCCAGCCATCCCGTCCGGGAGGGAGGTGGGGGGTCAGCCCCCGCCCGGCCAGCCGCCCCGTCCGGGAGGGAGGTGGGGGGTCAGCCCCCGCCCGGCCAGCCGCCCCGTCCGGGAGGAAGGTGGGGGGGTCAGCCCCCGCCCGGCCAGCCGCCCCTTCCGGGAGGGAGGTGGGGGGCAGCCCCCGCCCGGCCGCCGCCCCGTCCGGGAGGTGGGGGGGCGCCTCTGCCCGGCTGCCCCTTCTGGGAAGTGAGGAGCCCTTCTGCCCAGCCACCACCCCGTCTGGGAGGTGTACCCAACAGCTCATTGAGAACGGGCCAGGATGACGATGGCGGTTTTGTGGAATAGAAAAGGGGGAAAGGTGGGGAAAAGATAGAGAAATCAGATTGTTGCTGTGTATGTGTAGAAAGAAGTAGACATGGGAGACTTCATTTTGTTCTGTACTAAGAAAAATTCTTCTGCCTTGGGATGCTGTTGATCTATGACCTTACCCCCAACCCTGTGCTCTCTGAAACATGTGCTGTGTCCACTCAGGGTTAACAATGGATTAAGGGCGGTGCAAGATGTGCTTTGCTAAACAGATGCTTGAAGGCAGCATGCTCGTTAAGAGTCATCACCACTCCCTAATCTCAAGTACCCAGGGACACAAACACTGCGGAAGACCGCAGGGTCCTCTGCCTAGGAAAACCAGAGACCTTTGTTCACTTGTTTATCTGCTGACCTTCCCTCCACTATTGTCCTATGACCCTGCCAAATCCCCCTCTGCGAGAAACACCCAAGAATGATCAATAAAAAAAAAATAAAAAAAAGAAAAAAAAAGAAAACAATCCTATTTACATAGCATCAAAAAAAATAAAATACCTAGGAACAAATTCAACCAAGGAGGTGAAAGATCTGCACACTGAAAAGTATAAAACATTGATGAAAGAAATTGAGGAGCACACAAAGAAATGGAAACGCAGCCAAAATCTCAATGGCATTCTTCACAGAAATTTTTTTAATCTAAATTTAATATGGAATAGCAAAAGATCCCAAATAGTCAAAGCAATTCTGAGAAAAATAGAGTTGGCAGCATCAGACTAACTCATTTTAAATTATATTCCAAAGCTGTAGTCACGAAAACAACGTGGTACTAGTATAAAAACAAATACACAGACCAGTGGAACAGAATAGAGAGCCCAGAAATAAATCCAAATAAATATGGTCAAATTTTCAATAGGGCACCAAGAATATACAATGCAGAAAGAATAGTCTCATCAATAAATGGTAGTGAGAAAACTGGATTTCACACGCAAAAGAATGAAACTGAACTCTTAACTTTATACAACACATAGAAATCAACTCAAAGTGGATAAAAGACCTAAACATAAAACCTGAAACTACAAAACTCCTAGAAGAAAACACAGGGAAAAAGCTCCCTGACACTGGCCTTGGCAATAATTTATTGACTATCACATCAACAACTTAGGCTACAAAAGCAAAAAGTAAGTGAACAGGACTACATCAAACTAAAAAGCTTTTGCAAAGCAAAAGAAACAATAAAATGAAAGTTCCTTTGAGGTGAAGCTGCAAGGTAAAAAAAATAAAAATATACACAAGTAAACACAATAAAAAGGCAACCTACAGATTGAGAAAAAATATATCAGATAAGGGGTTAATATTCAATATTTTAAAAGACCTCATACAACTCAACAGCAAGCAAACATACAACCTGATTTAAAAACAGGCAAAGGACTTAAATAGATATTTCTCTGAAGATGACATAAAAATGGCCAACAGGTATATGAAATGGTGTTCAATATCACCAATCATCAAGGATATGCAAATCAAAAACACAATGAGATACTACCTTGTATCTGTTAGAATAGCTATTATCAAAAAGACAAGAGAGATGACAAGTATTTGTGAAGGTGTGGAGAAAAGGGAACCCTCTACAACAAACCCCCAGGACGCAAGTTTACCTATGTAACAAATGTGCACTTGTACCCCTGAACTTAAAAGTTACAAAAAAAAGGGAACCCTTTTTCTAGACAAGAAAAGAGAAAGGCATAGAGCAGGTCCTTTGTCCTTTGAATAACATTGTTTTCTTCAACATTGTTTCATTATAACATTGATGAGAAAAAAAAACTGAATTCAGTATACACTGTTTCACTTAAAGTCAATTTTCAACCATCTATCAAGGACATTGAGGGCTTACTGTACACTACTGGCAGGGATGTAGATGGGTACAGTCACTACAGAAAGTAGTATGGAGACTCCTAAAGAAATTTAAAATAGAGCTACTATATCCAGCAAACCTTCTTCCAGATATTTATCCGAAAAAAATGAAATTGGCACCTTCTACACACAGCTGCATGCCCATGTTCACTGCAGCATTATTCACAGTAGCCAGTATGGAGACAACCTAGGTATCTATCAATGAACAAACGAATAAAGAAACTGTGGTATATATTTACAATGGAATATTACTCAGCCATAAAAAGGTGGAGATCCTGCCATTTGCTACAACATGGACGGACCTAGAAGACATTTTGCTAAGTAAAATAAGCCAGATATAGAAAGAAAAATATTGCATGATCTCACTTATATGCGGAATTTTTGTAAAGGTCAAATATATAGAGATAGAGAACAAAACAGTGGTTAGCAGTGTTGGGTAGGAGGGAAGAAACATGTAGGTCAGAAAATATGGCCGGGTATGGTGGCTCATGCCTGTAATCCCAACAATTTGGGAGGCTGAGGCGAGAGGATCACCTGAGCCAGGGAGTTTGAGACCATCCTTGGCAACATAGGGAGACCCCATCTCTACAAAAAATTTAAAAATCAGGCAAGCATGTATCATGTGCCTGTAGCCGCAGTTACTCAGGAGTCTGAGGTGGGAGGATTACTTGAGCCCAGGAGATAGAGGCTGCAATGAGCCAAGATCATGCCACTGCACCCCAGCCTGTGTGACAGAATGAGACCCTGTCTCAAT
Source organism: Homo sapiens (assembly GCF_000001405.40). NCBI lineage: Eukaryota > Metazoa > Chordata > Mammalia > Primates > Hominidae > Homo > Homo sapiens. The sequence goes on along the minus strand of NC_000014.9, from coordinate 39,282,588 downwards.
AAAAGAAAAGAAAATATATGGGATGAACAAGTTAAAAGATCTCATGTACAACATGAGATCCATAGTTAATAATAGTGTACTGCATTCATGATTTTTGTTATATGAGTACATTATAGCTGCCCTGGAGGGGTGGGCAGGGAATGGGTAACTATGAGAGAGAAAGAATACGTTAATTTGTTTCACTATAGTAACCATTTACTATACACGTATCTCATCATGTTTATACCTTAAATATATACAATAAAACTTATTTTACAAAAAACAAAATCAAAGTTATCTGAAATTTCTATACCTTAAATATACACAATAAAACTTATTTTACATAAAAGAAAGTCAAATACATAAAGTTATCTGAAATTTCCAATGTCCCTAGCCTAGCTGCCTATGAAAAGCAACAGTAAATCCTCACTGAAGAGAGACGACAGCACCCACAGCTTCAAAATTATCTTTACAATTTTTATTATATTATCACTGACACTTCATATAAAATAACCTGGCATTCAAGCGGACAAGACTTGACTGAGAAACAAGAGAAAAAATGAGCACCAGAAATAGACTACTGGATAATGCAGTAGTCATTAAAATAAGAAAGCATATTTGTCGGCAGCATATATTCTGAAAATCAGAAAATAAAAATAACACATAAATAAATAAAATAAGAGAGCATAGGCCAGGCATGGTGGCTCACACCTGTAATCCTAGCACTTTGGGAGGCCAAGGCAGGTGGATTGCCTGAGCTCAGGAGTTTGAGACCAGCCTGAGCAACACAGTGAAACCCATCCCTACTAAAATACAAAAAATTAGCCAGGCGTGGCAGCGTGTGCCTGTAGTCCCAGCTACTTGGGAGGCTGAGGCAGGAGAATCACTTGAACCTGGGAGGCAGAGGTTGCAGTGAGCCGAGGTCGCGCTACTGCACTCCACTCCAGCCTGGGCAACAGGGGAAACTCCGTCTCCAAAAAAAAAAAAAAACCAAAACAAAACAAAACAAAAATAAGAGAGCATAATGTGTAAATGGAATTAAAAAATAGAATTGTACCAGAGAAAAAGAACTACAAAAAGAGCCACAATAAAACTGCAGAACTGAAAAAGGCAAGAGATGAAATTAAGATCTCAATGGATGGTTTAAAAGATGATTATAGGCATAAGTGAAAACTATTGGCAACATGGAAGTTAAAGAAGATTATGTCTAGACTGAAGTGTGGGCAAACAAAAAGATGGAAACCCTGGAAAAGAACGTAAGAGACAGATGAGATATAATAAAAAGTTAAAATACCCATTTTTATAGTCCCAGAAAGAAAGAACAAAAAAGGGCAAAAACAATATGTGGAAAAGTAACAATCAAGAGTGTTTCAAAACTAATAAAAGGTAGAGCACGGTGGCTCACAGCTGTAATCCTAGCACTTTGGGAAGCCAAGACGGGAGGATTGCTTGAACCCAGGAGTTCGAGACCAGCCTGGACAACATGGCAAAACCCCATCTCTACAAGAAATTTTAAAAAATTAGCTGGACATGGTGGCGCATGCCTGTAATCCCAGCTACTCAGGAGGCTGAGGTGGGAGGATCACCTGAGTCCAGGAAGTGGAGATTGAAGTGAGCCAAGATCACACCACTGTACTGCAGCCTAGACAAGAGAGAGAGAGAGACGCTGTCTCAAAAAAAAAAAAAAAAAAAAAAAAACTAAACTAATAAAAGACATTAAGCCACAGATTCTAGAAGCATCATAAACCCCAATAAGGACAAATAGAAAAAAACCACACCTAGACAAATCATAGTAACACTGCTGAGAGCCAAAACCAAGAAAAAATGATAAAAACAGCCAGTAGGGTTTTTTTGTTTGTTTGTTTGTTTGTTTGTTTTGAGAAGGAGTCTCACTCTGTTGCCCAGGCTGGAGTGCAGTGGCACAATCTCGGCTCACTGCAAGCTCCGTCTCCTGGTTCACGCCATTCTCCTGCCTCAGCCTCCCGAGTAGCTGGGACTACAGGTACCCACCACCACACTTGGCTAATTTTTTTGTATTTTTAGTAGGGACGGGGTTTCACCATGTTAGCCAGGATAGTCTCGATCTCCTGACCTCGTGATTTGCCCGCCTCAGCCTCCCAAAGTGCTGGGATTACAAGCATGAGCCACCGTGCCCAGCCGGTTTCTTATCTTACACAGTTAAACTATACCTGCCCTAATGCCCTAATGACTTACCAATTCCACTACTACTTATGAAGAGAAATGAAAATACATGCCCACAAAAAAAAAACTTGTAGAAGAATGTTCACAGTAACTTTATTCACAATAGCCAAGAACTGTAAATTAACCATACCAGATACTAAGGCTTGTTATAAAACTACAGGCTATAAAAAGCATGTTATTGGCAAAAAACAAACAAAAAGCCCAACAAAATAGAAGATTTAACAGAAACAGACTCACATATATTCAGTGACTTAAGAAGATGACACTACAGAACAACAGAGAAAAGATGGTCCTTCCAATAAATGGCATTAACTCGACACGCCCAGGAAAAAAAATGAATCTTCACACACACACACACACACCCTCAACTGCACCATCACAGATCTGATTTCAAATGGATCAAAGACTATTATGGACTGAATTGTGTCCCCACAAATTCACATGTTGAAGCTCCAACCCCAGTACCTCAGAATGTGACTGTATTTGGAGACAAGGCCTTTGGAGGTGGTCAAAATAAAATAAGGTTGTTAGGGTGGGCCCTAATCCAATCTGACTGGTGTCTTTACGAAAAGAGAACATTTGGATACACGAACAGATACCAGAAATGTGCACATGCAGAGGATGTGTTTGTGTGCTCGACCTCATCAGTCAGGAAAACTCAAAAGGAAAGCACAAGGAGACACCATTGTACACCTACTACAATGGTTAAAATTAGTAAGACTGGTTAAGTGTTGAATATGAAGAGCAAAGAGAACTCTCATACTCTGCAAACAAAGCATTCATAATCTTAAATTTACACAGAAGTACCTACAGTGAGAAGTATAAAGTTCTCTGACTCTAACATGAATATTATTTTCAAAAATATCTTACCTCTTTTTGAACAAGGCTAAATTTTTCAAGTAGTTTACTTTTTTCTTCAATTAGTCCAGAAAGCATTAGAGCAAGCTTTTTCTCTCGTCCTAAAAAAGTCAAGTCAATATTACCATGAGTAAATTATTATAAGTTTTTACAACACAACAATGAGAGTCAAAGCAGAAAAAAGAACTTACCCACATAAAGCCGACTCCTAACCTGAAACAAATTTTTAACAAAAATTACATTAAAACAAATACGCTCTCAAGTAAATCAATTCATTTAACGTCTACTGCCAACTTAGAAATACAGGTTTCTTATTGCCTTTGTATAAATACAAGCCAAAAGTATTCTGTTTCCAATGAGAAAATAAATGCTTTTTTTTTTTTTTTTTTGAGACAGAGTCTTGCTCTGTCTCCCAGGCTGGAGTGCAATGACGCGATCTCAGCTCACTGCAACCTCCACCTCCTGGGTTCAAGCAATTCCTCTGCCTCAGCCTCCTGAGTAGCTGGGATTACAGGTGCCCACCACCATGCCTAGCCAATTTTCATATTTTTAGTAGAGACCGGGTTTCACCATGTTGGCCAGGCTGGTCTGGAACTCCTGACCTCAGGTGATCCACCTGCCTGGGTCCCCCAAAGTGCTGGGATTACAGGCATGAACCACCATGCCCAGCCTAAATACTACTTATTAAAGACTCCCTATTGAAGATTCACATTGTGAATTAGCATATTAAAGACTCTGAAATAACTTTACTCTAAAGATACTTGTTTAATTTCATTTAACCCATTGCTCCCCAAACAAATTTGACCCTAAAAAAATAATTTCAAGAAGCCCCTATTATCATATCCCTTGATGCCAATATCCAAAATAAAACAGCCTGAGAAATGTTACCATAGGGCCATAGATCTGAACTGACTAAAGAAACAGTAAACCAAACCTTTTTCTTCCTTAACCTCTCTCTCAAATAATGAAGCAGGCGGGAATTCATTTGTAAAAGGATCAGCCTTAGGGCTGAGGTAACACAAACAAGTAGAAAAGAAATGAGGACTTCAATCATCTACAGAATATGGATAGAGATAAAAGGGAAAACCTTTAAAAGACAAGATACTCTACAATGAGTGTAGATGAAGAATAGATTTCAGTTCCTCAGATTAAGGAACTCTCAAAAGGTATAGAAAACCATAAAGAAATTGAAAAATAGAAGTTAAGAGATAGGGAAGTCAGAAGTAAAAGGGGCAACATCTGAAAAATAGCAGTCCCAAAAATGCATTAAAAATTTCCCAAAATTAGGCCAGGCGTGGTGATTAATGCCTATAATCCCAGAACTTTGGGAGACCAAGGCAGGCAGATCACTTGAGGCCAGGAGTTCTGAGCAACACAGTGAAACCCGTCTCTACAAAAAAATACAAAAATTAGCCAGGCATGGTAGTGCACGCCTGTAGTCCCAGCTACTCAGGAGGCTGAGGCAGGAGAATTGCTTCAGCACAGGAAGCAGAGATTGCAGTGAGCCGAGATCATGCCACTGCGCTCCAGCCCGGGTGACAGGAGTGAAATCCTGTCTCAAATAAAATTTCCCAGAATTAAAAAAAAGATGAAGCTGGGCAGAGTGACATGGACCTGTGTAGTCCCAACTACTCAAAAGGCTGAGAAAGGATTGCTTAAGCCCAGGAGTTTGAGGCTGTAGGCTGTAGGCGCACTATAATTGCATCTGTGAATAGCAACTGCACTACAACCTAGGCAACATAGTGAGACCCCATCTCTTTAAATATAAATATATATATATATATATATATATATATATATACACACATATATATATATATATATATATACACACATATATATATATATATATATATACACACATATATATATATATAAAAGATCTTACATTAAAAGATTCCAGTTGAGCATGGTGGCTCAAACCTGTAATCCCAAGACTTTGGGAGGCCGAGGCAGGAGGATCACTTGAGCCCAGGAGTTTGAGACCAGCCTGAGCAACACAAGACCCTCATCTCTTTATTTTTGAGACAGGGTCTCTCTCTGTCACCCAGGCTGGAGTACAGTGTCACAACCATGGCTCACTGCAGCATCGACTTCCCAGGATCAGGCAATCCTCCCACCTCAGCCTCCTGAGTAGCCAGGACCACAGACGGGTGTCCTCATGTCCAGCTAATTTTTGTATTTTTTGTAGTGATGGGGTCTCACCGTGTTGCCCAGGCTGGTCACAAACCCCTAAGCTCAAGTGATCTTTCTGCCTTGGCCTCCCAAAGTGCTGGGATTAGAGGTGGGAGCCACAGCACTGGGCCTGACTCTCATTCCTGACCCTCATCTCTTTTAAAAAAAACAAAAAACAAAAAACAAAAACCTCTGAATCCCTATGTAGTTTCTAACTTGTTTACTTAAAATAACAAATATGTTTCTCATATTATTTGTTCAGCCCAGTGACAAAATGAACATTCTCTTAGTATAGCACTGGTTACTTACCGATCTAAAACTTCTCCACAAAAAAAAGAGAACAGCAAAAAATCCAACAACAGCTGCACATATCACCAATTCCCATGGAAAACCATAAAGATTAGAATCTGGTCTCATACCTTCAGGCAGTGCTGCCACAACCTTCAAGATAAAGAAAAGTAAGTTCTTAAAAATGTACTTTTGGTAAAAATATTGATTACAAACATAGGTACAAGTTTATGTGGTCAACACAAAATGGGCTGCCAGACTAACACCAAACAGAAAGTATCAGAGTACATTTTTTTGTCAACTTTCAATCACTATCGCCAAGTAAAGAACAGCAGTATGGTGAAATGCAATTATCTTCAAACTGGAGTTCTACAGAGGTGACTTAAAGTTTCCAAGGATGAGAATAAGAGAAGGCCAAAGAAAGAAACTGAGTGACCTAGGGTTCAGGTACTCTTACCCTGATTTCAACCAGTTCAGGTTTTATCTGTAAAGTATAATCAGTTCCCCAATATACAATTTCCCTACAGGAAGAAAAAATCAATTTGCAGCTTTAAAAATAAAAAGTTTGATTCAAAGCCAGCCTGGGCAACAAAGTAAGACCTGTCTCAAAAAATAAAAACAAGTTTTGAACACCACTGATAGAGATTTGGGTTTGGAGTTTGAATCTCCCCACCCTACCTCTGTGCGTCCCTTCTCTTAAGTGTAATGAGAATAATGCTGTTTGAACATGCCAGACAGGTGCTCAAAAAAGGGTAATTATTTATATTATCTCCTCCAAAGACCCTGATCTTCTGACCATGGCCTTTCCACATTACTTCTCCCCACAGCAGACCTTCAGCACAACACAGCCTAAGGCTTTTGCTGTTGCTTCTATATTTCACCTTTCTCTGGGTCAGCTCATTACTCATCCTTACCTAATGGGGTTATTCTGCTCTTTGTTACCAGGCCCAAGATATTACTTGATCAAAAAGAAAAGGGGAAAGGTAAGGGGAAAAAAGAAAAATGCCATTTTAAGAACAATCTGAAGTATGATGGGGTTTGATTCTTTTCAGGCTTTAACCCAAAACCTCTACAGCAAATCTTCCTTTTAGGCCCTTTCTGCCTATAAGAACAGTGTTTAATAGTTATTTTCCTCTCCAAAATCTTTTATAACTCTAATCCAAATATGTACTCCTTCCAAGGTACTATCTATACTTCATAACCTGTACCAAACAAACCTGATTATACTTCTAAAAAATATCCCTTTACCCTGATCTCTGCTTCTGCCTCTCCCTACATTACCCTAGGTACCAGTTCGCAGAAATCTAATATCATTACAAGCAATTAATGATAAAAAAAAATTATTTTTGCTATTGGGGGAAAAAAGGCATTCAATACACAATACCAGGAAGAAAAGTTTTCTTCACAGTTTACACATTTTCCAAGCATCTTACTTTTAGCTAATGTATTCAACACATAAGACGCACACTAACTCAAAAATTGTGTAATCAATATGACCTATGACACTCTACTTTAAAAGGCAATTCCAAAAGCATCTCTCAGATCAAACACGTAATTACCTTTAGTACAATAATATTTCTTAGATTCAATCACATTTTATCAGCTCTTCTCTTCTAAAAGGACATGGTAAATTCTAGTTTAAAGCATTGAGCTAGGGCCGGGCGCAGTGGCTCATGCCAGCACTTTGGGAAGCCAACGTAGGCGGATCACATGAGGCCAGGAGTTTGAGACCAGCCTGGCCAACGTGGCAAAACCCTGTCTCTACTAAAAATACAAAAATTAGCCAGGCATGGTGGCAGGCACCTGTAGTTCCAGCTACTAGAAAGGCTGAGGTGGGACAATCACTTGAACCTGGGAGGCAAAGGCTGCAGATCGCACCACTACACTCAAGCCTGGGTGACAAAACAAAACTGGACTCTGACACACACACACACACACACACACACAAAGGATTAAGGAAACATGGAAATTAAGGAATAATTTAAAAAAAAAAAAAATTTTTTTTTTTTTTTGAGACGGAGTCTCACTCTGTTGCCGAGGCTGGAGTACAGCGGCACCGTGTAGGCTTACTGCAACCTCCGTCTCCTGGGTTCAAGCAATTCTCCTGCCTCAGCCTCCCGAGTAGCTGGGATTACAGGTGCCCACCACCATGCCCGGCTAGTTTTTATATTTTTAGTAGAGACAGGGTTTCACCATGTTGGCCAGACTGGTCTCAAACTCCTGACCTCAGGTGATCCACCTGCCTTGGCCTCCCAAAGTGCTGGGATTACAAAAAAAAAAAACTTTAAAAAAATAAAATAAAATAAAGCCTTGAGCTGGTTAGATCTGGCAGACTGGAGAAAAGCAAAGAATCTGAGTCTTGGCCACGCACGGTGGCTCAGGCCTGTAATCCCAGCACTTTGGGAGGCCAAGGTGGGCAGATCACTTGAGGTCAGGAGTTTGAGACCAGTCTGGCCAACGTGGTGAAACCCCATCTCTACCAAAAATACAAAAATTAGCTGGGCATGGTGGCGTAAGCCTGTAATCCCAGCTACTTGGGAGGCTGAGATACAAGAATTGCCTGAACCCGGGAGGAGGCTACAGTGAGCCAAGAACACGCCACTGCACTCCAGCCTGGGTGACAGAGTGAGACTCCATCTCAAAAAAAAAAAAAAAGAAAAAAAGAAAAAAAGAAACTGAGTTCTAAAGGATTCATCTCAAATTCATTGCTCTGGTCTAAATTATTCTGGCTTTCTCAAGGAGATTTTTCACCCTTAAATTTTATCTACAACATAACACCCTATCTCACAAAAACATAGAAAGAACAACCAAATTTCTCAAATATCAACAAATATAATACAGAATTACATGTAATCTGATAAACTGAAATTTAAAGGGTGATGGGTAACCCCTCCAAGAGTAACCCTCCATAAAGTACGGTAGTGATTAATCACAGAACACTTAAAATCTATTCCATTTCCAAAACATGAGTACTAAAGGAGTTCAAGATCAAGTAGCTTTAAAAAAAATCAATTAATCAGGTTGACAAAATATACTAAGAATAAACTAAAATTGTTTTTCATCTAACTTCAAACATGATATATACTAATAACAAAAAGAATGTCAACATGCAGACCCTGTGAATACTTGACTATAACACAAAGTTCCATGAAGGTACACCTCTCCAAGATAAAACATTAACACCAATCACTCTCAAACTCTTCCCAAACATAGAGGAGGAAGAAATACTTCCTAACTTATTCTATGAGGCTGGTATTTACCCTAAAAGCCAGACAAATACATCACACAAGAAAAGAAAATCACACACCAATATATCTTATGACTCCAGATGCAAAAATCCTCAAAAAAATATTGACAAACCAAATCCAGCAACATATAAAAAGGATTATGTACCATGACCAAGTGGGATTTATCCCAGAAATGCAAGGTTGGTTTAACATACAATAATCTTATGAACCATATTAAGAAAATGAAGAGAAAAAAAAAACGCATGATCATCTCAATAGACACAGAAAAAGCATTTGACTATATCTAGCACCGTTTCATAGTCAAAACATTCAACAAAAATTAGCCAAGCATGATGGCACATGCCTGTGGTCCCAGCTACTCAGAAGGCCGAGGTGGGAGAATCACCTGTGCCCAGGAAGTCGAGACGGCAGTGAATCATGATCATGCCACTGCACTCCAGCCTGGGCAACAGAGTGAGGCCCTGTCCCAAACAAACAACAAAAAAAACAAAACACACTCAACAAAGTACGATTTGAGGGAATTTCCTCAACCTGACAAGAAACATCTATGCAAAACCTACAGTTAACATCATACTTAAAGATGAGGAAAAAAAAAAAAAAAAAGCTTTTCTCCTAAGATCAGGAACAATAATGTCCGCTCTATCAACATGTATTCAACATTGTAATGGAGGTTCTAGCCAGAGCAATTAGGAAAGAAAAATAAATAAAAGGCATCCAGACTGGAAAGGAAGAAGAAAAACTGTTTGAAGATGACATAATGCTATTCTATACACAGAGAAAATCCTAAAGAACCTATAGAAAAACTATCAGAGCTATTAAGTTCAGCAAAGTTGCAGAATACAAAATCAACATAGAAAAATCAGTTGAATTTCTATACAACAGCAATGAGCAACCTGAAAATGAAATAAAGAAAACATTTCCATCTATAATAGCATCAAAAAGAATAAGATTATTAGGAATACATTTAACAAAAGAAGTGCACACTGAAACTACAAAATATTGTGGAAAGCAACGAAGGAAGACTTAAATAAATGTAAAGCCAATCCACGTCCATGGGCTGGAAGACTTCTTTGTTTGAAACAGGGACTGAGTCTGTCACCCAGGCTGGAGTGCAGTGGTGCGATCTTGGCTCACTGCAGCCTTGCCCTCCCCAGGCTCAGATGATCCTCCCACCTCAGCCTCAAGCAGCAGGACTACAGGCACATGCCACCTTGCCCAACTAATTTTTGTATTTCTTTTAAAGACAGGATTTTGAGAGTGGCAGGAGGCAGCCAAATGCCCAGGCAGATAGGGGCGGGTCCCTAGTGAAACCCCAACTTCAAGCCAAAGACAGTTTAAAGCCTGAAAGCCAAGCCACAAGTTAAATCCTTGGACCAGATTGAGAACTTGCCTTCTTGTTTGGCCCACTTTCCTCTGATTGATCCCCATCTTTCACCTATTTTACATATACCTACCCTTTACTAATAAGTTTTCTTTTTCTTTTTTTTGGGATGGAGTCTCGCCCTGTCACCCAGGATGGAGTGCAATGGCGCAATCTCAGCTCACGGCAACCTCCGCCTCCCGGGTTCAAGCGATTCTCCTGCCTCAGCCTCCTGAGTAGCTGGGATTACAGACGCACACCACCATGCTCAGCTAATTTTTTGTATCTTTAGTAGAGAAGGGTTTCACCATGTTGGCCAGGCTGGTCTCAAACTCCTGACCTCGTGATCCACCCCCATCAGCCTCCCAAAGTGCTGGGATTACAGGCATGAGCCACCGCACCCGGCCTCCTAATTAGTTGTCTACATTGTCACGCCCACCTCTAAGTGGTGTCTTTGCTTTAACCTTTTTTGCATACTCACAAACCAATCAGCATGCACTCCCCATTCTGAGTCCACAAAAGGCCGCAGACCCAGCCACACAGGGGGACTTTCCTGCCTTCTGGTAGGGGAACCACCCCCTGCATTCCCTCTTTGCTGAGAGCTTTCCTTTCACTTAATAAATTCTATTCCACTCACTCTCTGGGGTCCGCATGCCTAATTCTTCTTGGTTGTGAGACAAGAACTTGGACCTAGCTGAGCTAAGGAGCAGAAAGACCACAACAGTTTCACCAAGTTGCCCGGGCTGGTCTTGAAGTCCTGGGCTCAAATGATCTGCTCACCTTGGTCTCCCAAAGTGCTGGGATTACAAGCATGAACCACTGCACCCAGCTTGGAAGACTTAATATTATTAAGAGAGCAATACTCCCTAAACTGATCAACAGACTCAATGCAACCCCTATTAAAATTCCAACTGCCTTTTTTGCAGAAATGGACAAACTGAATCCTAAATTCCTAAAACTGAATTCCTAAAATTTATATAGAAATGCAAGGGACTCCACATAGCCAAAACAATATTGATAAAGAAAAAGAACGTGGATAAACAAAAACAACGCTGGGGGACTCATACTTCCCTACTGTATCTTACTACAAAGAAACAATAATCAAGACATTGGGTAAAAAAATGTTTTAAAGATAATGTAGTAATGGCATAGGGACAGACACAGACCAATGAAATAGAAATCAGAGTCCAGAAATAAACCCTTAAATTTATGGTAAATTATTTTCAACAGTATTAAGACAAATCAATGAGAAAAAAACAGTTCTTTCAAACAAATCATACTAGAATAAGCCAATAAATATCCACATGCCAAGGAATGAATCTAGACCCATTCTTCATAACATATATGGAAACAAAATCACTCAAAGTGGATCGAAGAACTTCCCGTAAGAGCTAAAACTCTTAGAAGGAAGCATAACTGTAAATGTTTGTAACCTTGTCTTAAGCAACGGTTTCTTAGCTATGATACCAAAAGCACAAGCAACCAAAGGAAGAAAAGATAAATTAGACTTAATCAAAATTTAGAACGCTTACGCTTCAAAGGACACACCAAGAAGGTGAAAAGAAAATGCACAGAATGAGAGAAAATCTTTCTAAATCATTTATCTGGTAAGCATTTAGCACCCTAAATGTATAAAGAATGCTTATAACTCAACAATAAAAAGACCACCCATTTTTTAAATGAGCAAAAGGAAATCAATAGACATTTCCCCAAAGAAGATATAAACAATAAGCACATGCTCAACATCATTAGTTACTAGGAAAATACAAATCAAAACAACCACAAGGCCTGGTGTGGTGGCTCACATCTGTAACACCAGCACTCTGGAAGGCTGAGGCAGGAGGATCCCTTGAGGCCAGGAATTTAAGGCAGCAGTGGGCTATGATCACGCCACTACGCTCCAGCCTGGGCAACAAAGCAAGACCCCATCTCTTAAAAAACAAAACAAACAAACAACAACAACAACAAAAAACAGAGTAAAGCCGGGTGGGGGGACTCACACCTGTAATCCCTGCACTTTGGGAGGCCGAGGCGGGTGGATCACAAGGTCAGGAGATCGAGATCATCCTGGCCAACATGGTGAAACCTGTCTCTACTAAAAATACAAAAATCAGCCAGGTGTGGTGGTTAGTGCCTATAGTCCCAGCTACACAGGAGGCTGAGGCAGGAGAATCACTTGAACCTGGGAGGTGGAGGCTGCAGTGAGCCGAGATCATGCCACTGCACTCCAGCCTGGGTGACAGAGCAAGACTCAGTCTCAAAAAAAAAAAAAAAAAAACCACAACAGAGTGAAATACCACTCACCTGTACACCCACAAGGGTGGCAATTAAAAACAAAAGAAAACAGAAAATCACAAGCGTTGGAGAGAATGCAGAAAACTGAAACCCTCATAAACTGCTGGTGGGGATGTAAAATGGTGTGACCTCTGGAAAACAATTTGGCAGTTCTCAAAAAGTTAAACATATGGTAAATATGACTCAGCGATTCCACCCAGGTACTTACCCAGGAGAACTAAAAACATATATAAAAACTTATACACAAAGCAGCATTATTCATAATAGCCAAAAAGTATTAATAATCCATATGTCCATCAACTATGACATAAATGTGATATAGTCACACAACGGAATATTTTTTCACCATAAAAAGAAATGAAGGGCCAGGCGAAGTGGCTCACGCCTGTAATCCCAGCATTTTTGGAGGCCTAGGTGGGCAGATCACTTGAGCCTAGGAGCTCAAGACCAGCCTGGGTAACATGGAGAAACCCTGTCTCTACAAAAAATACAAAAAAATTAGCCAGGCCTGGTGGCATGTGCTGTGGTCCCACCTATTCAGGAGGCTGAGGTGGGAGGATCACCTGAGCCAGAGAGGTCTAAGCTGCAGTGAGCTGAGATCAAGCCACTGCACTCCCCCCTGGGTGACAGGGATGAGACCCTGTCTCAAAAAAAAAAAAAGAAAGAAAAAAGAAATGAAGCTCTGTTACATGCTACAACATGGATAAGCCTTGAAAACATGCTAAGTAAAAGAAGCCAGACAAAAGGCCACATATAGCATGACTACATGACACATGCAGAATAGACATGTTCATAGAGACAGAAAATAGATTAGTGGTTGTCAAGGGATGAGGGGTGGGAATTAAGACTGCTAATCAGTAGAGTTTATTTTCTGGGGTAATAAAAATGTTGAGGAACTGTGCTGACAGTTGCATAACATAGTGAATTTAACAAAAAAAGCACTGAAATGGACATTATAAAAGGATGAATTTTATGTTGTGTGAATATATCTCAATACAAAATAATTTTTAAAAATAAAAAAAAAATTTAAAGCGGAACAATGTTGTGCCATCCTAGCCCCCAGGCCAGGGTACTCGCATTTAGCAAAAAAAAAAAAAAAAAAAAAAAAACTGTGCAGGTGAAGATACAACGCACCAGACTAGAGAAAACTGCAAAATCTGGCTGCATTTCTCCATGTATTTCTGCATTTCTCCATGTACACTGGCAGTCCTATAAAAACTAAATCTTGATTATTATTGTTTTTAGTGAAGAAAGGGAAATATGCTTCTCTTTCTAAAAACCCTACCTCCATGAATAAGTTACCACAGCCAGAAACCTGGGAGTCCTTCTAGATTCCTTCTCTCTCACCCTTCACATGCAATCAATAAAGTCAAACATATTTTAGCTCTTAGAGGCTATTTCTCCACACAGTACCCTCTTTCCTATCCTTACTACTGTCACCTCTCCCTTAATCCCTATTTCAAGTTTTGTTTCCCTAACATCTAATCTACATGCTACTATCAAGAAGAGCTTAAATTTTAAACCACAAGTCTAACCACGGAAAAGCCTTCAAGAGCTCTCCAACACCTACAGCACTTGGAACCTACTTACATCTCCGGCAAGCATCATTGCCCATCACTCCCTAAGCCCACTTTACACTCTAAGTAATACAGCTCCTAGTTCCCTGCACTGTGTGTGTATGCTTAGGTAAGCACTTCATCAGTTTCTACTTTGTACTATTTTTTTTTTTGTCTTCTCTCTCTTAACAGACAACATGATGCTAGTGGCCAAAACTAAGTCTTAGTCCATTTAGAATCTCCATAAAGGTGCTCTTTTCATATTAAATACATATATATGCGTATGCATTAGACAAACTATGAACTCATAAACACCATGGCAACACTACCTTTAATTCACCTAACAAGAAAACATAATCGTAACTGCCTCAATAATTAAGTGGTCTTTTTAAAGATTTAATCCAGTTTTTAAAAACACGGCGACATAAATGCCCCTACACATGTCAACAAAGATACCTAGAAACACTTAAGGAGAAAAATCTCTACAACTTGATTATAAACTAGACCTGAAAAATAAAAAACAAAATTTGAACACTGGGAGTTTACTATCTCTAGACTGTACATTAACAAGACAGAAGCGAAGAACAATCTCACTCATGGTAGAGCATCTCAAAAGGGCATTCATTCTTTACCAAAAAAAAAAAAAATGCAGAATCAAAATTTCAACTCCCCGCCCAACCTCAGGTGTTCTTTCAAGGTTCAACGAGAAGTTACATCAGTAAATGTAACTAATTTAAAGGAACAGTCCTCAAGTTTCTCACAGTCGAAGGAACCACGTGTCTCTGCTCAAAATAAACAACATAGCGGAAAGGCTAATTAGTTTTAGGAATCGGGAAACATTTACATCTTTGCAAAGTCCAGCTAAGCAAGTGCTTTCTTCACCTTCCCAGAGCCCCAGGTCCTCCTCCATCACACAAAAACCACTCAAGCGCCCTACGAGCCTAACTACTGCCTCGAACACGGGCGGGAGCCGGGCAGCAGACGAGGACTGGCTTCGGGACCTCTGACCACGGCGGCTTAGACCCCAAAGCCGGTCTACTGCTTCCTTCCCCCGGCGGCTCCCGCGACCCCTGGGCCACGTAACACTCATCGCGCCTGGGCTCACCCTGCGTAGCTCCTCCAGGAGCAGCCCCAAATACGGTTGAGGGGTAACCCCGGGCTCCTCCATAGCGCCAAAGCTGCTCTCGTGGTCGCCACAGTAACCCCGGCCTGTCGGGGCCACAATAAACGGCGGAGAACACACAGCCTTCGGTCCGGAACCCGAATCCGCACCCGGCAACCGGAGTGGACCACTGCGGAGCCGGCTGCGGGGGGAGCTGGGGGACAGGGGCACCCGCAGGCCTCACAGGCCTACGCTGCCCATCCCGACCCTCTTGTTATACTTTACATCCCGAGGCAGCGCAGGTCCGAGCCCGACCCGCACAAGCCTGCGACGTACCCTGTCCTCGCCACCCCACCCCTCGGTTTGGTTTCGGCCGGGCAGCCGCGAGAAGGCGGGGAGGCGCGGACAGCCGCAAACTTCCCCTTCTTCGCGCAAGCTTCGCAGACGTGTCCGGGTCGTTTGCTCTTAAAGGGGCCGGCGCTCTACCTGGCGAAGCCACCCAGCCCTGGTAGTGGAGAGGCTTGGGACTAGAGGATGAGATTCGGCCTCATACTCCGCGCTGTCGTGTGAGCCGCACAACCCCAAAGACCAGGGCTATGTCCCAAGGGCACCCGCCTCGGGCGGCCGCGGTGGCGGCGGCGGCGAGACTTCTCCTAGAGGCGTCTCGGCGCAACCCCCACCCCCCCGACCCAGGGGCCGACGCCAGGCCCAGCCCCGACACCCAAGGCTTTCCTTCCGCAGCCTCGCTGGAGCCTGCTGTCTGCGCCCTGCAGAAGTCCTGACGGCGGCGTACCCCGGGAGACCCCGGCAGCCCCGAGAAGCCAGCCGCCGCCGTCATTCCAGTCAGAAAAATGGCCTGCGGGGCACGCGCCGGTGCGCCCTGCCAACCACGTCCGGACTTTGGACTTTAGACAGGAAGGCGTCCCGGCTCAGCTGTGGTTTGGTCAGAGTTTAACCTGTCCCACGCAAGAGAACCTCGATCTGGTTTCCTCGCTTACCTGAGTCACCTGGGCACTTGTTAGGCCCAGCTGTCTTCAGTTCCATTAGCGGCCAGTTACCCAAATGCTAAATCAAATCCCCGTGGACCTTGGCCTGGCGCGGTGCGTGCTGTTTTCCTCCGAGAAGAGGAGCTAAAAGTAGCACCTTGCCTTCTAAATTTAGGACTCTATTTTTAGGACCGTCGAATAAAGTGCCAAGTGCTGGATTTGTTCGTAGGAGACGGTTTTAGCTGACGTAGGTGTAAAGGATAACCCATCTCATATATATGTCTTCCTTGCCAGCATGATCATTCTCATTATATTCTGCCTTCTCACTCAAGTACTTTGGTGAAGCAACTCAAAAAGGAGCAGATACTTCCTCCTAAACAAATCACCCAAAAGAACTCAATAGATGAACAAAATCTTAAATCCTTAGGAAATTTTCCTGATGTAACCTCTTGTAGCAACGAACTGTTATGCCATTTAAAAAATCAAAAACTGGCCCAAGTTCACAGCAAGTGATTTTTCAGGACCAAAATGCGGCCTAGCTTTTCAGAACTCAAGATTGCTATTTCTCCTTTGCCACATCAGCCTGAGGAGTTTCAGGAAATGCTAATATCAGAGTAGCCAAAATTGCTTAGTAATTCTCCATTGTTAAGGTATAAGGTATTACACAACTTTCATACGTGTTAGACACTGTGTATTAAAATTATGTGAATAGTTCATTAAAGTCAAAACAAGCATAATCAAACTTTTATCTTTAGAATTTCACAGACTCCTAGAACAACGTGTATGCCTCAATTAGAACATTGTATTACTCAATAAAAATTCTTAAATGTGTCTGAACATTTTCGGAAGACTCCAGAATAATTTTCAGGTTTTAGAACTTTCAAAAAACAAAAACAAAAAAAAAACCTCCCTTTGCCCTCCCTAAGTCACTCTATGTCCCTCTCCAATTTTCAGTAATTACCACTCCAAATATTAAAAATATTAAGGACAGAGGATAAAATGAAAAAAAAAGAAAAATCCAAGTTCCCCCCATAGCAAAAACACAGTAAAGCTTAACAAACTTAGTGCAAAATTCCAAACCTCATTTGTTTCAGTATGCTTAATAGTTATAAACTCACCTCTTCCTCTGGACTTTTCAATTCCATTTCTTGAAAAGCTCATGTTAAAATTTCCTAACATGTAAATAAAGTTCTACCAGGCACCTCATATCCTTGAGAAAGATTTCAGATTCTAATATATCCTGCACTCTTCTGTTTCCACACTGTGATCCCGTTTTGACATTTGTGTGGTAAAGGGGTGCTACAGGTGGAGTTGTGACTACCAACCCATAACCCAATTTCATGGACCTCACTCGTTGTTAAGTATATATATATATATATACTCACACACATACATATGCACCTATATATGTTTTTTAAAATGTACATATTACTACCCTCTTACAATCTATAATTGAAAAGAAAAATCCTGAATTTGATAACTGATAAAAACTAAAATGTTTTATTCTATAGCCTATTCATATAGAGTACATGATCTCTATCATTTAAAAGATATTCAAAGACTGTCCTCCATAAGTAGACATGGGAATTTTTTGGTCTTATATAGTACCTGTTTTAAAGCAGATGTTAGAACAAATGCTGTTAGTGTTTGTGATAGATACTAGAAAACATCCAAGAACATCGGAAACATGCTAACCAGTAAACTTTGTTCACAACCTAGACACTGATTTCCCTTATGAAGGGCTCCATTGCAAAGCTGTAAGTACTAGTTACTCCCTTTTAATTAAACAGGCAGTGTCACAGACTTTAAGATTTACTCTTTTGGAAGAAAATCAAAATTGTGGAGCCACATCTTTAATCTCTGTACTAGTGATGTAAGAGTTGTTCTCAGAACATATTGAATCAGGAACTACCTGTTGAACAATAGCTGGATAATTTCCATTGTATATTCTGTGAATAAATGAAGCATTCTACTTAAGAATATATAAACATTAGAACTCAAAGAGGCTCCTCAATTGTAAAATAGAAAAAAAAGTAGTGTTAAAAATAGAACCACCATTCGACCCAGCAATGTCATTACTGGGTATATACCCAAAGAAAGTAAATTGTTCTAACAAAAGACACGTGCACTCTCATGTTCATTGCAGCACTATTCACAATAGCAAAGACATGGACTCACCCTAGGTGCCCATCAACGGTGCATTGGATAAAGAAAATGTGGTACATATACACGATGGAATACTATGCAGCCATAAAAAATGAAGTCACATTCTTTGCAGCAACGTGGATGCAGATGGAGGCCATTATCCTAAGCGAATTAACGTAGAAACTGAAAACCAAATATCACATGTTCTCACTTATAAGTGGCAGCTAAATCTTGGGTACGTACAGACATAAAGATGAGAAAAATAAACACTAGGGACTCAAAAATGAGGAAGGGAGCAGGTCAAGGACTGAAAAACTTCCCACTGAATATTATGTTCACTATCTGGATGACAGAATCAATAGAAGCCCAAATCTCAGCATCACGAAATCAACCCTTGTAACAAACCTGTACATGTACCCCTTGAATCCAAAATAAACATGGAAATAAGAAAGAAAGGAAGGGCTGGGCGTGGTTGGCTCACACCTATAATCCCAGCACTTTGGGAGGCCAAGGCGGGCGAATCACTCGAGGTCAGGAGTTCGAGACCAGCCTGGCCAACATGGTGAAACCCCGTCTCTACTAAAAAATACAAAAAATTAGCTGGGCATGGTAGTGTGCACCTGTAATCCCAGCTACTTGGGAAGCTAAGGCAGGAAAATCATTTGAACCCAGGAGGCCGAGATTGCAGTGAGCTGAGATCACACCACTGCACTCCAGCCTCGGTGACTGAGTGAAACTCTGTCTCAGAAAAAAAAAAAAAAGAGAGAGAGAGAGAGGAAGGAAGGAAAATAAAGGAAAAGAGAAAATAAGAGGAAAGGAAAGGAAAGGAAAGGAAAAGAAGAAAGAAAAGAAAAGAAAGATGCTGGGCATGATGGCTCAAGCCTGTAATCCTAGCACTCTGGGAGACTAAGGCAGAAGGATTCCCTTGAGCTCAGGAGCTCCAGACTGGCCTGGGCAAGATAGTGAGCTCTCGTCTCTACAAAAAATTTAGAAAAAAAAAAAAAAGAACAATCCATCAAGATCAAGTTGGCTTTATCCCTGGGATGCAAGGCTGGTTCAACATACACAAATCAATAAATGTAATCCATCACATAAACAGAAACAAAGACAAAAACCACATGATTATCTCAATACATGCAGAAAAGGCCTTCGACAAAATTCAACAGCCCTTCATGCTAAAAACTCTCAATAAACTAGGTATTGATGGAACATATCTCAAAATAATAAGAGCTATTTATGACAAACCCACAGCCAATATCATACTGAATGGGCAAAAACTGGAAGCATTCCCTTTGAAAACTGGCACAAGACAGGGATGCCCTCTCTCACCACTCCTATTCAACACAGTGTTCGAAGTTCTGGCTAGGGCAATCAGGCAAGAGAAGGAAATAAAGGGTATTCAGTTAGGAAAAGAGGGAGTCAAATTGCCCCTGTTTGCAGGTGACATGATTGTATATTTAGAAAACCCCATCATCTCAGCCCAAAATCTCCTTAAGCTGATAAGCAACTTCAGCAAAGTCTCAGGATACAAAATCAATGTGCAAAAATCACAAGCATTCTTATACACCAATAACAGACAAACAGAGAGCCAAATCATGAGTGAACTCCCATTCACAATTGCTTCAAAGAGAATAAAATACCTAGGAATCCAATTTACAAGGGATGTGAAGGACCTCTTCAAGGAGAACTACAAACCACTGCTCATTGAAATAAAAGAGGACACAAACAAATGGAAGAACATTCCATGCTCATGGATAGGAAGAATCAATATTGTGAAAATGGCCATACTGCCCAAGGTAATTTATAGATTCAATGCCATCCCCATCAAGCTATCAATGACTTCCTTCACAGAATTGGAAAAAACTACTTTAAAGTTCATATGGAACCAAAAAGAGCCCACATTGCCAAGACAGTCCTAAGCAAAAAGAACAAAGCTGGAGGCATCATGCTACCTGACTTCAAACTATACTACAAAGCTACAGTAACCAAAACAGCATGGTACTGGTACCAAAACAGAGATATAGACCAATGGAACAGAACACAGGCCTCAGAAATAACACTACACATCTACAACCATCCGATCTTTGACAAACCTGACAAAAACAAGAAATGGGGAAAGGATAACCTATTTAATAAATGGTGCTGGGAAAACTGCTAGCCATATGTAGAAAGCTAACTGGCTAGCCATATGTAGAAAGCTGAAACTGGATCCCTTCCTTACACCTTATACAAAAATTAATTCAAGATGGATTAAAGACTTAAAAATTAGACCTAAAACCGTAAAAACCCTAGAAGAAAACCTAGGCAATCCCATTCAGGACATAGGCATGGGCAAGGACTTCATGTCTAAAACAACAAAAGCAATGGCAACAAAAGCCAAAATTAACAAATGGGATCTAATTAAACTAAAGAGCTTCTGCACAGCAAAAGAAACTACCATCAGAGTGAACAGGCAACCTACAGAATGGGACAAAATTTTTGCAATCTACTCATCTGACAAAGGGCTAATATCCAGAGTCTACAAAGAACTCAAACAAATGTACAAGAAAAAAATAAACAACCCCATCAACACGTGGGTGAAGGATATGAACAGACACTTCTCAAAAGAAGACATTTATGCAGCCAACAGACACATGAAAAAATGCTCATCATCACTGGCCATCAGAGAAATGCAAATCAAAACCACAATGAGATACTATCTCACACCAGTTAAAATGGTGATCATTAAAAAGTCAGGAAACAACAGGTGCTGGAGAGGATGTGGAGAAATAGGAATGCTTTTACACTGTTGGTGGGACTGTAAACTAGTACAACCATTGTGGAAGACAGTCTGGCGATTCCTCAAGGATCTAGAAGTAGAAATAGCATTTGACCCAGCCATCCTATTACTGGGTATATACCCAAAGGATTATAAATCATGCTGCTATAAAGGCACCTGCACACGTATGTTTATTGCAGCACTATTCACATTAGCAAAGACTTGGAACCAACCCAAATGTCCAACAATGATAGACTGGATTAAGAAAATGTGGCACATATACACCATGGAATACTATGCAGCCATAAAAAAGGATGAGTTCATGTCCTTTGTAGGGACATGGATGAAGCTGGAAACCATCATTTTGAGCAAACTATCGCAAGAACAAAAAACCAAACACCGCATATTCTCACTCATAGGTGGGAATTGAACAATGAGAACACATGGACACAGGAAGGGGAACATCACACACCAGAGCCTGTCGTGGGGTGAGGGGAGGGGGAGGGAAAAGCACTAGGAGATATACCTAATGTAAATGACAAGTTAATGGGTGCAGCACACCAACATGGCACATGTATACATATGCAACAAACCTGCATGTTGTGCACATGTACCCCAGAACTTAAAGTATAATTTAAAAAAAGAAAAAAAAACAAGAAACGGGGAAAGGATCCCCTATTTAATAAATGGTGCTGGGAAAACTGGCTAGCAATATGTAGAAAGCTGAAACTGGATCCCTTCCTTACACCTTATACAAAAATTAACTCAAGATGGATTAAAGATTTAAATGATAGACCTAAAACCATAAAAACCCTAGAAGAAAACCTAGGCAATACCATTCAGGACATAGGCATGGACAAGGACTTCATGAATAAAACACCAAAAGCAATGGCAACAAAAGCCAAAATTGACAAATGAGATCTAATTAAACTAAAGAGCTTCTGCACAGAAAAAGAAACTACCATCAGAGTGAACAGGCAACCTAAAGAATGGGAGAAAATTTTTGCAATCTACCCATCTGACAAAGGTCTAATTTCCAGAATCTGCAAAGAACTTAATAAAATTTACAAGAAAAAATCAAACCATTTCATCAAAAAGTGGGCAAAGGATATGAACAGACACTTTTCAAAAGAAGACATTTATGCAGCCAACAGCCACATGAAAAAATGCTCATCGTCACTGGCCATCAGAGAAATGCAAATCAAAACCACAATGAGATACCATCTCACACCAGTTGAAATGGTGATCATTAAAAAGTCAGGAAACAACAGGTGCTGGAGAGGATGTGGGGAAATAGGAATGCTTTTACACTGTTGGTGGGACTGTAAACTAGTTCAACCACTGTGGAAGACAGTGTGGCGATTCCTCAAGGATCTAAAGCTAGAAATACCATTTGACCCAGGGATCCCATTACTGGGTATATACCCAAAGGATTATAAATCAAGCTA
Source organism: Homo sapiens (assembly GCF_000001405.40). Lineage (NCBI taxonomy): Eukaryota > Metazoa > Chordata > Mammalia > Primates > Hominidae > Homo > Homo sapiens. The sequence continues at coordinate 39,260,188 of NC_000014.9, read as the reverse complement.
CTATAATGACACATGCACACGTATGTTTACTGCGGCACTATTCACAATAGCAGACTTGGAACCAACCCAAATGTCCATCAATGACAGACTGGATTAAGAAAATGTGGCACATATACACTATGGAATACTATGCAGCCATAAAAAAGGGTGAGTTCATGTCCTTTGCAGGGACATGGATGAAGCTGGAAACCATCATTCTGAGCAAACTATTGCAAGGACAGAAAACCAAACACCGCATGTTCTCACTCATAGGTGGGAATTGAACAATGAGAACGCTTGGACACAGAGTGGGGAACATCACACACCGGGGCCTGTCATGTTGGCGGGGGGATAGGAGAGGGATAGCATTAGGAGAGATACCTAATGTAAATGATGAGTTAATGGTGCAGCAAACCAACACGGCACATGTATACACATGTAACAAAACTGCATGTTGTGCACATGTACCCTAGAACTTAAAGTATTTAAAAAAAAAAAAAAAAAAAAAAAACCTAGCCAGGCATGGTGGCACATGCCTGTAATCCCAGCTACTCAGGTGCCTGAGGTGGGAAGATTGCTTCAGCCCAGCAGGCTGAGGCTGCAGTGAGCTGTGATAGGGCCACTGTACTCCACCCTGGGTGACAGAGCAAGACCCTGTCTCAAAAAATAGAAAAAAAAGAGAAAGAGAGAGAGAGAAAAGAAAAGTGCTAACGGGAAATAAATTTTCAAAAGACATCCATTAAATTTTCAGATTACTCTTGCCAAGGCTCCTTGCGGAGATTTGAAAGAGATACTCTCCTTCTCTTTCCATTGTTGAATCAGGAGAGTCAGTATACTAGTAGCTGTCCAAAATCTGCCTCCTTGGCTGGGCGGTCTGGACTGGGTGGAACTGCTTCTCTAGATTCCTCCTCACTGGTCAGGGCATCTCTGAAGGAAAGGTAAGAGCCCCAGTTAGGGGCTTACAGACAAAACCCCCATTTCCCTGGGACAGAGCACCTGGGGGAAGGGGCGGCTGTGGGCAGAGCTTCTGTGGATTTAATCGTTCCTGCCTGCCGGCTCTAAAGAGAGCAACTGATCCTAACAAGAGGGATTCTATCAGCACAGCGCACCAGCTCTGCTAAGGGGCAGACTTCTTCCTCAAGTAAGTTCCTGACCCCCGCGCCTCCTGACTGGGAGAGACCTCCCAACAGGGGTCAACAGACACCTCATACAGGAGAGCTCCGGCAGGCATCAGGCCGGTGCCCCTTGATGAAGTGTCCAAAGGAAGGAGCAGACAGCAGTCTTTGCTGTTGTGCAGCCTCCACTGGTGATATCCAGTCGAACAGGGTCTGGAGTGGACCTCCAGCAAACTGCAGCAGACCTGCAGAAGAGGGGCCTGACTGTTAGAAGGAAAACTAACAAACAAAGCAAGATCAACATCAACATAAAGGACCCCCACACAAAAACCCCATCCAAAGGTCACCAGCCTCAAAGATCAGAAGTAGATAAATCCATGAAGATAAGGAAAAACCAGCACAAAAACGCTGAAAATTCCAAAAACCAGAATGCCTCTTCTCCTCCAAATGATTGCAAGTCCTCTCCAGCAAGGGCACAAAACTGAACAGAGAATGAGATTGATGAATTGACAGAAGTAGGCTTCAGAAGGTGGGTAATAACAAACTCCTCTGAGCTAAAGGAGCATGTTCTAACCCAGTGCAAGGAAGCCAAGAACCTTGATAAAAGGTTACAGGAACTGCTAACTAAAATAACTATTTTAGAGAGGAACAAATGACCTGATGGAGCTGAAAAACACAGCATAAGAACTTCGTGAAGCATACACAAATATCAATAGCTAAATCAATCAAGAGGAAGAAAGGATATCAGAGACTGAAGATTAACTTACTAAAATAAGGCGTGAAGACAAGATTAGAGAAAAAAGTATGAAAAGGAACAAACAACACCTCCAAGAAATATGGGACTATTTGAAAATACCAAATCTATGATTGGTTGGTGTACCTGAAAGTAATGGAGAGAATGGAACCAAGTTGGAAAACACACTTCCAGATATTATCCAGGAGAACTTCCCCAACCTAGCAAGGCAGGCCAACATTTAAATTCAAGAAATACAGAGAACACCACTAGCATATTCCTCAAGAAGAGCAACCCCAAGACACATAATCATTAGATTCACCAAGGTTGAAATGAAGGAAAAAATGTTAAGGACAGCCAGAGGGAAAGGTCAGGTTACCTACAAAGGGAAGCCCATCAGACTAACAGCAGATCTCTCTGCAGAAATCCTATAAGCCAGAAGAGAGTGGGGGCCAATATTCAACATTCTTAAAGAAAACAATTTTCAACCCAGAATTTCATATCCAGCCAAACTAAGCTTCAAAAGTGAAGGAGAAATAAAGTCCTTTACAGACAAGCAAATGCTGAGGGATTTTGTCACCAACAGGCCTGCCTTACAAGGGCTCCTGAAAGAAGCACTAAATATGGAAAGGAAAAACTGGTACCAGCCACTGCAAAAACACACCAAAATATAAAGACTAATGACACTATGAAGAAACTGCATCAACTAATATGCAAAATAACCAGCTAGCATCATGACAACAGGATCAAATTCACACATAACAATATTAACCTTAAATGTAAATGGGCTAAATACCCCAATTAAAAGACAGAGACTGGCAAATTGGATAAAGAGTCAAGACCCATCAGTGTGCTGTATTCAGGAGACCCATCTCACGTGCAAAGACACACATAGGCTCAAAACAAAGGGATGGAGGAAGATTTACCAAGCAAATGGAAAGCAAAAAAAAAGGAGGGTTGCAATCCTAGTCTCTGATAAAACAGTCTTGAAACCAACAAAGATCAAAAAAAAGAAAAGGGCATTACATAATGGTAAAGGGATAAATGCAACATGAAGAGCTAACTATCCTAAATATATATGCACCCGATACAGGAGCACTCAGATTCATAAAGCAAGTTCTTAGAGACCTACAACGAGACTTAGACTCCCACACAATAATACTGGGAGACTTTGATGCCCCACTGTCAATATTATGACAGATCAACGAGACAGAAAATTAACAAGGTTATTCAGGACTTCAACTCAGCTCTGGACCAAGCCGACCTAATAGACATCTACAGAACTCTCTAACCCAAATCAACAGAATATTTTTCTCAGTACCACATAACACTTAATTAGAAGTGAAACACACCTCAGCAAATGCAAAAGAATGGAAATCGTAACAGTCTCTCAGACCACAGTGCAATCAAACTAGAACTCAGGATTAAGAATCTCACTCAAAACCAACTTGATTACCGTTAAAGCTCAGATAAGTTTTCTTTCTAAAATTTCTTGAATTGTTGCTTCCTTCTCTTCATTTACCTTCTCTCCTTCTGGAAATTCTATTCTTGGCATAAGTCTCTTGGCTTGTTCTATATTTTCTTTTTTTACTCATAATTCCTATTTATGTTTATTTTTCTTTTTTAGATAGTTTCTATATTTGAACTTGCAAAACACTTATTCAGTTTTCAGTAGTGCTGATTCCAATTTCTTCACATTTTTGGAATCTTAAAAATTAAAAATCATTTTTTTCCAAAACCTTTTGCTTTCTCATAATTTCTTTGTTATTTTTTTTTAAAAAGCTGCCTCCTTTAATTTTCCATTGCTTTTGATGTGATGGAATCACTTAAGAAATATCATTTTAATTTTCAAAAGAAAAATGTAGTGTTGATCCCTAGTACTTGAACATTACAAAGCAAGTATGTTCTGCACAAAATCTACCTGAAACTACAATGAATTGGAAGAATTACCTAAAATATTTAGACAAGAAGAAAAGGAAACCTTTCACCTAAATGTAACTGGAAAATTGCTCAAATTTTCCATTTACTACAGCTATTCAAATTTATACTATGGGTGCTTAATAGATACATTCACATTGTTAGAATCCTAGATCTAGCAGGAACTCTCAGAATATTTAGCCTGAAGATTATGAACTTAAAGCCCTGTAGAGACCAAGCAGTTGACATAAATGTAGGAAAATGGAGAGTCCATGTCTATGTAAGCAAGCACTAACCAACTTGAGTTTCTTTTTGCTCCAGAAAAATTGGCAACTATGTATCACAGTCTTCTACTTTTTCAAGAGAACCCAGAAATTCAGATTTTAATATGAGCTCACCTTTTAAATGTTGACAACTGATTCATAATTTTCTTAGACAATACAAAGCCAGTTTTGACCAGCAGCCTGTGATCTCATCTCAGCTTCTGTTATTGGAATTTTCAAACTGGAACTCCTTCCCAGACAATAAGTGACTTTCCAAGATCACAAGATAATTAACATAAATTTAAATTCAATATTTTCATGTCTAAATAATTTCATCCAAAATTGTCCAAGTAAAATGTATTTGACTATGTTTACTGAGTCCACAAAAATAAGCATATTTAGTATAGACTTGATTAAATAAGCACTTTATATAGAAGTGAGTATCATGTGTTGATCAGCAAATTATCTGTTCAATTATTTAACTTCATTCATATAATTTGTGGAGGAGGGGATTAAGAGGTCAGCAAGACATACCAAAAAGTAGAATTAATTCCATGGGGAGTTGAAAGTTTTATTATGGACTATTTTGTAATTATCATTATTGTTAGTTTTTCTTTTCTCCTAACCTGGGACAGATTTCTAACTTTTTCTGTTTTTGTTTTGTTTGTTTGTTTGAGACAGAGTCTTACTCTATGGCCCAGGCTGGAGTGCAGTGGCATGATCTTGGCTCACTGCAACCTCCGCTTCCCAGGTTCAAGCAATTCTTGTGTCTCAGCCTCTCAAGTAGCTGGGATTATAGATGCGCGCCACCACGCCCAGCTAATTTTTGTATTTTTTGTAGAGACGAGGTTTCACCATGTTGGCCAGGTTGGCCTTGAACTCTTGACCTCAACTGATCGGCCCACTTTGGCCTCCCAAAGTGCTGGGATTACACTCAGGCCTGTAGGCCTGAGCCACCATGCCCAGCCTAATGAACGTTTTATAATCAACATCTTCAACACCAAATCATACAGAATAAATTAATGATTTCTCTAAGCTTATTTATCATGTAATGTCAACTCTCTTGAATCAAGCAAAAAAAAATTAAGTGAGGAAGAGGCCTCTGAAAGCAAAATGATGTATGCTATTAAGCCCAGTTTTCACAAAGACTCAATGGCACCACCATCTAACAGGTCCCCCAAGCTAGAAACCTCATAAGTTATCAGGTCCCTGAGCTGGAAACCTGGTATCCTCACTTTTCCTTATAATTCTCCATGCTGCATTCAGTCAGTCATTAAATCCAACGATTCTGTCTACAAAAGATCTATCCAATTTGTCCTTCCAATCATTTCGACTGCCACCATCGGATGTTAGACCAGAGGCTAAAAAATGTGGTTAGTGGGCCAAATCCCACTCACAGAATACTTTTTCTGAACTGCATGGTGTTTTATTTTACTCTGAATATTTGCCAGTATTAAAAATTGTGAGATTTCACACACAAAAATCCAGATTTCCAGCTTTTCTTGAAAATCAGAGTATCTGGGAAACTAGGCTGAAGGCAAGTAGTACCTTTATCCTTTAGACAGCGCATACAATCTCTAGTTGGCTACAGTTCTCACCTTTACCCACACTTCACTCATTTCATTTGAGTTAGTATACCCTGATTTGGATTTTCGCTATTTCCTCATTTTCAGAACTAATGCAACAGCTTCTTGACTGGACTCCCTGCCTCTGGTCTTTACCCCTTTAATCTTTATTTGACAGCATTGATAGACTTTATAAATCAAACTTTTTCATTTTACTCCCTGCTTAAAATTCAATAGTGCCCCATCATCTACAAGATAGAGTTGAACTCCCTATTATTTGACCCCTCTGTACTTCTTCAACTTCAGCCTATGTTCAATCAAACTCAATTGCTTATTGTGCTCCAAAAGTGCCATATTCTCTCCCACTTCACTACTTTAAAAGTGCTCTTCTCAACCTAGAATGCCTATCCTTTCTTTGTCTGGCTAACTCCTACTCTTCCTTCAAAATCAGCTCAAATATGATCTTCTCTGGGACATTCTCCCAGGCTCCTTCTCCCCACCCTCTCTACCTAACACTCCCAATCAATCTACTAGGCAGCTACTCCTGCATATCAGTAGCACCCTGTGACTATTATAGCACTATATTAAAATTATTACTTTTTTATCTGTGTCCTCCAACTAGAGTGAGCTCCTTGAAGACAACCACTATTAAATTTCAGCTTAGAACATAAATAAGAAGATAAAAGTGCTTCCTCAATTATTTCTATCACAGCAGTAGATGAGAAAAGGAACATTTGTAAAAGATCTCTTATATGCCAAGTACTACAGCTAGTCCTTTTGCAATATCTCATTTAATAGTAAAATTTACAAGTGAAAATAGAATTTGGAATTTCAGTTACAGCTTGGTTAAATTTTGATATATTAGTTGCTTTTGTACTCCAACATTATACCATTTTGAGGTTACAACTCTCAATTGAATACAAACAAGTTGCTTTTCATTTTCAGTTTTTTTTAGTTTAGGTTTTTTTTTTTCTTTTTTAAGAGATAAGGTCTAGCTATGTTGCCCAGACTGGTCTCAAACCCTTGGGCTCACTCTTCCCTTTTATTCTCCTTGTTACATTCAGTAAAAGGATCCTCCTGCCTCAGCCTCCTAAGTAGTGGGAACTCCAGGCACACACCACCACACCCAGCTCTAGTTCCTATTATTCCTGAGTTAACTTATTTAGTACCTAACTTTCCCTAATTTGAAAAATGGGGAGGGTGGAGTAAAAAGCAAACACCGCTCAAGATCAACATCAACAAAACTTAGGGAAATGTTTTTAAAAATCAATATCCATTTGACAAAACATTCATATAAAGAGAAATCTTACAGGTAAGATGTCATGGAAAGAGAAACATTATATAAACATTAAACAGGGAGGATTCATTCAAACATATTTTGTAGCCACTCTTATATTTAGCAAAATAGGTAAAATTATTGCAAAAGGTTTAAAAGGCAAACTTACCCTTTCTGTAAGAATTACAATTGGTGAAAATGCAGAATTCATGAAATCATAAACATCAATTTGGAATAAGTATTTCAGAATCTGAAACTCAGAAGCATCTTCTGTTGATTTATAAATAAAAATATGTTAGCATGATATTATATAACTTCTGATTCTAATTTCTTCCTTAATTGATGCATTAGAGAATAAATAACCTGTTTCTTACCTTTCTGAGAAATATAATTTTGAGAAGACAAAGAGTTATCAGTTGAAACCATCTGACTATTTAGCAGGGTATTTTCCACAGATCTGTCTATCTCCACCAGAGCAGGCCCTTCGGTGTCTACTGATGGTTTCGAATTTTCATCACTATCTTTAGAAGATGAGGGTTCAAAATATACTTCTTCGTGAATTCTCGTAGGTAACTCTATGTTAGAGACCATATCTACAAATAAATAAAAAGAAATGTGTTTTTCCAAAATACTTGCTTTGTTGAGGGCTCCCCTTTTGTTTTCTAGGCAGGTCATTTTTCTGAACTTTTGTAGGTCATTATGATACTTCGTTAAAGAAAGGACACACTAAAACATAAATTGTATCCTGTATTAGTTCCTATTGCTAGTAAGATAAATTACCAAAACTTAGTGGTTTAAACAATGCAAATGTATCCTCTTAGAGTTCTGGAAGTCAGAAATTCTAAAACCAAGGTGTTAAAGTTGTCAAGGCTGCATTCCTTCAGGAGGCTCTAGGGCAGAATCTATTTCCTTGCTTTTTCTGCTTTCTGGAGGCCTCCTGCATTCCTTGACTCATGGCCCCATCCTCCATTTTCAAAGCCAGCAGTGTAGCATCTTCTAATCTCTGTCTTACTCTGATACCCCTGCCTTCCTCTTATAAGTAGCCTTGTAATTATATTAGACACACAAGGATAATCTCTCCATTTCAAGATCCCTAATCACATCTGCAAGGTCCTTTCCACCATGTAAAGTAACATATTCTCAGGGTCTGGGGGTTAAGATATAGACATCTTTTAGGGGGCTTTTATTCAGCCTACTACATAGCCTTTTCTTTATTCCTCAGCCAAGGAAGAATTACAAAAGCTATATATAATTCTATTCTCTAACGTGCCTTTTTGTCCTAAAAATTACTTTTAAAAAACCCTAAAACTAACATAACTGTCAACAATTCTGTTGTACTATATATGTACATATATAGTATATATGACTAAGAATAAGGCAGCACATAGATTCCCTTCAGATTTCATTCCTGCTATGTATGCATTTGTTAAACAGAAGGTGTAATATCTTAAAAAAAGTATCAGTGTGGTCCTGAAAAACAATAATAAAGAGTAGTAAGTGAATTGTTCAATGTCTAATTTTGCTCTTTGAGCTTGTGAGTCTTAACATAGCACTTTGACAGTTTCATTTATTTATCATTGTTTAAAAGATGAAAGTCCCAATTGAGCAAACACATACCAGTAATTTAGTAATAGCACCTGTGGATGATAATACTTAACAAGAGCATACAAATCAGGAGTCTGTATTCAAAGGGATTATTGTACATACAGGACTCAAGTAGTGATCTACAATAATGTTTTATGCTATAAGAAAAAAAGGATTATTCAATAATTATACTCAAATTTATATGTAGCTATATTGATTATTTTAAAATACTGTTTTAAACTGCATTTGAAATAAATATATAAGAAAAATGAATATTCCCTATACTATTTTCATATTTAATTATATTTTTAGATATTATTTACACATTTAAACCTAAGCTTTAAGATTTATATTAAATACAGATATGCTTTTATCATTGCTTATTAGCAGAATTTTAAGTCAAAATAATAATTTTTAATATTTAACTGTACTGGGGAGACTCATTATTTAAGTATGCACAATTGGAATCCTTTTGTAAAATCGTTATGCACATTGTAATATAAATAACCGTTCCCTAGTTTACCCGTTTTGTAAATTCCTAAATCAATATGTTAGTTTTCTATAAATGTGGTTATCTCAAGTCTGAGCCTTTCACAGAGATTCAAGATCAGTGATTCATCTTGCTTATGCACTATAATTACAGCAAGTTTTCATTTGTTATTCCCTGAAAGAGTTGTTGGAATCTTCAGAAAAGATTGGCTGTTTAACTCTTTCTCTAATATCCAGAATATAGGGCCTGTGGCTTTATAGAAATCTCTCTTTTAGGATGCTTTTTTAAAAACAAATTTTTGCATGATCTCGTGTTGCTTTTCATTCAATTCTTATTTAATATTGTAGTGTTTTGGAATAGCCCACTTTGTTAATAAATGACGTCTTTTTTTCTGAAATTTAAAATAATTTCTGAATATTTTCATAAAAGTTCCTCAAAACTAGTTAAAATTGCAGGAACATCCTATTGTCATTTAACTATTTACCAATTTTAGAAATTCTTCCAGTATCTCTATATAAAATGATAAATTTTAAATATATATATATATATATATATATGCATATTTTTTTTTGAGACTGAGTCTCACTCTATTGCCCAGGCTGGAGTGCAGTGGCGCAATTTCAGCTCGCTGCAACCTCCGCCTCCCGGGGTCCAGTGATTCTCATGCCTCAGCCTCCCAAGTAGCTGGGATTACAGGGGCACACCACCATGCCCAGCTAATTTTTCTATTTTTAGTAGAGACAGGGTTTCATCATGTTGGCTAGGCTGGTCTCAAACTCCTGACTTCAAGTAATCTGCCTGCCTCGGCCTCTCAACGTGCTAGGATTACAGGCATGAGCCACCACACCCCGCCAATATTTTCTTTAGAGAAAAAGTGTCACTGTGTTGCCCAGGCCGGCCTCGAACTCCTAGGCTCAAGTGATTTCCCACCTCAGCCTCCCAAGTAGCTGGGACTATAGGATCACACCAACACTCCCAGCTAAATAAAATGTACGAAAGTGATTTTTTTGTGAAATCCTTTTGTATTCCTTGAGTTTCTATGATTGTGCTCTAAAATATTTTTATATATCAATCTTTGGAATCATCTGGATTTCTGGATCTAATATTGTTTGGTTGTAGTCTGTCTTCCTTCTAATTACTGTGATCTGCCTTTTCATAAATATTCCTTTAGGATCTAACAAGTTTAGAACAAGAGAATTTACCTTTTAATTAGCCTTTAACAACCTAAAAAGGTCTCTAAGCTTTTTAGTCATAAAAAGCATCACGCCTACACCTTTCTCATTTGGAAAAGGGTTAGAATCTAAATATCTATATGTTGGTTGAGGATGTTGAGTAGAGAGCTCACATTTTAGGGAATGTTAAGGTATTACGTATAGTTCTGGAAATTCAAAAAAATCACCTGGTTCTAATGGAAATGTGTTTCCTTCTGAGTTTGTTGCCCTCTTCCTGTAAAAGGTTTTCTGTCATTCTAGGGTTTGTTTTTGTATTATTGGTCAATATTTGCTGCATTTATATTCTGTCCATCATAGAGTCATAAGGATGGAGATGTCGGAAAGTCATAAAGTTTTCTACTTAAAATACCATCCACATGTTTTTAATCATAGAAGTTGCTAGATACCTGGACATCTAGATCTGAAAGTATTATCTTATATTCTGTTGCCCACTGTTGAACTCTCAGAATTCAGGGACTTGAGGGAGAAAGTTGAAAACTTTTTCCCTTTTTTTTTTTGCTTGAGTTTTCTTATTACCTTGAAACTTAAAGAAAACCCTTGTTATCAGCTGGGCACGGTAGCTCATGCCTGTATTCCCAGCACTTTGAGAGGCTGAAGTGGGAGGATCCCTTGAGCCTGTATTCCCAGCACTTTGAGAGGCTGAAGTGGGAGGATCCCTTGAGCCTAGGAGTTGGGACCAGCCTGGACAACATAAGGAGACCCCATCTCCACGACATATAAAAATAAATTAGCTGGGTGTAATGGTGCAGACTTGTAGTCCCAGCTACTCAGGAGGCTGAGGTCGAGGGATAGATTGAGCCCTGGAGATTGAGACTGCAGTGAACTGTGATCGCACCACTGCACTCCAGTGTAGGTGACAGAGTGAAACCTTGTCTCAAAACAAAAACAAAAGAAAACTCTTGTTATCCTAGTTCTTCTTAGGAAAAACAAAACTGCAGACCTAGAATAAGATCTAATTTAATAATCAAAACTATTTAATTAAACTTTCCTTTAGCTGGCCAGGCACGATGGCTCACACCTGTAATCCTAGCAGTTTGGGCGGCTGAGTGGGGCAGATCGCTTGAGCTCAGGAGTTCGAGACCACCATGGACAACATAGTGAAACCCCGTCTCTACAAAAAATACAAAAATTAGCGGCTGTGTTGGCACATGGCCATAGTCCCAGCTACTTGGGAGGCTAAGGTGAGAGAATTGCATGAGCCCAGGAGGTCGAGGCTGCGGTGACCTGAGATCATGCCACTGCACTCCAGCTTAGACGATAAAGTGAGACCCTGTCTGGAAAAAAAAAAAAGTTTCCCTTAGCTTAGGTTTCTAAGAAAATCGTTCAAATATAGTTGTATTGGGAAGGTGTTATTGGGCTAAAAAGCGAATGTGAATGAGAAAATCCACACCTACCAGAATAGGAAATCAATAGACATTATCTAAAATAGGATAATCAAAGCAGGACAGTATAAAGATTCTATTTAGAAAACTCTTAAATACTAAAAAGATACTGCTTTAAAAACAAAAAAAGAAAATTACTGTCTCTGGGAAAGCAGTGGGAGTGGAGGTAGATGGAGAGAACAGAAATTGCTTTTGTCAAAAAAAAAAAATGCCTTAGCACTATTTCAAATTTTAAACTATTTACATACAATATTCTGATAAAAATTAAAATTTATTGTAAAATACTTTAAGATTTTCTTGGAGCATCTTTAGATCTCCAATCATTGTTTTTCTGTTGAGATTTTATTTTATAATATTAAGATCTAAATTCCAGAGTAAACTGGAAATTGATGAAAGAGCTAAGTATTCTGAAAAACGTGGATTCCTGGACTTTTTCATCTGATTTGCACTTATAAAAATAAATTATGTTTAAAAATAAAATAAATTCTAATGTAAATATTTTCATACCAACCTGACAGACTGTATGAACTTTTGAATATCATAACTTTTGTATTATCTGTGGGATAATTATCAATGGAAAATTCTCCAGTTTCTTCATTTTCAATTACATTATTTTGATCCAGTATCTGTTTGGGAAATGGCAATTCTGTTTCCTTTGGAATGTTCTGGAAGTTCCAAGGGTTGTCAAAATTATACAAGAACTTTTTCAAATATGGTATAGTATCAGATTCGTCTGTTTTTTCTGAGACTGGTTTCTTGTCTATTTGATCTTCTGTTTCTATAATTTTTATCGTTTCTATTTCTTGTTCTTTTTCAGGGTCTAATTCACTTGTTAGAGGATGTTCATGTTCATCTGCCCCACCATCTTCTTCATTTTTCCTGTCATCTAACATAATTTTATCTTCCTTGGCATATGCAAAGCCTAGTATAGCAAAACCAAAATCAAACCAACTTGGCTTGAGACTCAAGCTATCATTAGTGATTGTGTCTTTTTTTTCTGTTAATATTTCTGTACATGGAACTGTGGCTTCTTTATCAGATGATATGGAATTGGGAAAATCTTGTAGTGGTGGATTGCTTTCTTCAGCTATTAATTCAAGCCCTGTATCCTCATCTCCAAAACCTAAATAACTTGTAAATCCTCCACCAAACCAACCAGTGGATTGAGGTTTGGGAATGTGCTCTGACTCAGATGCTAGTTCAGACTGTGTCTTTGGCACTGAATCAATTTCTGATTCAGATTCTTGCTGATGTTCTGTTTGAGGCTCACCATTATTTAATTCCTCTAGGTCATTCTCATCTTCCACTGCTATTTTTCTACTCCGAAATGAGCTTTCTTGTACAGGTTCAATAACTGATTCAAAAGCCTTCTCTTCAGCTTGTTCTCCTCCCAATCCAAACCATTCTTTGACTCCAGACACAGCTGAAGATGGTGGGACATGCACTTCTGGAATACGATCCTGTTCCATACTTTCAACAACTACTTCTTCCCAGTCTTTTGATTCACTGGTACTTCCGATATCTTCAGGAGCCTCTAATGCTGGAACTTGGTCTTCAAACAAAGTACTTTCATAAGTTGCATAAAATCCAGGTTCTATCTGAAAATCACTTTCATATATACTAGATTTTTCATCTTTATCTTCTTCATAAGGATATATATTTTCACCATAATCACCGTTTAATTCACTATCTTCATTGTCAAATGTGTAACTTACTCCAAGAAGACAAAGAAAGTCAGATTCCTAAAAGGAAAAAATATATATATGATTAACATGAATGTACTAGAGCTCCTTGTTTCTCCCTGAGTCATTTAAAATGGATGATTGTGATATTCCCAAGACACATGACTAGCTCAACAGCAGAGCAAAAACTCAAACACTTGTATCACAACTGACTTCAAGGCTAATTATGTAAACCTAAATGAAAAACCTTTTACATTATGGTTTTTTGTTTCTTTGTTTGTTTTTAGAGACAGGGTCTTGCTCTGCTCCCAGGCTGGAGCAGAGCTCACAGCTTGCTTGAACTCCAGGATTCAAACAATCCTCCCTCCTCAGCCTCCCAAGTAGCTGTTACTATACCCAGCTAATTTTTAAAAATTGTGAAGATAGAGTCTCGCTATGTTGCCCAGGCTGAACTTGAACTTCTGGCCTCAAGCATTCATCCTGCCTCAGCTTTCCAAAGCACTGGGATTACAGATGTGAGCCACTGCCCCAGGCCCATTATGATTTATTTGTTATTAAATAGTTGGAATTTTGGGGCCAGGTATGGTGGCTCACGCCTGTAATCCCAGCACTTAGGGAGGCTCAGGCGGGTGGATTGCCTGAGCTTAGGAGTTCGAGACCAGCCTGGCCAACATGGCGAAACCCATCTCTACTAAAAAATACAAAAATTAGCCAGGCATGGTGGTGGGCGCCTGTAGTCCCAGCTACTCAGGAGGCTGAGGCAGGAGAATTGCTTGAACCCAGGAGGCAGAGGTTGCAGTGAGCCAAGATCGCACCAATGCATTTCAGCTTGGGTGACAGAGTGAGACTCTGTCTCAAAATAAATAAATAAATAAATAAATAAATAAAAATTTTTAAAAATAATTGAAATGTTTGAGAAGCAGAGGCAATCAATGCTTTCAGTGTATTCTGCAAACAAAATCTGATGAAAAGGCATGCATATCCACAAAATCTTGTACCTCCTAAGAACACACTGACTGAACACATGTGTGTTTGCCTTGATTTGAGGTAGGGTTCTATGGTTTGACTGTGTCCCCAAAAACCATATATTGGAAACTTAATCCCAAATGCAATATTGTTGACAGGTGAGGCCTGGTGAGAGGTGATCAGTCCATAAGGGCAGAATGGGTGGGATTAATGCCATTACTACATGAGCGGGCTTGTTATCACAGGAGTGGGTTCCCTTATAAAAGGACCACCAGTTCAGCGCCTGTCTTGCTCTCTCTCTCTCGCTTTCTCCCCATCTTGCCTTCCAGTATGAGATGTTGCATCAAGAAGACTTCTCAGCCTTCAGAACTGTGAGAAATAAATTTATTTTCTTTGTAAGGTATCCAGTCTCTGGTATTCTGTTATAGCAGCACAACATTGACTAAGAGGGGAATTTCACAGCATATGGTTATAGCTCAGACAGACCAGAGACTCTAAAGCAAGCTTGTCCAACCTGCAGCTTACAGGCTGCATGCAGCCCAGGATGGCTTTGAATGTGGCCCAACAAAAATTCATAAACTTTTAAAAAATACTATGGGATTTTTTTTTTGCAATATTTCTTTTTAGCTCATCAGCTATATTAGTGTATTTTATGTGTGGCACAAGACAATTAATTCTTCTTCTTCCAGGGTGGCCCAGGGAAACCAAAAGATTGGACACCTCTGCTCTAAAGCATGAAAACCTTGTTAAAAGTTGCACCAAAACGCTGGACACAGTGGCTTATGCCTGTAATTCCAGCACTTTGGGAGGCCAAGGCAGGAGGACTGCTTGAGCCCAGGAGGTCAAGCTGCAGTGAGCCATGATTGCACCACTTCATTCCAGCCTAAGCAACAAGGCAAGATCCTGTCTTTAAAAAAAAAAAAGGTTAGCTAGGTGCGGCGGCCCATGCCTGTAATCCCAGTGCTTGGGGAGGCTGAGGTGGGCAGACTGCTTGAGCCCAGGAGTTTATACCCAGCCTGGGCAACATGGAGAACCCCTGTCTCTACAAAAAAATACAAAAATTAGCCAGGCATAGTGGCATGCGCTGTAGTCCCAGCTACTCTGGAGGCTGAGGTGGGAAGATCACTTGAGCCTGGGAGGTTGAGGCTCCCGTGGACTATAATTGCACCACTGCACTCCAGCCTTGGTGACAGAGTGAGACCTGTTTAAAAAAAAAAAAAAGTTGCACTAAAACAATTTGACTTTATTTATTGAGATATTGCATACAGCCAATGGAAGTGAGGATCTACTTGCTCATCTCACAGAACCACCAAATCATTAAGAAGAAACATGATGAAGACTTTTTTTTTAATCTGAATGTTAGAAATAGCGATGTGTGCTGCCTTTGGATATTACCATTAGGAAATGAGAATAAAGTTTAGGTTTTTTAAAGAATAAGCTTCAGAATTGCAATTTTACAATATATACTTGGCACTGCAGTCTAGTACATGATTAAGAACAGACTCTGGAGTCAAACCCTTTGGCTTCAATGCCCAACCCTGCCATCTACTACCTCTGTGAACTTGGGTGAATTTTATGATCTTTCTATGCCTCAATCTCCTTCATCTGTAAGATGGGGATGTTGGGGCTCAGAAATACCCCTGAAATGAAGGCATCAGAAGCAAAATTATTTTCTGACCTTCTCCTATTCTCCACCTCTCAGTCTCATTTTCCCCTGAGGCTAGTCATAGAAAGTAGAATCCCCCTTTCCCAAGGCAGGTCATAGAAACCAGAACCCCTTTTCTCCAAAGCCAGCCATATAATCTAAAATTATTACTCTAATTTTTCCTCCTCTTTTCTATGCAAAGCTATTTATAAATTATCTGACCTACCTTGTTTGATTGTAGGGCGTAAGACCCCCATTCCAGGGAAGGCCCTGCCCTATAGCCAGAAAGATGCAATGCATGCTCAGCAAAGCCAAGAAGAATCCAGACAGACAGGCTTTTCTGGGTTCCCCCACTCAGTCTACTGCATTAGATCATACCCTTTTTGTTCAGTCATATCTCTACAGGGCTATCCATACTTTATTGAAGCTAAGCATAAAAATGGACAGTTTCCTCTGTATCTTCGGGTCTTCATTCTTTTTTCTGTTTGTTTTTTGAGATGGAGTCTCGTTCTGTTGCCCAGTCTGGAGTGCAGTGGCATGATCTCCACTCACTGCAACCTCTGCCTCCCGGGTTCAAGCAATTCTCCTGTCTCAGCCTCCCAAGTAGCTGGGAAAACAGGCGCACATCACCACACCTGGCTAATTTTTGTATTCTTAGTAAAGACGTGGTTTCACCGTATTGGTCAGGCTGGTCTCAAACTCCTGACCTCAGATGATCCACCTGCCTTGGCCTCCCAAACTGCTGGGATTACAGGCATGAGCCACCACCCCCAGCCTGGTTCTTCATTCTGAAGTTTCGTGTGTCACGTAAAATTGTGATCAAATAAATTTGTATGCCTTTTCACTTATTAATCTTCCTTTTGCAAGTTGACTTTTCATCTGACTTTCAGAGGGAAATTTCCTCCTTGAATCCTCCAGGGAAACTGACAGTACCTATTTTACCGAGGTGTCGTGAGGATTAAATGAGTCAAGTGTTTAGAATAGTAACTGTCTCTAGTAAATACTCCCATATCCCAGCCCAAAGTTACAGTACCCCAGATACAATGAGAAATGTGGGGATAAAAGGCCCAAATCGTCTTGCCTCTCTCTCTATTAAAGACAACTCCAAAGGGCCATTGCAGCTCCAGAGCTCCTTAGGAAATCAACTGAGACCTTCACTGCAACTACATCACAATTTGACTTCTCTGTCTGCCTGGTCATGCTTCTTTTTTCTTTGTCTTCTTTTTTTTTTTTTTTTGAGACAAAGTTTCACTCTGTCACCCAGGCTGGAGTGCAGTGGAGCAATCTTGGCTCACTGTAACCTCCGCCTTCTGGGTTCAAGCAATTCTCCTGCCTCAGCCTCCCAAGTAGCTGGGATTACAGGCGTGCACCACCACACCCAGCTAATTTTTGTATTTTTAGTAGAGACGGGGTTTCACCATGTTGGTCAGGCTGGTCTTGAACTCCTGACCTCAAGTGATCCGCCCATCTCAGCCTCCCAAAGTGCTGGGATTACAGATGTGAGCCACAATGCCCAGCCAAGTCCCGCTTTTTCTTTTGTTCTTCACAGGTGCTATTCCCAAGAGTACTACCCAGCAAACTTCTTGGATGCAAAGATTCATCTCAATATCTGTTTCCCAGGGAACTTGACATAAGAATTTGAGGCATCTGTGTGCTACTTTGTGCCTGGCACTGTGCTAGGTGCTGGGATTCTGCAGTAAACAACAGAAAAAACTAATTGTAAATTGCAATAAATGAGGACAGGTGTGGTGGCTCACACCTGTAATTCCAGCACTTTGGGAGGCCGAGGCAAGTGGATCACTTGAGGTCAGGAGTTCAAGACCAGCCTGACCAACATGGTGAAACCCCATCTCTACTAAAAATACAAAAAATAGCCAGGCTTGGCAGTGGGTGCCTGTAATCCCAGCTACTTGGAAGGCTGAGGCAGGAGAATCACTTGAACCCAGGAGGCGGAGGTTGCAGTGAGCAGAGATCATGCCATTGCACTCCAGCCTGGGCAATAAGAGGTGAAACTCCATCTCAAAAAAAAAAAAAATGCAATAAGTACTATGAAGGAAATAAACAGAAAGCTGTGATTAAGAAGCAATAATTCCTTTAGAATCATCATGGAAGGCCTCTCCAAGGCACTGGTTTTTATTTTTAATTTTCAAACTCAGCATACTTTCATTTCAGTTTTATTGAGGTATAATTGGTATACATAAACTGCATATAATGAATGTATGCTTTTGAACAAATGTATACACTTGTGTTACCATCACCACAATCCAGATATTAAAACATATCCTTTGCTTCCAAAAGTTTCCTAGGAGGCACTGATGTTTAATCTCAGGCCTAATGGATAAGAAGGAACTAGCCAAGTGAAGTATTTGGGGAAAGCATTCCAACCAGAAGAAATAGCCTGTTTGGGTCCCCAGGCTGGGAAAGAGCCTGGCATGTTCTAAGAACAGTCAAAAGTCCAGATTAGCCAGGATCATGGTGAGTGAGGGGAGAGTGGCACCAGAGACAGGGTCAGCAAAGGAGGCAGGAGCAGATCATGTGGGAATGCGAAGCCAGGGTAAGAAGTCTGGGATTTATTCCAGGTCCAGTGAAAAGCCACTAAAGGGCTTTAACCAAAGGAATGACATAATCAGATTTTTTGTTTTTACAAGATTCATTACTGTTTGGAGAATGGATTGAAAGAGGGCAAAAGTATAGGCAAGAAGTATAGTTAGAAGGCTACTTAGTATTCTAATCAATAGATGAAGCTGCTCATGTTGGCACACCTGTAGTCCCAGCCATTGGTGAGGCAGAGGCGGGAGGATTGCTTGAGCCCCAGAAATTCTGGGCTGTAGTACAGTTTGATTGTACCACTGCTTTCCAGCCAAGAGATGATGGTGCCTTGAATTAGGGCGAAAATGGAATTGAAGAGAAGACAATATACTCCAGATATATTTTAGAGATAGAACTGACAGGACCAATTATTATACAGTAAATAGACAGCTAATCCCAGAGTTTGTGATGGGAAAGAGCCAGAAAATAGGCAGTTTGTTTAACTAGATAGACTCACTTCTCGCTGACCTTATTTAAGGTAAATTGGCTTAACCCAGAATCTGAATTAAATGAGCTAACCAAGTTTATTAATTGAAAAGCCACCTCCTGATTCCCTTGAAGCCCAACATTATCATGCTCATGAAAAACTCCAACAGCAAAAGAGGATGTACAGATATGAGACTAAGGAGCGTGGTGGAAAATAAACTTTTATCTTAGTAAGACAATAGCATTAGTAATAATATATAACACTTACTGAGCATTTAATGCTGTTCTATGTACTTTACATATACTCATTTATTCTTCAATATATGTAAGGTAGCACTATATTATACTCAGCACCCCCATTTTACAGATAAGGAAATTGAGGCATACCAGGCCACATAGCTTGTAAGTGGTTGAGTCAGACTTTAAACTCAGTCCATCTCCAGAATCCATGCTCTTAACAATTACACTCTACTGCCTGTCTGTTAATTGTTCAGAAAGCAAAATCTTTTACTGTCACCTAATTTGTCTTACTTAATTTTATTCAAATATTCAAGCTATTCCTAGAGTAAGTTCTCAGGCCAACTATTTTATGCATTTACTATAAAAGGTACATAACCAATAGGCACTGATACCTGGGAAAACTGTTTTAACCAAGAAATTTTAAATTCAATTAACAACTGAGAATGAGTTTACTCACTTTCGTTGACATCTGAATTTCCTCAGATATGAACACCTCTTCAATCTGGACTGCATCTCTGGGAAAATATCCAAACTCCTTTCCTTTCTGTCAAAATGAAGAACAAAGATTATCGAGGAAGAATGATCAAAGCAATAATAATTATTGAACCTAATTTTGTCCCATGTCCTTGGCTTTCATCTACTCTGAATCGCAAACATTACTCGACTATCAATTTCCATATAAAAAAGAGTGAAATAATATTCTTTTGTTATTCAAAAGAAGAGCATTTATTTAAGGAACAAAGAGCCAAATCATAAAATGTCACTGTTTCAAACTTCAGAAGGAAACCTGTTCCACTTACTCATTTTATTCGTTTTTCTGTTCTTTAACGACCTTTCTTGTCCAGGTCAACTGCAGATTTACACTAGTAGACCTGGGATATCAAAAGGCAAGGCAATGGCGGCGGTAGCCAAGCTAGATGGAGTAGTGACATATTCAATGTTTTCAGGATGTTAAAATCAGACAGGCGGTTTAAACTCTGAAGGGCCACAAATGGATTCATCATGATAGTAAAGGTCTACAAGTCCTTCAGGGAGGATTTGGTTCCATTCTACTTTTCTGGGGCTGCCTTGATAACAGAGATCCTCTTCACCCAGTTCAAGCACAGGCAGATTGTGCCCCAAGGGTGAAGGCTTACCCATCCACCCTCAGCGCATTTCCTAACCCTGTTAAAGTTTTAAAGAACATATTTCTTTTGGCCCTCTAATCCAGCACCATTATACCTCAACTGTGATTTGTCCAGCTCTCCAGTTGCCATAACTATTTGGAAACTGACAGACTGTGGGTCCACAGTGTGGTTCCTTAAACAGCTAACTGCATGAACTAAACATCAAATGCACAAAACTAAATGTGCCTAAAACTTCACCCTGGCTGCACACATTAAACACTGCTTTTGTGTGGAACCATTATTTTCACGTATAGTAAATAAAAAAGAATGCTTTCTTTGCCTTTTATGACACCTAAGATGTCAGTTTTTGTATGGCTGCATTGGATGCCTCCAATGAATTCAAGATATAGATTTTGTTTTTGTTTTTGTTTTTGTTTTTTAATAGAGACAGAGTCTTGCTCTGTTGCCCAGGCTGGAGTGCAGCAGTGCAATCATAGCTCACTGTAACCTCTAACTTCCAGGCTCAAGCTGTCCTCCTGCCTCTGCCTCCCTCAGCCTCTGAAGTAGCTAGGACTACAAACATGTACCACAACACCCCACTAATTTGTGTGTGTGTGTGTGTGTGTATTCTTGCTATGCTGCCCAGGCTAGTCTCGAACTCTTGGTCTCAAGTGTTCCTCCTGCCTCAGCTTCCCAAAGCACTGGGATTATAGGCATGAGCCACCACACCTGGCCTTAGACTGGCATTTTAAAGGCACCAGAAGCAGTAGGGAAAGTTGGGAACTGCAGAGGCCAGACAAGCAATTCTGGCCAGTGACTATTAGAAGTCCAGTCCTATAGCCCCTGATGGGAAAAGCAGAATTTTTAAATAAAATATGCTCCTTCAAACAGTGACCACAGAGGCTATACAAAAAAGGAGGTCTGGTGCATATGTAATATGGAAGTGATACATGTATCAAGTCGACCATGCTTGTTCAGCTTGGGAGTAAAAGTACTTATCATAGCACCTTTTCATTATAAACCATAATGATACAATCAAAGATAAACCTTTTTTCAATGGAAAGTATTAATCATTAATTTTCCCATGTTATATATTCAGAGATGATTTAACCTTCTAGGAATTTCAGCATACTAAAGCTTCGGGCCAAATAAAAAGCTCTATCAGCTAGGTTTTTTTGTTTTTTGGGTTTTTTTTTTTTTTTTTTGAGACAGGGTCTCACTTTGTAACCCAGGCTGGAGTGCAGTGGTACAATCATGGTTCACTGCAGCCTCTACCTCTGGGCTCAAGCGATCCTCCCACTTTAGCCTCTCAAGTAACTGGCTTTACAGGCATGCACTACTACACCCGGCTAATTTTTATATTTTTAGTAGAGATGAGGTTTCGCCATGTTGTCCAAGCTGGTCTCAAACTCCTGGCCTCAAGTGATCCGCCCACTTTAGCTTCCCAAAGTGCTGATATTACAGGCATGAGCCACCAAGCCTGGCCCAAGCTGTTATTTTTTTCTATAAAAAACTTATACACCTAGGGCCGGGCATAGTGGCTCACGCCTGTAATCCCAGCCCTTTGGGAGGCCAAGGCAGGTGGATCACCTGAGGTCAAGAGTTCCAGACCAGCCTGGCCAACATGGTGAAACCCCGTCACTACTAAAAATACAAAAATTAGCCAGGTGTGGTGGCAGACACCTGTAATCCCAGCTACTCGGGAGGCTGAGGCACGAGAATAGCTTGAACCCGGGAAGTAGAGGTTGCAGTGAGCTGAAATCGTGCCACTGCACTCCAGTCTGGGTGACAGAGAGACTCTGTCTCAATAAAAAAAAAAAACTTGTACACCTAGCTTCCCTAGCTACCAGCCTTTCTGGGGATCTCTTCAATAACAACTCAGCCCTTCATTTGCTCAGAAACACATGTCTTTGAATCTGATTAACTAAAACTTTGCAGTCTCTTTAAAACTTGACCATTGGCAGGGCGCAGTGGCTCACGCCTGTAATCCCAGCTCTTTGGAAGGCCAAGGCGGGTGGATCACCTGAGGTCAGGAGTTTGAGACCAGCCTGACCAACATGGTGAAACTCCATCTCTACTAGAAATACAAAAAGCAGCCGGGCATGGTGGCACACGCCTGTAATCCCAGCTATTCGGGAGGCTGAGGCAGGAGAGTTGCTTGAACCTGGGAGGCAGAGGTTGCAGTTAGCAGAGATCGCGCCACTGCACTCCAGCCTGGGCAACAAGAGCGAGACTTTGTCTCAAAAAACAAACAAACAAAAACCTTGACCATTGGCAGCACCAAGAAATGACTGGGGTTGCCTAGCCATCCCATAATATGAAGTCCCTCCAAATAAATATAAAAATATAATTTTAAAAACAATGCATGCTATGTAAAAATAAATTCAAGGCATTCTCTTAGCCCTCCATCCCAACCATACTGCCTTCCCAAAAAGCCTCTTTTATAGAAATATTGGAACCAACACTGAACATGATCATTTTTGTTTGTTTAAATACATTAAGGGTTCTTAATATATACACCGTGTTTTGAAACTCTTAACGTTTCTTTAAAGATGAAAAGCAGGTATCCTTGGGCGGGTGCGGTGGCTCACACCTGTAATCCTGGCACTTTGGGAGGCCGAAGCAGGCAGATTACTTTAGCTCAGGGGTTTGTGACCAGCCTGGGCAACAGAGTGAAATGCTGTCTCTACCAAGAATACAAAAATTAGCCGGGCGTGGTGACACACACCTGTAGTCCCAGCTACTCAGGAGGCTGAGGTGGGAGGATGGCTTGAGCTCAGGAGTTGGAAGCTGGAAGTTGTAGTGAGCTGTGATCACACCACTGCATTCCAGCCTGGGCGACAGAGCCAGGCCCTGTTTCCAAAAAAAAGAAAAGAAAAGGAAGGAATCTTTGTGCAAGTTGGTCATTTATTCTGCATTCAATTTTTAAAAGTAGTTACTTACACTTCCTGCCCACAAATCTTCCCTTTCTCCTGCAAGTTTAACATAAACAGATATCTCTTCTCCCTTAGTGAAGTTCAGGTATCGGCAGTCAGGTCCTCTATAATCTCTCATGGCTGAGACTCTGTTTATTAAAGCTATGTAAAACATGTAAAGAAAAATACACACTTTAAATTAAAATGATATTTCTCCTCCTTTCATCTTGCTGTCCCTCAATCCATCCTATATGTTTCCAAATGCTAATTTCTTTATATCATTTATGGCCTCAAAAACCTACATAGCCTTCCCACTGCATGCAGAATCGAGTCTAAGCCTCTGGGCCTGGTATCCAAGGCTGTCCATAACCTGGTCCCCTTTCTCTATTTGAAAGGACCTCTTCCTATCCCTTCACACAGACTTGGCTACACTCAAGTTTGTTTATCCATTGTCCCTAGAACATATCATTATCATTCTCTAGTCTGTAGGAAAGGACAAAAGATAATCAGTTTTCTTCCTGGCACTTACTATATTCTAGGCATTATGATAAGTGCTCTCATATTTTTATTTTATTAAATCCTCAAAACAGATCTATGAGGTAAATAATTTCATCTCAGTCTAATAAATGAGCCTTTAGTGAAGGCTCAGAGAATTGGTCACATAGCCCTAGTGGAGCCCAATTTGCCCTGAGGTTCTTCTCACTGCAAAATCCTCTTCCTTATTCTGAGCTTTTCTTTCTGTCCTTTCCCCAACCTAGACACCATTTTGCCCCCTTCATGCTTAAGTCATGTTCTGCTTCCTCTATGAAGCAGCCTGATTATTCCAGCCTACTGCGATTGCCCTTTCTCTGAACTTTAATATTGCCTATTATCCTTACTAGGCTGCATCACTATTTACTGTTTCATTTTAACCTGTCTTGTCATCCTTCACTAAAATTAAATTTTCTGAAGGGGAAGAAACTTATCTTACATCTCATCTGATTTCCCTTACATGCATAGCACCTGCCCCCCGCCCAACCCAACGTGTAGTAGGCCTCAATAACTATGAACGAATCACAGCCACATATGCCAGATTCAGCAGTTCAACACATGAATATACACACCATATTACCTATTATAATTATACAAACATATGTAAAATAAGATATTTTTATTGTCATGCAATTAAAGTTAAAATAACATTATAAATTTCTATAAATTTGAATGTTCCCTTTTCATGTTCTATATCTGGCCCTAAGGAAACTAAAATGAAGTTGTAATATAAAGAGGGAAAGAAAAATTTTTTTTTCTTTATATATATTTTTTTGAGGCAGGGTCTTGTTCTGTTGCCCAGGCTACAGTGCAGTGGCATAATGATAGCTGACTGCAGCCTCCACCTCCCAAGTTTAAGCCATCCTCCCACCTCAGCCTCCCTAGTAGCTGGGACTATAGCTTGTGCCACCATGCCCAGCTAACTTTTTTGATTTTTTGTAGAGATGAGGTCTCACTATGTTGCCCAGGCTGGTCTCAAACTTCTGGACTCAAGTGATCCTCCCACCTCAGTCTCTCAAAGTGCTGGGATTACAGGTGCAAGCCACCACACCCAGCAAAAGATTATTATGATAATAAAACATCTAGTAAACTTCTCTATATATTACATTATATGTCCAAAAAGTTAAGGAAGAATGTTTACTCATAATTATTACTTATAAATTATTTATGTTTATACTAATAACATTTTTCATTTTTCATTTTCATGTTGCAAATTAGAAGTAATTCTCACAGCTGGGCATGGTGGCTTATGCCTGTAATCTTAGCACTTTGGGAGGCTGAGGCAGGTGGATTCCCTGAGCTCAGGCTGGGCAACACAGTGAAATCCCATCTCTACTAAAATACAAAAAATTAACCAGGTGTGGTGGCGTGCGCCTATAATCCCAGCAACTTGGGAGGCTGAGACAGGAGAATCGCTTGAACCTGGGAGGCAGAAGTTGCAGTGAGCCGAGATCGTGCCATTGCACTCCAGCCTGGGTGACAGAGCAAGACTCCATCTCAGAAAAAAAAAAAACCAAAAAGGTAGAATTTATTTAAAGCAATTTTTGATTCTGCTGAGAGAGAAAAAATATGTATTTATTATAAAATAAAAACAAAAGGAAAAATAACTTATTTAAAGCAACTCTAATATATTGGGATGTAATTTATTTTGCACCATAAAACTAATAACAGAAATAAGTTCTTTAACAATAGAATGGAAATTAATTTCCATTTACAGTAAAGAAAGCTTTATATTCAATGATATAAATAAAAAATTTATATTCTAGTCCTGATTTCAGTATTTTTACATAATAAATAACACAGAAATGATTAACATTTAGTAAAGTTTAGAAGAATAAATCATGATGGTTTGAAATAAAAACACTTTTTAGGAACGTCATGAGAATCAGAAAGTTCTGAGTGTGAAACAGAAACTAAAAAGTAAAAGGCCTTCATAAATAAAGGCCTATCAAATTAGCCTGATGTCTTTTTTTATATGAATCAATTAGATTTATCTTTTTTTTTTAATGGGCAGCCTTCTGAGCCAGAATAGGCTCAGAGACTCCTAGATTAATCTTTAAAAATAGTAAAAGGACTGACTAGTTTTTTAACTTCTGATATATTTCTATAGCAGACTGATTTTTGCTATTTGTATATTTGTATTAAATACTACCACAAAATGCTTTGCTTCCAACATTTCTTTTTTATACCAAGCTGTACTTCATAATCCAAATATTTCTCAATGGTATCAATACTCATTTTTATCATGCGTGACCACAATAAGATTTTATGTCATTGCAGAGCCTCAATTTAGGAGGAGAAGAAGCGGGGGAAGCAAACTTACCTTCACATTCCAAGTCACCACATTTTTTAAGGTCTGCCAGCAGTTTTGTACTCTCCAGACACTTTGTCAGAGAAATAGCCAGAAGAAGGATTCTGTGAACGCCAAATTTTGCCATGCTAAAACAAGCAACCGGGAATCCCAAGTGAAGTTTAAGCCAATTGTTCAGGTTGTAGAGATGTCAGCCAAAACTGGAGATATTCTACTCTCTTCACTAACTATAAGAGAAAAAGGGTTGAAGTTTTAAAAATCTCTTGATAACTACCTTTTTCTATCGGCTTGTTGGTTTAACTTGAGAGACAAACACTGTCTGTTTTCAATCTGCAGTGTCAGGTATTCCTGTAATACCTAAGGGTTTAATAATTAACAAGGATTTTTAGTTGGACTAATGTGTTATAAAGGAAGCCCATGTAAAACTGTCTCACTTAAAGGTACCTTGTGTTCAACAGGATAGTTTTTAAGTAGGCCTCCGCAAAAGGGTAGTTACCTGCAAATACTAATTTCAGTGGATAACGTATATAGCTGTGTGCAAAAAGAGTAATAATTTATGTTAAAAGAATGGCTTTGAAATATGGTGAAAAGTATTTTTAAAAAGATTCCACTTTTCTATTTAAAAACCCCTTATTGTTACTATGAAGTTAAAACTTATTTAGTTAAGAACAATAGTTGAAATGTAGTAAGTACTTACTATGTTCCAGGTACTGTCTTAAGTAAGTACTTAAATATATGATCTGATATAACCTTCACACCAACTCTCTGAGGTAGGTAATATTATCGTCCCCACTTTTGTGTATAAGGAAACTGAGGCACAGAGAGATGGGTTAAATCACTTACTCAATGGCACATATGAGTGGAAAAGAAATGTTAACCTAGGCACAATGAGACCCCATACTTATAACCAACCACTTGCTTTACCACCAAGAATCAAGTCATCTGCCATTGAAAGAGGTCACTCTGTCTACAACAATACTACTCCAGAAACAGCAGGTAGAGTATTACTCCATGCTTTAAAAACTGTATGCATATTTCTTTAAGTGGACAGAGAATGAAAGAGAGATATCTGAATAAGTGCCCCCCCACATGGTAGAAGTATACAGTGTGATTTCCGTTGGTATTTATTTTCTTCTTTGTAGTTTCCTATATTGTTTGGCTTTCTTTTTTAAAAAAGAAAGCATATGTCTTTTTTAGTTTTGTTTTGTTTTTGAGACAGAGTCTTACTCTAGCCCAGGCGGGCCTCCCAGGCTTGAGCAATCCTTCCACCTCCCCTTCCTGAGTAGCTGAACCACAGGCATGCGGGACACAGCTGGCTAATATTTTATTTTTAGTAGAGATGAGGTCTCACTGTGTTGGCCAGGCTGATCTTGAACTCCTGGACTCAAGTAATCCTCCTGCTTCAGCCTCCCAAAGTGCTGGGATTACAAGCATGAGTCACCACACCTGGCCCGTATATTATTTTAAAATAAATCAGCTGGGCGCGGTGGCTCACATCTGTAATCCCAGCACTTTGGAAGGCCGAGGTGGGTGGATCATGAAGTCAGGAGATCGAGACCATCCTGGCTAACACAGTGAAACCCCGTCTCTACTAAAAAATACAAAAAATTAGCCAGGAGTGGTGTCGGGCGCCTGTATTCCCAGCTACTCGGAAGGCTGAGGCAGGAGAATGGCCTGAACCTGGGAGGCGGAGCTTGCAGTGAGCCAAGATCTTGCCACTGCACTCTAGCCTGGGCGACAGAGCGAGACCCCGTCTCAAAAAAATAAATAAATAAAATTAAAAAATAAAAATAAAAAAATAAATCAGCCGGGCCCGGTGGCTCATACCTGTAATCCCAGCACTTTGGAAAGCCAAGGCAGGAGGATCACCTGAGGTCAGGAGTTCAAGACCAGCCTGGCCAATATGGTAAAACCCCATCTCTACTAAAAATACAAAAATCAGCCAGGTGTTGTGGCAGGCACTTGTAATCCCAGCTACTTGGGAGGCTGAGGTAGGAAAATCGCTTGAGCCCAGGAGGCAAAGGTTACAGTGAGCTGAGATTGCGCCACTGCACTCCAGCCTGGGCAACAGAGAGAGAGTCCATCTCAAAAAAATAACAATAATGAAAAAATAAATAAATAAATACTAAAATAAAGCTATGAAAATCCAGTCATTTGAAGGTTACCGTCACTCAAAAAGGATCAAAATCCCACATTGGAAATTTTTGGGTAAAACTGTAGGTCTCAGTCGATTTTCAGAAACCATGGTTGTCCTATTTCATTCTTGGGAAAATATTTGTCTAAGCCCTCCTTTGCTGTACTTTTTCACTGTATTTGGGCATATCAGTGAGCACACAGTTGGTCTTCTGATTCTTAGGTCAGAACCCAGCACTTGTATGATGTCACACTCCCCTCTAGTGCCTGACACAAATAGGACAAATACCCAGCCCCCGAGCAAGCTAAAGTGAAGGAAGGACTTTTGCTTTCAAGATCCTAAGTAAAGGAAGTTTGTTTGTTGGTTTGTTTTCAAAAAACAATGATCAGTAGGAAGCCCGCTCTCTCAGAGCTAAGATTTTGATATCCTTCAAAAGAATCTGATAGAGCATGCATTTCAGGATAATTTGGCTTGCAACAGAGCACTGCACAGTTGTATGCATACATACACAAAAAGGTGTAGGTTAGGCCAGGTGCCTCACAACTGTAATCCCAACACTTTGGGAGACTGAGGCAGGAGGATTGCTTGACCCCAGGAGTTTGAGGCTGAGTGAGCTATTGTCACACCACTGCATGCCACCCTGCGTGACAGAGTGAGACCCTGTCTCTATTTTTTTAGAAAAGATGTAGGTTAGTTTCTTGAGTACCTTTGCAAATCTACAAGCTGTGTTGTTAAGGACATTTAAAGAAGGATCAGCTCTTCAGCGTCAAAATTTAGCTCAGGGTTATTTGCATATTTTATATTACCAAATCCAGTATTAAATCAAGAACATTTAGTAATTAATGTAGTTTAACTCTCTTTGTTTTTGTATTAAATATTAAAGACAATATAAAGAATTTATGGATAAATTCAGAAGTAATTGACTTAATCATGTTCTAAGTTAAGAACAGCAAGGGCCCAGCAAAATCTAAATTTGGTATTCATTGGCCTGAGGGAGATTTCGGTCAAGAAAAATTTTTGCCTAAGATGCCGGTCTGGAGAGATTTGCTCCTATTAGAAATGCTCCCACACTCGTGCTACTTAATGCATTCAGATGATCTCATTTTATGTTCAGATCATTATTTAAATTATAATTTAACAAGATATCTGAAAATGTGGTAGCACAATGTTGATGAACTATCTCTAACAAACTGGATGAGGAGACGGCACATGAAAGGGACAAGAGCATTTGGTTAAAAGAAACTAAAGTGTGACTTTCACTATGAAAAATAGTCATATTAACTTAGCCAGATATTATCTAATTGCTGATGCATTTTGCAGAATATATCAAATTCATCAAATGTAATGCTAAATGTTAGTACTGAGGAAGGCGTCATGGTAACACAGCTCAGCCAGGAATACTGATTTGGAAGGCCTATACTATTCTTTACAAACCATATGGGAAGTAAGAGTACTTACTGCATAATGCCAAAGAATGAATCATCAGCCAGCCATGGCGGCTCATGCCTGTAACCCCAGCACTTTGAGAGGCCAAAGCAGGAGAATCACTTGAGCCCAGGAGTTCGAGACCAGCCTGGGCAGCCTGAGCAACATAGGGAGATCACATCTCTATAAAAAAAGAAAGATTAAATGAGCCAGATATAGTGGCACATGCTGTAGTCCTAGCTACCTGGGAGGCTAAAGCAGGAGGATCTCTTGAATCCAGCGGTTCAAAACTGCAGTGAGTTATGACTGTCACTGCACTCCAGCCTGGGCGACAGAGCGAGAGTCCGTCTCAAAAATAATAATAATAATAATAATAATAATAATAATAATAATAATGAACCCTCAAAGCCACACATATTCAGTACCTAGACATAGAATCACAGAGCAACCCTTTCCATGAGAATATAAAGACAGAATCATGAATGCTGCCCTTCTACCGCTTGGTGATGTTATTTCTGATACTATATATATAGTACAGTCTTCTCTCTTAGTATCTCAGATTTCCTAAAGTGGCAACATATTTCCTCCAACATCTGCCTGTTACTCTGGCAATTTATAAGACACAGAAATTTAATTAGAAGGTATTGGGATAAGGAGAACTGATTAATCTAGAGGGATTTTACTATGGATGAGGATAGAGCCTTTGGAAACAGTTCCCATGGTATGATGTGTGTGTAGTGAGAGATAAGACCCAGGAGAGATTAAGATTTTAGACTTGTGGGGAAGAGATGGAGATGGCCCTCCACATCCGCTCGCCAAGATAGGACTTTCTGCCCACCTACAGGGAGTACAGTTAGTAAACAGCCTCCACTGGCAGCTATGTCAGGGCCTGCCTCAGCTGCAGAGACCTATACCAGCACCCGCAGAGACAAATACCCAGCTCCTGAGCAAGCTAAAGTGAAGGAAGGACTTTTGCTTTCAAGGTCCTAAGTAAAGGAAGTTTGTTTGTTTTCCAAAAACAATGATCAGTAGGAAGCCTGCTCTCTCAGAGCTAAGATTTTTATATTCTTCAAAAAAATCTAATAGAGCCTGCATTTCAGGATCATTTAGCATATGACCTTACCCAAGATCACCCCTTCCTGGGTGATCCAGTGAATCTAGTGAATAAACAAGAGGGTACAAAGGCAGAGTCATTTCAGCCTCATGTGGGACAACCTGATGGGCATTTCTCACCTAGAGCTTCCTGTTGGGTTGACTGAGTCTTTGCAGGGCCTGCATTGCAGTTTGACTTCCCACTCTGCCCAATCCTGCTATCTGCCACTTCCTTTCATAGGTTTGATTCTTTGAACCCCAAACTCTATCTCAGCATCCGCTTCTAGAGGACCTAACCTCAGAAGCTGGTGATTCACAGGCACAAAAAGAGGAGATGACAGAACATGCACATTTTGACTTGACACATCATCTGTGCTAGTCACGCCACGGCTTTCCTTTTTTTTTTTTTTTTTTTTTTTTATTTTGAGACAGAGTCTTGCTAATTTTTGTATTTTTTTTGTAGAGACGGGGTTTTGCCATGTTGGCTAGGCTGGTCTCGGCCTCCTGACCTCAGGTTATCCACCCACCTAGGCCTCCCAAAGCACTGGGATTACAGTTATGAGCCACCACGCCCGACCAATGGCTTTTCTTATGTTTGTTGTTTTGTGTCGTTGAAGACCACATTGTAATTCTACCACTTTTTCCCATTGTATCTCTATCAATAAGAATTTTACCAGGAAACAGATGGACATTCAATTTTAAGGGGATAGCACTCCTCAATGATTTAGGAGAATTTAATAAAAGGACTATTTACAAAGGTGGGGACACGGTTAAGGGAAACCAACAAAGGATGTAACATCCCCAGGCAGGCAGGAATGTGACCACTGACTGGAAAGAGCTTAGGAGAGGACGGCTGAACAGGAACTTGAAGTCTTCAGTAAAGGAACTCAGTCAAGATAACCTCACCCTGCTCCCACCTTCTGATCTCCGGATGGAGCCTCCCACTTGCCAAACCCAGCCAAATGCTGGCAAATAATGGAACCCACTGAAGCAGTCCTAAAGGTCTATGTTCCAGGGACACCGAGCAGAATGGCAGAATGAAGAGTGGATTAGGAAGAGCAAAAAGAGAATACCCCCACACATTGTCATTATTCCTTTACAAGTTGTTTCAGAATAATAGTATGCAGCATTCTTAACATCCAAGATATGTGTGTGATTTTTGCTGATCAGGGAACCAAATTGATTAGTCTCGTCAATAGGCAGGAAGGAAAATTAAAGTTTGTTGAGCACGAACTTTGAACAAGTGAGTTTAATATCTTGCATACAAATCTCACCTTCCAGGATAGGTATTATTTGTTGAATGCCTATGATGTGTCAGGCATTCTTCTAGGGACTGGAGATACAGGAATGAACAGGACAAAGTTCCAGCTCTCACAGAACTTGCATGCTTATGAAGGGAGACAGACAAGAACAAGTAAACAAATGAACAAGATAACTTCAGGTAGTGATAAGTTATTATGGAGAAAAATGTCTACTTAGATAAGGTTGTCTTGGAAGGCAACACTGGAGTGACATTTGACTTAAGACGGAGGAGTGGGGAGACAGAATTACTGTGCGGAGGAAAGAATTAATGAGGAGGTTATACTTCATTGTCTGAAGCTTCATTACCCCAGATTTAAAGAAAAAATAAAGAAGGCATACAAATGCATTACAGTATGTCAGAAAAAAATGGCCTTGGCTGGGCGCAGTGGCTCACGCCTGTAATCCCAGCACTTTGGGAGGCCAAGGCGGGTAGATTACCTGAAATCAGGAGTTTGAGACGAGCCTGGCCAACATGGTGAAACCTCGTCTCTACTTTAAAAAAAAAAAAAATACAAAAATTAGCTGGGCATGGAGCGTGTGCCTATAATTCCAGCTACTCAGGAGGCTGAGGCAGGAGAATCACTTGAATCTGGGAGGCAGAGGTTGCAGTGAGCTGAGATTGCTCCACTTGCACTCCAGCATGGGCGACTCTGTCTTAAGGTAGAAATGAACTTGGTCTTTATATTCAAGAAACATCAAGGCAAGTGAAGAGTAATAGGGGATGAAGCAAGAGGCACAGACAGGAGGAACCCAATCATGCAGGGACTTTTTGCTGTGGAAGTGTGGAGTGTGAGTTTTATTCTAAGTACAATGGGAAGCCATAGGAAGTTTTAAGGAAGAAATATGATTTGTGTTTTTACCATATAACTTTTTTTTTTTTGCTTTGGTAACTCCTACTTATTCTTTAGGTGTCTTAGGTTCTTAGGTTAAATTACTTAATAAATAGGGTGGGGCATGGTGGCTCACGCCTGTAATCCCAGCACTTTGGGAGGCCAAGCCAGGTGGATCACGAGGTCAGCAGTTCGAGACCAGCCTGACCAACATGGTGAAACCCCGTCTCCACTAAAAATACAAAAAAATTAGCTGGGCGTGGTGGCGGGCACCTGTAATTCCAGCAGCTTGGGAGGCTGAGGCAGGAGAATTGCTTGAAACTGGAAGGCGGAGGTTGCAGTGAGCTGAGATTGCACCACTGCACTCTAGCCTGGGCAACAAGAGCAAAACTCTGTCTCAAAAAAAAAAATTACTTAATAAATATATCGCTCAATAATTTTTTACTGAATGAATGAATACATGCATGAATGAATAAATAAAGTGATTCCTTTTCAAGAAGTCATACCTCATGACTAAATGAAATTCTGTACTGAGTTGGGTAGCTCAACTGCTCTCTCTCATTTCAAAAAAAAATTCAATTATATCTTTTGATTAATTTTTTTCAATCAGATCTAGCTTTTCCCATATTCATCTTTGTCACTGGATTGATATTAGCAGTAGCAGTAAAAGTCCAAATATCCAGCATGCAAAGCTAAGAAAAGTCTTTGGATTCCCAAGTACTTCAAGGATGTTACAGGTTCCTGTATATGAATAGGTTAATGAGCAACAGCTTAGAAATATTTAATATTCCTACTAATTCCCAATCATCAATAGCCTAGATGTCTATAAAGAACTCAGATGGGCTGGGGGCAGTGGCTCATGCCTGTAATCCCAACACTTTGAGAGGCCAAGGCAGGTGGATCACTTGAGCACAGGAGTTGGATACCAGCTTAGCCAACATGGCGAAACCCCGTCTACTAAAAATACAAAAATTAGTTGGGCATGGTGGTGCGTGCCTGTAATCCCAGCTACTCAGGAGGCTGAGGCAGGAGAATCACTTAAACTTGGGAGGCGGAGGTTGCAGTGAGCCAAGATCATGCCATTACAATCCAGCATGGATGACAAAAGCGAAACTCCATCTCAAAAAAAAAAAAAAAAGAACTCAGAAGGGCCAATTTAAGATACTCTTACACCATTCTCTCCCGAATCATCCTCCTTCACTCCCTGTAGCCATCCCTTTCTCATTTATGTATCCTTTCCTCCCTCTTGCCTTTTTGGTGCCCACAGTACTAGATACCTTGTGCTCCAAAGTTTCTTTAAGAAAAAAATTAATTTACTCACAAAAAAGTCAGTAATTTAATATTTACGCCTCCCCCAAATAATTATATATATATATATGTACTTTTTTTTTTTTTGAGACAGAGTCTTGCTGTGTCACTTAGGCTAGAGTGCAGTGGCATGATCGCAGCTCACTGCAACCCCCGCCTCCCAGGTTCAAGTGATTCTCCTGCCTCGGCCTCCCGAGTAGCTGGGATTACAGGCGCCCAAGAATATGCCCAGCTAATTTTTTTTGTTTTTTTTTTGTTTTTTTTTAGTAGAGACGGGGTTTCACCATCTTGGCCAGGCTGGTCTCGAACTTGTGACCTCGTGATCCTCCTGCCTCGGCCTCCCAAAGTGCTGGGATTACAGGTGTGATCCACCACACCAGGCCAATAATTATATTTTTAAAAGCATGTATTGCATAAAATTTCTACATGAAAATGAATAGATAAGTTCTTTATGATTATTTATTTTATCCATTTCTTTCAAAGATGTACAAAATAAAAACACCTTGAAAGCCGGGCGCGGTGGCTAATGCCTGTAATCCCAGCACGTTGGGAGGCAGGAGGAATGCTTGAGCCCAGAGTTCAAAACCAGCCTAAGCAACACAGCAATACCCTGTCTCTACAAAAAAAAAAAAAAAAAAAACCATAAAAAAATAAATAAAAATTAGCTAGGCATGATGGCACCTACCTGTAGTCCCAGCTACTCAGGAGTCTGAGGTGGGAGGATTGCTTGAGTCTGGGAGGTGGAGGTTGCAGTGAGCCCTGCTTGCATCACTACACTCCAGCCACAGTGACAGAGTGAAACTCTCTCAAAAAAAAACCCTAAAAAAATCTTGATCTGATACTATTATTTTCCTTCTTCTTTTTTTTTTTTTTTTTTTGTCTCTCTCTCCCTTCTTCAGACTTCCCTGGGACATAGAAATAAACAACCCCTCTGCCAGTGAACTCATGCTAAGTCTTGGCAAACTACTTAGCCTCTTGTAGCTTCAAAGTACATTCCATCTTGGGGTCCTCCTGCCATTCTAGTTGATTTTCTTATATTTGCACATGGTAAAATTAACTCTTTGTGGTGTAAGTATAAGTATACAGTTCTATGGGTTTTGACAAATGCATAGTCATGCACCCACTACCACTATACCATACAGAACAGTTCAAAGTCATTATTATTATTATTATTTTTTGGAGGTGGAGTCTCACTCTGTAGCCCAGGCTGGAGTACAGTGGCACAACCTCAGCTCACTGCAACCTCCTCCTCTCGGGTTCAAGCAATTTTCCTGCCTCAGCCTCCTGAGTAGCTACGACTACAGGCAGACGCCACCATGTCTGGATAATTTTTATTTTAGTAGAGATGGAGTTTCACCATGTTGGCCAGGCTGGTCTTGAACTCCTGACCTCAAGTGATCCACCTGCCTCGGCCTCCCAAAGTGCTGGGATTACAGGCGCAAGCCACCGTGGCCAACCCGAAGTCATTTTAAAGTTAACATTTAAGTTGAAAACGTATCTGAATTATGTGGAGAATTCTTACTTTGCTGATTCTCTTCATAAGGCTTATTAATCCTTTAGCAGAATAGAAACAATATATAAGATCATTGAAAGCAAAATAAACAAATATTTGTTTCTTCATCTCTGCAAGATAACGCTCCAATAAAGGTTACCTTTGAGCCTTTCCACCAGTTCAAAAGCGAGAAAGCTTAAATAGATGTATCTTGGTGGCTTTTTGTCATTAGTGAAGAATCAGATCAATCACATGAATCTGACATTGAGGGTACAAAAAAATGCAAAAGAAAAACAAATTATTGGAAGCCTCAAATGTGATAAAATACATTTTAAAACAAAGTAACTGCTTTTTAAAATGTTATTTCTCATGAAAATAATTTCCATGACTCATTCTGGTCCTAATACATTGCCAGGTAACTGTCTGTCTGCTTTTACGTAACTGTCCTCCAACTAGGCTTCTCCAATAAAGTCATGGCAGAGAGGGGCAATGGGTAGGGAAGAGAAGACCGTGAGGAAGAGAAGAGAAGAGAGAAGAGGAAGGTGAGGAAGGGAGGAACAACAGAAGCCTCAGTCTCTGCAGCCTCTGGTGAGGGCGGAATGAGGTGGGAGGGTACAGTGGGGCTCTGGACTGTGAATACTGGCTTCACCTCCCCAGGTGGCTTCACGGAGCAGACGA
The DNA here is from genome assembly GCF_000001405.40 of Homo sapiens. Lineage (NCBI taxonomy): Eukaryota > Metazoa > Chordata > Mammalia > Primates > Hominidae > Homo > Homo sapiens. The sequence continues at coordinate 39,223,980 of NC_000014.9, read as the reverse complement.
GAAGGGAGATGGAGTGGATTCAGCAGGTGGTGCTCTTATTCAAGCACTCATGGTTATTAATATCTTCCATTAAACCTATGTCTAGAGGATAACACTCAATGACCCACTAGACACAAGCCTACCTAGTTTTAAAAGCGACAACAAAATGTACCCTCTGACTAACCTCAAATATAAGCGTGACGTCATTTTTAAATGAGGTAATAGGCTTTATCATCTCCTTTCTTATGTTGCAACAGCACACAATATTTCTCAGTTTTAATTCTTTTTTGTCTTGAGTGTATGATATTATTTTAATTCATCAAACTCTTACTGATTAACAAGATACTACTGATGGGCCGGGGCGCAGTGGCTCACGCCTGTAATCCCAGCACTTTGGGAGGCCGAGGCGGGCAGATCACGAGGTCAGGAGATCGAGACCATCCTGGCTAACATGGTGAAACCCCATCTGTACTAAAAATACAAAAAATTTGCCGGGCATGGTGGCGGGCACCTGTAGTCCCAGCTACTTGGGAGGCTGAGGCAGGAGAATGGCATGAACCCAGGAGGCAGAGCTTGCAGTGAGCTGAGATCGTGCCACTGCACTGCAGCCTGGGCAACAAAGCGAGACTCTGTCTCAAAAAAAAAACAAAAACAAAAAACAAGATACTACTGATGATAACAAAAAATCATTTGAGAAGGTGCTTTCCAATGCTTTGGCCACCAATAAAAATGTACTCCACTAAACCCTCTATGATTATACTACTAAATACACCCATCCTTTTACACTCAGGAGTAACCACAACTTCATCTCACAATAGCTGCATAAAAGGCAATCACATAACAAATGCCTCAAGCATTTTTTATTACTATTACCTAAGAGTTTATTTTACGTTTCCTCAAGACTCAAAATATTTTCAAACACTATTTACAATTTATGTGTATGAGCCTACATTTTTCATTACGAGATGTCACAAAACAACCTTCTTAAGTATATGTTTCCTCCACCAAGTAATATTTTACTTTATATGAAATCATCAGGATCCAAGGCAATTTTTACTGCCTTACAAAACTTCCATGGGGCAAGATTGCTAGTTGAGATCCATGCCATGATGTCATCCTGGCCAGTCAATCTGAGCAGTTGACTGTACACCACAAATTATAATTTCTTCCCAGGTCCTGTGGGATTATGCTTTGCTTCTTCATCTCCTACAATGTGGTGAAAGAGAGATTGGAAATTCCTCTTTACAAGCCACGCTATGTCAGGAGTTTCTGGAATTATCTGAACACTGTGATTATTGTAGTCGGTTTAAGAATGACAAATTCTCTTCCTACATATAAATTTAAAAGCTTGTTAATTATGTTCTTGTTCACTTCAAAACTGATATTCACTCTAATATCTCTGAAGGAGACTCCAGAGGGTCTCCACTGTTATATTAACTTTACTATTCCTAATAATTTTTTTCTTCTACACAAGTTTTCCCTCTGCATTTAGCAGTCTTCTATGACTGGAAAAGCATCAATATTAACTCTCAGTTAACCTCATTAACAATAAAAATAATTGATTAATTTATATTTGGATTTGGAACATACGATGAAATCCTGAGAAATAACTCATTACTTTTCCAGTAACATATTTCTTAAACTTATATTAAAATGAATTTTTATTTCTCTGTGCAAACGCAAACTGATGACAAGAAGGACCAGCTCGAAGGTATTCCTGGGAGCAAGGGAAATTGGCTAGGATTTAAAATTTCCTGCAAATAATCAGAGAAGTCAAAATTCATGTTATAACCATTACATATTATGCCTAGGCTTGATTCTATTATAACTTCCAATACTTTTTTCTCAAGATCTCATTCCCAAAGGCCACAGGGTAGAAATTTTGTACCTTTCAGGATTAAAAGCCCTTGTGACTAGTCCTCTTATGTTTTTAAGCATGTGCATTATTAGAAACAGCACAACTGTCCTGTAATCCCAGCACTTTGGGAGACCAAAGAGGGCAGATCACCTGAGGTCAGGAGTTCGAGACTAGCCTGGCCAACATGGTGAAACCCCATCTCTACTAAAAATACAAAAAATTAGCTGGACATGGTGGTGCATGCCTGCAGTCCCAGCTACACGGGAGGCTGAAGCATGAAAATTGCTTTAACCCGGAAGGCGGAGGTTCAGTGAGCCGAGATGGCGCCACTGCACTCCAGCCTGGGCGACAGAGCAAGACTGTCTCCAAAAAAAAAAAAAATCATATCTGAAGACCATGATATTGCCACTAGTATATAGCTGTGAAGTGCATGATTCAGTAACTCAGCTCGACAAGACAAAGTATGAAGATATCCCTCTAAAGTCTTGGGCAATTAATTCATTGCTGTAGAGATGACTTCTGTTTGATTATCATTCTTCACAGCCTTTATTCCCACCTTCCCCTTCAAAAAAGTATAAGTTTGGCTTTGTGAAGCACTGGTAGCACTGGTATGAACCTAAGATTCCGGATCAAATGTTATTTGATATCACTATAGTCAGGTGATAAAAATATAAAGATGAGTTTTATTTGGGTGTGTTTTTTTTTTCACCACAGAATATGTAGTAGTATTCATGTATTTCCAAAATAATTTTTAAAGAATAGACTCATCAACTTGTCATAGTGTAAATACTGTATAGACTATGGAAAGCTGCAGTAATAGAGTCAGCTGTGATTTATAATTAAAATTCTTATTGGTTAAAGAATAAATATGCGAAACAATGAAAACAATAAACAAAGCAAAAACAACACAGATTTGCCTTTATTCTTCAAGCTTCCAAAATATCCAGAAATGCTCTGATTTAACAATGTGGCTACCCAGAAGAATCTGGGAGCACAGTTAGAGATAATCAAAACTCAGTTGAAGAAGCACTTTCTATTTGGGAAAATGCTAAGACCCTGAAATTATAAATAGAAACAGGAAAAGAGACGTCTTTTTGTTTGTTTGGAATTTGTAAGTATTCCGTTTGAGGTAGAGTACTAAACTACTACTTCACAGAACTATAACAAAATTGATTGATCCTCTCTCATACGAATTTAGGAGGCATCACACCAGCTCCCTAGGACACAAGAACTCTTTCCATATTTTTGCATTAGATATATTTCAAGAACTGTTTACATGTTGGATGATGGGCATATGTACTTTGCAAATTATAACAATTATGAGTAATTGGACAGTGGCTCAGGCCTGTAATCCCAGCACTTTGGGAGGCTGAGGCAGGCCAGATCGCTTGAGCCCAGGAGTTTGAGATCAGCCTGGGCAACATAGCAAGGCCCCATCCCTACAAAAAATAAAAAATTACCATGTGTGGTGGCACATGCCTGTAGTCTCAGATACTTGGAGGCTGAGGTGGGAGGATCACTTGAGCCTGGGAGGTCAAGGCTGTGGTGAGCCATGATTGTGCTACAGCATTCCATGCCTGGGCAACAGAGTGAGACACTATCTCAAAAAAAAAAAAAAAAAAAAAAAGGTAATTGGAGATAAATTTACCTATGAGTTCCAGAAATAAACAACTCCTAAAAAGTCATTTATTTATTTATTTATTTACTTGCACTTTTATTATTATTATTATTTTGAGACAGAGTCTGGCTTTGTTGCCCAGGCTGTAGTACAGTTTTGCAACCTTGGCTCATTGCAGCCTCCACCTTCTGGGCCCAAGTGATCCTCTCACTTCAGCCTCCTGAGTAGTTGGGACTACAGACACGTGCCACCACACCCAGCTAATTTTTGTATTTTTATGATAGAGAAAGGGTTTCGCCATGTTACCCAGGCTGGCCTCAAACTCCTGGATTCAAGAGATCCACCCACCTCAGCCTCCCAAAGTGCTGGAATTACAGATGCAGCCTAAAAGTCTTATTTATTTATTTGAGACCGAGTCTTGCTTTGTACCCCAGGCTGGAGTGCAGTGGTGTGATCTCGGCCCACTGCAACCTCCATCTCCCGGGTTCAAGCAATTATCGTGCCTCAGCTTCCCAAGCAGCTGGGATTACAGGCGTGCACCACCACAGCCCACTAATTTTATGTATTTTTAGTAGAGACAGGGTTTTGTCATGTTGCCCAGGCTGGTCTCGAACTCCTGGGCTCAAGCAATACACCCGCCTCAGTCTCCCAAAGAGCTGGGATTACAGGCATGTAATTTTAGGCGCCCAGCCCTAAAAGTCTTTTTTTTTTTTTTTTTTTTTGAAATGGGGTCTTGCTCTGTCATCCAGGCTACAGTGCAGTGGTGTAATCTCGGCTTACTGCAACCTCCACCTCCTGGGTTCATGCAGTTCTCCTGCCTTGGCCTCCTGAGTAGCTGGGATTACAGGTATGCACCACCACACCTGGCTAATTTTTGTATTTTTAATAGAGACGGGGTTTCACTATGTTGCCCAGGCTGGTCTCAAACTCCTGACCTCAAGTGATCTGCCCACCGCGGCCTCCCAAAGTGCTGGGATTACAGGCGTGAGCCACCGCACCACACTAAAAGTCATTTTTAAATAGAAATATATTAGTTAGTGTAAGCTAAGATATGCTGTGATAACAAACAACAAAATCTCTGTGACTTAAAATAACAATGGCTTACTTCTCACTCACAAAGTCAGTCATGCAACTTTCCTTGTTGACTTTCTTTCCTTTGGTAACTCAGGGATCTGGAGTCCTTCCATTTTGTGACTTTGCCATCTTCAGCATGTGGCCCCCGAGGTCATCACAGAAGCAAAACAGGATGTGTAGACAATCACGCATGGAATTTTATGGTCAGGTCTGAAAGTACATTCCCTCTGCCAACTCCCACTAGACAGAACCCAGTCACGTGGCTATAATCTAACTGTAAGAAAGGCTAAAAAATATGTGTGCCCAGGAGGAAATGCTTCTACCACAAAATCTCTATAGTATGGCTTTATGCAAATATCTACCATTATTTCTGAACTAGGCCTGCCAAAGCCATGAAATGCTTATCCTTGCCTCTGTAATTTCAGCAGTTTTCATGACTTTGTTTTTGTTTTTTTTGTTTGTTTGTTTTTGAGACGGAGTTGCATGGTGTGCCCAGGCTGGAGTGCAGTGGCACGATCTCAGCTCACTGCAACCTCTGCCTCCCAGGTTCAAGCGATTCTTCTGCCTCAGCCTCCCAAGTAGCTGGGATTTGTTTATTTATTTATTTATTTATTTTTATTTTTTATTTTTGCATTTTTTGTATTTCACCATGTTGGCCAGGCTGGTCTTGAACTCCTGACCTCAACTGATCCACCCACCTAGGCCTCCCAAAGTACTGGGATTACAGGCATGAGCCGCTGTACCTGGCCATGACTTCTTTAAATGAACATTAAACTGTGATTTTTTTCACATTGATAAGTACTGAACAAACAACTGTGAGTCTGAGGTCATGTTCGCTGACAATATGTAGACTGTAACTTTCTATATGGCCTGTTAAGTGCTGAATCATATACTTTTAACTCTTAGCAGAGTAGAGGTAAGACTGATATTATCTTATGAAAGGTAAGGAGTTCAAGAGGTCAAGTGACTAAATAGAAAGTCACTTCCCAACTCCACCTTGAAAGTAAGCCAAAGGAGCACTTGGAGACAGCCCAAGAATCTTCTCAAAAAGTAATTTTGCTTTTGCTCCAACACAAAAAGATCAAGCCAAAAACTTCTAAGTCAGCATTGTCCGATAGAAATAGAGAGTGTTGAGAGGCTGAGGTGGGAGGATTGCCTGAGCTTAGGAGATTGAGGCTGCAGTGAGCTACGATTGTGCCACTGCACTCCATCCTGGGTGACACAGCCAGACCCCGTCTCTAAAGAAAAAACAAAAACAACAAAAAAAGAGAGAGACAGAGTGAGCCACATATGTAATTTTCTAGTAGTCACATTTTACTTTGTGTGTGTTTTTTCCTTTTTATTGTTGAACTGTAGTCCATTTGTATGGATGTACAACAGCTTGTTCATCCATTCTCTAGTTGACAGACTTTTGAGTTATTTTCAGTTTTCGGTGATTATGGATAAAGTCCCTACAAATATTTGCATACAGGTTTTTTTCATGTAATTTTTTAAATAATAAATTTTGGCTGTACAACTTAGGAACATACCACTGGGGAATTTTTCCCTGCTCTTTTAAAAAATAACTTCAACTTTTATTTTAGATGTGGGGGAACATGTGCAGGTTTCTCACATGGGTATATTGCGTGATGCTGAGGTTTGGGGTAGGAATGATCTCATCAACCAAGTAGTGAGCATAGTACCCAATAGGTAGTTTTTCAGCCCTTGCCCCCTGATATGGTTGGGCTGTGTCCACCCAAATTTCATCTTGAACTGCAGTTCCCATAATTCCCACGTGTCATGGAGGTACCCAGTAGGAGGTAATTTAATCATGGGGGCGGTTACCCTCATGCTGTCCTCAAGACAGTGAGTGAGTTCTCATGAGATCTGATGGTTTTACAAGGGGCTTAAACTCTTTTGCTTGGCACTTCCCCTTGCTACTGCCACATGAAAAGAATGTGTTTGCTTCCCCTTCTGCCATGATTGTAAGTTTCCTGAGGCCTTCCCAGCTGTGCTGAACTGTGAGGTAATTAAACCTTTTTCCTTTATAAATTACTCATTCTCGGGTGTGTCTTTATCAGCAGCGTGAGAACGGGCTAATACACCCACTTCCTTCTTTCCTCCCCCTAGCAGTCCCCAGTGCCTATTGTTGCCACCTTTATGTTCATGTGTACCTGTAAGTAGCGGCTCCTACTTATATATGAGAACATGCGGTATTTGATTTTTTGTTCCTGTGTTAATTCATTTAGGATAATGGCCTCCAGCCGCATCTATGTTGCTACAAAGGACATGATTTCACTTTTTTTTTTTTTAATGCTCAACAGGATCTCACATTTATTGAGAAGTGATTAATGGTAAAAAGAAAGGCAATGCCCTTTCCTCATTGGCTGAACAAGAAACTGAAGAAACATTCACTACACGTTTTACAGTATTTTTCTCTTCCAAAATGCATTTCTGTAAACAAGTTTTTACCACTGTTCTTAGCTTTGAAATCAAATTAATCCTGACTTAATCAGTAGAATGTACAAGAACAGAACATTTCTTAGGACTCCTAGTACTTTATTTTGAGTAACAAAAGATCAGAGAAAATGAACCACCCTTAAAGACACAAGCTTGGGTAACACTGTTATATTCTCCTAGACAAAAATTCTTCATAAAAATGTTCTTCCAGTTCGGAAGGATAAAATCAAATTCCCACTTTCTGGGGTGGATGCCCAAAACCTTCACAACTCAAGTGTTCTCCAAGTGCAAATGTCAAAATGGGAGGAGGAAAGGGTTTAAAAATTAGAGAAAACTGTATGCACTTACGGACTTAAAAATCTGAAAAACATAGTAAAAAGACAAAAAAACAAAGCATTATGCTCTGAAATCACAACCAAAGCCAAAATAAAAGGGACATTTTTCACCTAAACTACCTAGAGGGATTTTTTGTTTAGTTTTTTCTTTTTCTTTTTTCTTTTTTCATTTTCCAGTTAAGTCCTATGTCTTTTGTGAAATTCCAATACTTAAACTGCAAGTCTGCAATCGTCGCTGAAGTCAGTGAAATTAAGAAAAAAGTCCTAATTCTCTTGAAGGTCATTTTTTCCTCTTAGGATATGCAGATGCAACCGTTGCTGCAGTCTGTGTAGAACTGCCTTTTATTTCCCATGACCTTGACGTTCCTTTTTAACACTTTCTTCTTCCTCTTGGCGTTTCCCATAGTGTGAGAAGTCATCAAAAATGGAAGTGGTGTGCTTGTAGCTGGCTATAATTTTCAACACCTGCTTAGCCTTTTCCAGAGGCACTTCCTGAGTGTCCCTAGAGTTGGTCACTGGTTTATTCTCATTGTTCTCTAGGCGAATGTGTCGCAGTTGGCTATTGGGAATGTCCTTCACAAAAATCCACCTGACATCAAAACGACCCTTCCATTTGTCCTGGGACCACACACCTGCACATGTGTTGTAGTCCACAGCAGATTTCATTTCTGCAGCGCCACAGAAGTGTCCACGGCTGTTGACACTGAAAAGTAAGTAAAAGGAGCCTTTCCCGTTCATGGAACGATAAGCAGCATCCAGTCTCTTGTTACCATGTTCTGTGCTGCACCAAATATTATACTTAGTGAAACGGTGAATATCGTCCTCAGAGTAGCTCTTAATGATGAAAACCCGGCCATGTTTCAAATTCCAGTCAAAATCTTTGGGGTTATAGTTATTAATGGACCGAAGCTTCTCCAACACAGGGTGGGGTTCTGAAGGAGTAGATCCAGAACCAGCCTGAGACTGTCCTACTCCGTTACCATCCATCCCATTATGACCGAACCCACTGCCATGGTTCCGAGGTGCTACCCAGCGGGTTGGCTGAGCTGCCTGTTGCTGGACTGAAAGCTGGGCAGGCTGTGGTGGAGGTGGAGGCAATGGCTGTGTCTGTTGCCCTACTGATGCCTGAGCCACTGGTGGGCTATTGTTAGCCTGCTGACCTGCAGGCTGAGGAGACCCCTGGGTTGGCTGACCTATATTCTGAACCAAAGCCTGTAAGGGGGCTTTTGCAATGGACCCTTGTTATCCCAAGTTCCAATATCCATGTTATGCTTTATCGGGGGTGGCGGAAGACTTGACCCTGCATGCCATTCTTGGTCTTCGGTTTAGGTTGCTGTTTTGCAGGCTTGCTAGCAATATCAGCCCAAGATGCTGGTTTTGGAGAGCAATGGTGGCTGGAGGCAAACTATTGGAAGCATGATGTTACTAGTAATGGACCCGCTACCAACAGCAGAACCTACAACTTTTGGAACATTGCTTGCAACTTCTGTGCTACCCAACTTCAGTGCTGCCATCCCTTGGTCTATAGCATTCATGCCAGGAGCCTTACTGAGGGTCTCATTGGCAAAAGCTGACTGTCCATCAACCATGGCTCCACCTAAGGAGCTAGGTGCAATTTCACTCTTTTTTATGGCTGTGAGTATTCCATGGTGTATATGTACCACATTTTCTTTATCCACTTCACCTTTGATGGATACCTAGATTGATTCCATGTCTTTGCTATTGTGAGTAGTGCTGTGATGAACATATGAGTTAGTACCCATATTTTTTAAAGTAAAAAGAAACAGGTGAAATCAACTTCAACATTATATTTTACTTAAGTCACTATATATGAGATATTATTTAATATTATTTTATTCATTGTCTCTTTACTGCTGTAACAAATTACTACTAACAGTAGCTTAAAACAAACTTATTTGTTTATTCATTTGGGCTTTTTTGTTTTAGTTTGTTATTTTGGAGACAGGGTCTCACACTGTTGCCCAGGCCGGAGTGCAATGGCATGATCATGGCTCACTGCAGCCTCAATCTTCCAGGCTCAAGCGATCCTCCCATCTCAAGCCTCCCAAGTATAGGCACGCGCCACCATGCCTGGCTAATGTTTTCTTTTTTTTTTTTGGTAGAGACAAGATCTCACCATGTTGCCCAGGCTAGTCTTAAACTCTTTGGTCTGAAGTGATCCAAGTGGTCCACCTGCCTGGGCCTCCCAAAGTGCTGGGATTACAGGCATGAGCCACCACGCATGGCCCATTCATTTATTCATTCATATTTATATAGGTCAGAAGTCCAATATAGGTCTCACTGGGCAAAAACCAAAGTGTCAGCAGGACTGCATTCTATTCTAAAGTTCTAGGGGAGAATACATTACCTTGTATTTTTCAGCTTCTTAGAGGCCCCCTTCTTCTATCTTCAAAGCCAATAATGTTGCATCTCTGTGTCTTTTTTCTTTTTTGGGGCAGGGTCTGTCTCTGTCACCCAGGCTGGAGTGCAGCGACACAATCACGGCTCACTGCAGCCTCAACCTTCTGGGCTCAAGTGATACTCTCACTTCAGTCTGCTGAGAAGCTGGGACTACAGGTGGGCACCACCATACTCAGCTAATTTTTTTTTTTTTTTTTTTTTTGAGACGGAGTCTTGCTCTGTCGCCCAGGCTGCAGTGCAGTGGCACGATCTTGGCTTACTGCAAGCTCTGCCTCCCGGGTTCACACCATTCTGCTGCCTCAGCCTCCCGAGGAGCTGGGACTACAGACACTGCCACTACGCCAGGCTAAATTTTGTATTTTTAGTAGAGATGGGGTTTCACCGTGTTAGCCAGGATGGTCTTGATCTCCTGACCTTGCAATCCGCCCGCCTTGGCCTCCCAAAATGCTGGGGTTACAGGTGTGAGCCACCGCACCCAGCCCCATGCCCAGCTAATTAAAAAAAATTTTCTGGAGAGACAGGGTCTTAAACATCTGGGCTAAAGTGATCCTTCCACCTCGGCTTCCCAAAGTACTAGGATTACAGGTGTGAGCCATGGTGCCCAGCCTCTATGTCTTTTTTCTGTAGTCACATCTTCTTTTCTACTGTTAAGGACTCTTGTGGTTGTATTGGGCCTACTCAGATAATCCAGCATATTCTCACTGTTATAAGGTCAGCTGATTAGCCACCTTAATTCCATCTACAGCCTTGATTCCCCTTCGCCATGTAATATATGAAACATATTCACAGGTTTTCAAGATGTGTACATGGAGATCTTCAGTGGGCCATTATTCTACCTACTATGATTATCAGTATAAAAATTATTAAGACATTTTTTCCTGCTATGCCTTTGAAATCTAATGTATTTTATACTGACAGCATTTCTCAATTCAGAATAACCACATTTCAGGTGTTCAATGGCTACATATAACCAACGGCTACATATCAGACAGCATAGTTCTAAATAATAACTAATATTTATGAGCATTTTTGTAGAATAGTGCTATCCAGTAGCACTTTTTATATTACAGAAGCATTCTATATTTGTGTTATCTACATGGTTATTTAAACTTAAGTTATTTTAAATCAGATAAAATTTAAAATTCAATTCTTCAGTCAAACTAGCCACAAGTCAGAGGCTCAATAGTCACATGTGGCTAGTGGCTACCATATTGAATAGCACAGGTACAGAACATGGCAGCAACATTTCAAGTCTTAAGTGTTAACCAAATGCTCATATCAGTCATTAATTTTTTTTCATATGAGCATTAAAGCAACCACAGAGCATCTAACTTGAGCAATATATCTTTCTAGCATACTCTTCAGGATAAGAAGAGTTGCAAAATGTACACTTAAGCAACTGAATGAAGTGACTTTCTATATAGGTTTAACTGTCAATTCATTGAAAGTGGAAGAGCTAGTGTTTTTAATGGCTTTATAGTTTATAAAACATTTCACATAGATCAGAGATTTTTTTTTCAGTGAGGATGTGTGTTTATCATGTGTTGGGGGTGGGTACGGTGAGTTCTCTATTCAGGTAGGATTGGAAGCTGGCTCAGAGCTCATCCAGTCCAGTCTCCCACAGGTATAGAAGTGCCCTGATAAAATTTCAGAGCTGACTGTCCAGTCAAGATTTGCATGCCTCCAGAAATGGGGCTCTTACGACCCCTCACAGTAGCCCGTTCTGCTCTTGGGCACCTCCAATGGTTGGCATTTTCCTTCCAGCAGCCTCTTTCTTGGGTTGGGGGGTGGGCAGATACTGTCACTCCAGCCTAACCCTCAGGACAAGAGAGGCAGCTGGGTTGGGAACAGAGGCAGAAAAAACAATAAGTTAAATCCAAGAATGAACAGAGACATGGCAGGATGGGCAAGGACATTTCTGGGGTGCCAGCAGTCTCTAGCTTGATCCAGGAGGCACTGGGGAGGAGGTTGCTGATGGCAAGATTCCAGGCAGGAGGTGACTCAGAAGGCTGGGCTGTCAATGGCCCTCTGATCCCCAGTATATTTTTCAGGCCTGAAGCTGTAGGGAGGGGGTGGCTCTGTGGGACTCTGGCCCCGAGTAGGCTTCAGAATCACTCACTGTAGGGGGGTGGGGGAGTAGAGAGGGATGCTCTGACCCTCTCTAGGGGGATGATGGAGGGCAGTTCCCGGGGCCCCTGGCAATCCTTCAGGGCGTCTGGGTCCAGGTCTCTGCAGTTGGGACAGAAGCGCTTAGCCAGGCCACAGATGCACAAGAGAGGCAGGATGACCAGGAAGATGATGACGAAGATCCTCAAGGGGCCAGGGAAGAACTCGTTCTCCTGGCAGCAGCTGTCGCCACAGCATTTGAATCCTTTGGGGCAGGCGAAGGAGAGACCACATTTAGCTGCAACATTTTGGGGGCCAGCCAGCAGGCTGAGCAGCAAGGCGGGCATGAGGCCGGGGACCCCAGATATTTTTTCTTTTTTTTTTTTTGAGATGGAGTCTCGCCCAGGCCGGAGTCCAGTGGCATGATCATGGCTCACTGCAATCTCCACGCCTCCCCAGTTCAAGTCATTCTCCTGCCTCAACCTCCCGAGTGGCTGGGATTACCAGTGCACGCCACCATGCCTGGTTAATTTTTGTATTTTTAGTAGAGACAGGGTTTCATGATGTTGGCCAGGCTGGTCTCGAACTCCTGACCTCAAGTGAGCTGCCCGCCTTGGCCTCCCAAAGTGCTGGGAATACAGGCGTGAGCCACCGCAGCCGGCCAGAGATTTTTCTTTTTTTTTGTAAAGTCTCAGCCTGGGCGACATAGGGAGACCCTATCTCCACAAAAAAAAATAAAATAAAAAAAAATAGCTGGGCATGGTGTCATGTGTCTGTGGTCTCAGCTACTCAGGAGGCTGAGACAGGAGGGTCACCGGAGCCTGAGAGGTCAAGGCTGCAGTGAGCCGAGATTGTGCCACTGCACTCCAGCCTAGATGACAGAGCAAGCCTCTGTCGCAAAAACAAAACAAAACAAAAGTCCGGTCAATTTCCTCAGTTTTTCTCAAGGAAGACATATAGGAAACAGCACGAGGAGATAGAAATTCACACAAGCACAGGTTTATTTTGTCCACTTCCAGGGCGCCTACCCATGCTGGGTTTGCCTCACTCAAATAAGAATAGCCATTCAAGAACAGTCAAGGTAAAACCAGCCACATTCTTTCATATTCCAAATTGCCAGTGCCTCCTCTAAAACTTAAGTTCTGCTTCTAAAATAGTGTATGCCAACATAGGGGAAGGAGTGGGCATGGGAGTGGATTTGAAGTCTCAAAATAACCTGTAGTATGATTTGGAAATTTTGGAAAATCACACTATTCACAGGCAAAATAAGCATAGTCTTAATATTCCCTGCTGTATACTCTTAAATATCAAAAAGCAGAAAAATTATATATCTACAGTGATGGCTGGAAACAGTTGATACTTGTATAGTATCAGACCGCAGTGGTCTTAGTGCTCCCCTCACATGGAAGTGAGGAAGTGTAATCCTCGGCCTCGGAGTCCGAGGTGGGCGGATCACTTGAAGTCAGGAGTTTGGGACCAGCCTGGCCAAGGTGGCGAAACCCCGTCTCTACTAAAAATACAGAAATTAGCAGGGTGTGGTGGCATGTGCCTGTAATCCCAGCTAGTTGGGAGGCTGAGGCATGAGAATCTCTTGAACCTGGGAGAAGGGGGCTTTAGTAAGCCAAGATTACGCCACTACTCTCCAGTCTGGGCGACATAGAGCGAGACCTTGTCTCCAAATAAAAAAAAAAAAGACCAGGCCTGGAACCCAGAAGTGGTGTATATTACTCCTGTTTACTTTTTTTTGTTTGTTTTTTTAAATAAGGAGTCTCACTCTGTCACCCAGGCTGCAGTGCAGTTGCGCCATCTCGGTTCACTTCAACCTTCTCCTCCCGGCTTCTAACAATTCTCCTGCCTCAGCTTCCTGAGTAGCTGGGATTACAGGTGCATGCCACCATACCCAGCTAATTATCTTTGTATTTTTGGTAGAGACAAGGTTTCGCCACCTTGGCCAGGCTGGTGTCCAACTCCTGGGGCTCCAGTGATCCCCCCGCCTCAGCTTCCCAAAGTGCTGGGATCACAAGGGTGAGCCACTGCACCTGGCCTCTTCTGTTTACTTCTATTGGCCAGAAATAATTTCGTGCTTCCACATAATTGCAAATTGGGAGACGCTGGGCGCGGTGGCTCACGCCTGTAATCCCAGCACTTTGGGAGGCCGAGGCGGGCAGATCACTTGAGGTCAGGAGTTTGAGACCAACCTGACCTGGTCTCAACATGGTGAAACCCCATGTCTACTAAAAATACAAAAATTAGCCTGCCATGATGGCAGGCGCCTGTAATCCCACCTACTCAGGAGGCTGAGGCACGAGAATCGCTTGAACCCAGGAAGCGGAGGTTGCAGTGAGCCACTGCACTCTATCCTGGGCAGCAGAGCAAGACTCGGTCTCAAAAAAATAAATAAGCCTGGGCACGGTGGCTCACGCCTGTAATTCCAGCACTTTGGGAGGCGGAGGCGGGTGGATCACCTGAGGTCGGAGTTCGAGACCAGTATAGCCACCATGGAGAAACCCCGTCTCTACTAAAAATACAAAATGAGCCAGGCGTGGTGGTGCATGCCTATAATCCCAGCTACTTGGGAGGCTGAGGCAGGAGAATCGCTTGAATCCAGGAGGCAGAAGTTGCGGTGAGCCGAGATCGCGCCATTGCACTCCAGCCTGGGCAACAAGAGCGAAACTCCGTCTCTAAATAAATAAAAATAAAATTGAGAAGAGAGGAGGAAATTTTCATCTTCCTGTCTGCCCAGGAATAATGACAACACAGTTCTGCTTCTGGCACAGAGGAATTGCTTCTCAGATCCCAAAGTTCCACAACAAGGACATAGACCTCTTGGTGATACCCCAACAAAGTGTGAATTCAGCCATGCTCATTAAACTTTCTTTACCATTCTCAATTGGGCATGTTTCACCATCGTCGCCCCTACTCTCACCTGATTATTGTTCTAATGTGAACTAATTTTTCATTCTTATTTTCAGCTGAGTGTATGGGTCAGGGGTTTAAAAACATTCAACATTCAAACCTACGGAAACAAGGAAAATGAAACAACCTGAAATCATAAAGATTTGTGATAGATACAATGATGTTCCCTTAAGCTGCCCAGCTAATAAAGGGATACCTAACAAAGAAGTTAATCTGTATTAGTCAGGTCCTACAGAGAAACAGCAACCAATGGGATGTGTGTATGTATGTGTGTGTCTACATATATCTATATGAAGAGACTTATTTTTAAAAAATGTGTTTGTGTCAATTGTGCCTCTAGGTATGAGAAGAGATTTGTTATAAGGAATTGGTTCATGTAATTATGGAGGCTAAGAAGTCCCAATATTCTCAAATCAGCAAGCTGGAGATTGGGGAGAGCCAATGTGTGTTTATTTGGGTGGCTAGGAGATGTGGTAGATAGAGTTTTTATTATAAGGAGGAAAGTCTTCTGAGACACCTTTTTGCACCCATATCTGATTGCTAGGACTTCCAGCACTATATTGAAGAGCAGTGGTGAGAGTGAGTATCCTTGTCTTGTTCCCGTTCTTAGAGGGAATACTTTAAACTTTTCCCCATTCAGTATTATGTTGGCTGTGGGTATGTCATAGATGGCTTCTATTACATTAAGGTATGCCCCTTGTATGCTGATTTTGCTGAGGGTTTTAATCATAAAGCGATGCTGGATTTTGTCAAATGCTTTTTCTGCGTGTATTGAGATGATCATGTGATTTGTTTTTAATTATGTTTATGTGATGTATCACATTTATTGACTTGCATATGTTAAACCATCCCTGCATCCCTGGTATGAAACTAACTTGATTATAGTGAATTATCTTTTTTATGCGCTGTTGGATTCTGTTAGCTAGTATTTTGTTAAGGATTTTAACATCTATGTTCATCAAGGTTATCAGTCTGTAGTTTTCTTTTTTGGTTTTGTCCTTTCCTGATTTTGGTATTAGGGTGATGCTGGCTTCATAGAATGAATTAGGGAAGGTTCCTTCTTTCTCTATCTTGTGGAATAGTGTCAAAAGGATTGGTACCAATTCTTTGAATGTCCGGTAGAATTCTGCTGTAAATCCATCTGGTCCTGTACTTTTTCTTTGTTGGTAATTATTAAATTAACATTTCAATCTTGCTGCTTGTTATTGGTCTGTTCAGGACATCTAATTCTTCCTGATTTAAGCTAGGAGGGTTGTACTTTTCCAGGAATTTATCCATCTCTTCTAGGTTTTCTAGTTTACGTGCATAAAGGTGTTCATAGTAGCTTTGAATGCTCTTTTGTATTTTAGTGGTGTCTGTTGAAATATCTGCTGTTTCATTTCTTAATGAGGTTATTTGGTGGATTTTCTCTCCTCTTTTCTTGGTTAAGCTTGTTAATGCTCTATCAATTTTATTTATCTTTTCAAATAACCAGCTTTTTGTTTCATTTAGCTTTTGTAATTTTTTTGTTTCAATTTCATTTAGTTCTGCTCTGATCTTGATCATTTCCTTTCTTCTGCTGGGTTTGGGTTTGGTTTGTTCTTGTTTCTCTAGTTTCTTGAGGTATGACCTTAGAATGTCAGTTTGTGCTTGTTCAGTCTTTTTGATGTAAGCTTTTAGGCTATGAACTTTCCTCTTAGCACTGCCTTTGCTGTATCCCAGAGGTTTTGATAGGTTGTATCATTATTGTCGTTTAGTTTGAAGAATTTTTAAATTTCCATCTTGATTTCATTTTTGACCCAGTGCTCATTCACGAGCAGGTTATTTAATTTCCATGTATTTGCATGGTTTTGAAGGTTCCTTTTAGAGATGATTTCCAGTTCTATTTCACTGTGGTCTGAAAGAGTACTTGATATAATTTCAATTTCTTAAATTTATTGAGACTCATTTTGTGGCCTATCATATGGCCTATCTTGGAGAAAGTTCCATGCGCTGTTGAATAGAACGTGTATTCTGTGATTGTTGGATGAAATGTTCTGTATATATCTGTTAAGTCCATTTGTTCCAAGGTATAGTTTAAATCCATTGTTTCTTTGTTGACTTTCTGTCTTGACCTGTCTAGTGCTGTCAGTGGAGTACTGAAGTCCCCCACTATTATTGTGTTGCTGTCTATCTCATTTCTTAGGTCTATTAATAATTGTTTTATAAATTTGGGAGCTCCAATGTTAGGTGCATATATGTTTAGGATTGTGATATTTTCCTGTTGGACAAGGCCTTTTACCATTATATAATGTCCCTCTTTGTCTCTTTTAACTGCTGTTGCTTTAAAGTTTGTTTTATCTGATATAAGAATAGCTACCTCTGCTTGCTTTGGGCGTCCACTTGCAAGAAATCTCTTTTTCCATCCCTTTACTCTAAGTTTATGTGAGTCCTTATGTGTTAGGTGAGTCTACTAAAGGCAGCAGATAGTTGGTTGGTGAGTTCTCATCCATTCTGCAGTTCTGTATCTTTTAAGTGGAGCATTTAGGCCATTTACATTCAATGTTAATATTGAAATGTGAGGTACCATTGCATTCATTGTGCTATTTGTTGCCTGTGTACCTTGGGTTTTTTGGTTTTGGTTTTTGCTTTTTAACTTGTATTTTTGTTTTATAGGTCCTGTGTGATTTATGCTTTAAAGAGGTTCTGTTTTGATGTGTTTCCAGGATTTAAGATTTTTTTTTTTTGAGACAGAGTTTCAATCTGTCTCCCAGACTGGAGTGCAATGGCACAATCTTGGCTCACTGCAACTTCTGCCTCCCAGGTTCAGGTGGTTCTCCTGCCTCAGCCTCCCAAGTAGCTGGGATTACAGGGGCCCACCACCACGCCTAGCTAATTTTTGTATTTTTAGTAGAGATGTGGTTTCACCATGTTGCCCAGGCTAGTCTTGAACTCCTGACCTCAGGTGATCCACCCGCCTCGGCCTCCCAAAGTCCCAGGATTACAGGCATGAGCCACTGCCCCCAGCCTGTTTTAAGATATAGAGCTCCTTTTAGCAGTTCTTGTAATGGTGGCTTGGTAGGGGTGAATTCTCTCAGTATTTGTTTGTATGAAATAGACTGTATCCTTCTATCATATGCAATGCTTAGTTTTGCTAGTTACAAAATGCTTGGCTGATAATTGTTTTGTTTGAGGAGGCTGAAGATAGGGCCCCACACCCTTCTAGTTTGTAGGGTTTCTGCTGAGAAATCTGCTGTGAATCTGATAGGTTTTCCTTTATAGGTGCTTCTGTATCACAGCTTTTAAGATTCTTTCCTTCATCTTAACTCTAGATAACCTGATGACAACCTGATGACAATGTGCCTAGGTGATGACCTTTTTGTGATGAATTTCTTAGGTGTTCTTTGTGCTTCTTGTTTTTGGATGTCTAGGTCTCTAGCAAGTTTGGGGAACTTTTCCTCAATTATTCCCCCAAATATGTTTTCCAAGCTTTTAGAATTCTCTTTTTCAGGAACACTGATTATTCCTTTTTTTTTCTTTTTCTTTTTTTTTTTTTTGAGACAGAGTCTCACTCTGTTGCCCAGGCTGGTGTGCAGTGGCACAATCTCAGCTCACTGCAACCTCTGCCTCCTGGGTTCAAGCGATCCTCCTACCTTAGCCTCCTGAGTAGCGGGGACTACAGGCACATGCCACCATGCCCGGCTAATTTTTTGTACTTTTAGTAGAGACAGGGTTTCACCATGTTGGCCAGGCTAGTCTCAAAACACCAATTATTCTTAGGTTTGGTAATTTAACACAATCCCAGGCTTCTTGGAGGCTTTGTTCATATTTTCTTTCTTTCTTTTTTTTTTAGATGGAGTCTCGCTCTGTCGCCAGGCTGGAGTGCAATGGCACCATCTCGGCTCACTGCAACCTCCGACACCCTTGTTCAAACGATTCTCCTGCCTCAGCCTCCTGAGTAGCTGGGATTACAGGCAGGCACCACCACACTCAGCTAATTTTTGTGTCTTTAGTAGAGATGGGGTTTCACCCTGTTGGCAAGGCTGGTCTCAATCTCCTGACCTCGTGATCCGCCCGCCTCAGCCTCCCAAAGTGCTGGCATTACAGGCGTGAGCCACCCTGCCCAGACTCATATTTTCTTATTCTTTTTTCTTTGTCTTTGTTAGACCTTGTCTTCGAGCTCTGAATTTCTTTCTTCTACTTGTTCAATTCTACTGCTGAGACTTTCCAGAGCATTTTGCATTTCTATAAGTGTGTCCAGTGTTTCCTGAAGTTTTGATTGTTTTTTCTTTATGCTATCTATTTTCCTGAATATTTCTCTCTTCACTTCTTGTATTGTTTTTTGGATTTCTTTGTGCTGGGCTTCACCATTCTCTGGTGCCTCCCTGATTAGCTTAATAACTAACCTCCTGTATTCTTTTTCAGGTAAATCGGGGATCTCTTCTTGGTTTGGTTCTACTGCTGGTGAGCTACTGTGATTATTTGGGGGGTGTTACAGAGCCTTTTTTTGTCATATTACCAGAGTTGGTTTTCTGGTTCCTTCTCATTTGGATAGGCTCTATCAGAGGGAGGGTCTAAGGCTGAAGGCTGTTGTTCAGATTCTTTTGTCCCTTGAGTCTTCCCTTTTCCTATGGATGTGGCTTCCTGTGAGCCAGACTGCAGTGATTGTTGTCTTTCTTCTGGATCGAGCCACCCAGCACGTCTACCCAGCTCTGGGCTGGTACTGGGAGTTGTCTGCACAGAGCCCTGTGATGTGAACTGTCTATGGATCTCTCAGACATGGATACCAGCACCTGTTCTGGTGGAGGTGGCAGGGGAGCGCAATGGGCTCTGTGAGGGTTCTTAGCTTTGGTGGTTTAAATGCTCTATTTTTGTGCTAGTTGGCCTCCTGCTGGGAGGTGATGCTTTCCAGAGAGCATCAACTATGGTAGTATGGAGAGGAACCAGTGGTGGGTGGGGCCCTTGAAGTCCCAAGATTATATGCCCTTTGTCTTCAGCTACCAGAGTGGATAAGGAAGGCCCATCAGGTGGGGGCAGGGCTAGGCATGTCTGAGCTCAGACTATCCTTGGGCGGGTCTTGCTGTGGCTGCTGTGGGGGATGGGGTAAGGTTCCCAGGTCAATGGAGTTGTGTACCTAGGAGGATTATAGATGCCTCTGCTGAGTCATGCAGGTTGTCAGGGAAGTGGGGGAAAGCTGGCAGTCACAGGCCTCATCCACCTCCCACACAAACTAAAGAGCTGGTCCCACACCCACCATGCACCCCCTGACAGCGTCAAGTCTGTTTCTGGACAGTGGGTGGGCTGGGCTTGAGAACTTGCCCCAGGCTACCCTCCTCCCAGCTGCAACATAAAAGGGCTTTAGTTCTACCCCAGTCTGTGGAGTCTGCACACTGATATGCATCCTCCCCTGAGTTCTGGCCAGGAGGCTTCTCACCAGGTTCAAATTGTCACAAAGTTCAGCTGGAGATTTCCTTCTCCCTGTGGTGTTTTCCCTCACTCTTCTGCCCACTCTCCTGATAGATCCCTGTGGTGCCAGGCAGGAATGGCCTGCTGGGGACCCAGCAAGTTCCCAGGGCCTTTCCTACTGCTTCCTCTACACCTGTATTTTGTTGGGCTGTCTAAATTGAATCAGCTCCAGGTAAGATCAAAAACTTCTCCTGCAAACAGTCCTTCAGTTTCTCCAGAGGGGGTGTGTGTTCGGGAGAGGAGGATCTCGCTTTCCCACTTCCGCAATTGGGGCTCTCACAATATTTGGGGTGTCTCCAAGGTCCTGCAGGAGCAGTCTGCTTCCCTCAGAGGGTCTGTGGGTCCTCTCAGGATTGGTGGTCTGTTATTGCAGTTGATCTGAAGCTAAAATTCATGACGTGAGCCTCCACACACTGCTCTGTCCATCAGAGTCAGAGCTGCAGTCTAGTTCTGCCTCCCATCCGCCATGATGATCTCCAGTTAATCTTTAAAAAGAGAGTCTAGGCCAGGCGCAGTGGCTTACGCCAGCAATCCTAGCACTTTGGGAGACCGAGGCGGGTGGATCACCTGGGGTCAGGAGTTCAAGACCAGCCTGGTCAACATAGTGAAACCCCGTCTCTACTAAATATACAAAAATTAGCTGGGCGTGGTGGCAGACACCTGTAATCCCAGCTACTTGGGAGTCTGAGACAGGAGAATCACTTGAACCCAGGAGGCAGAGGTTGCAGTGAGCTGAGATCGTGCCATTGTGTTCCAGCCTGAGCAACAAAAGCAAAACTTCACCTCCAAAAAAAAAAAAGAATCTATACGCCTGAGGGACACCACATTGCAACCAAACAGTCTGTAGCTTTAGCACTCGCAGTGTCCCAGGGCCTTAGTGGCCCTGCAGAGTGAAATAGGGCAAGGGGGAGCTACTTCAAGCAGAGCCAGGCCTCTGGACCCGCAGCCTGTGCCAGAGTTCTCTCGCAAGGCAGAACAGCAGTGCAGCAATGGAGCCATTTCCTACATTTCTTGAGTTTATATGTGTAACATGGTGATAGATGTGTCAAGCAGTATCTTTCTTGTCTTCCATGTATTTCCTAACAGAACTTAACAGCTGAGAACAAAAATGGCACTGAGTACTTTTATATTCTATTTTCAGAAAACCGACATCTTTGAGTCCAATAATCTCTTTGCAAGCCTTCTGTAAATCTAAATATTGGAGGTGGGAGGTAGCACACAGAGCTCATAGTAGTGTCAATCATCTCTTCTCCCTTCTCTTCTGATGTGCGGTGATGGGAATGGGGATGTTTGGCATTCAGTTTGTCCCCTCCCCCTTGCTATTTAACTAGGAGGTGTTCAAGTTAACCCATCTACCAAGGGATCTGTTCATAGTGTCATCTATAGATTGCTAAACCAAAAAGTAGCACAATATGTAACGCCTCAGGCTTGCTGCCACTCAGTAGAGAAAGAAATGAACAAAAAAGAAAGGAGTGGTGGGACCAATGTCTTCCTACTGCATGGCATAGTAATATGTGACTGTCCTCATGATCAAATAGACATTGTGGAAAGAGGCTAGTCGCCCCAGTGGGCAAGGAAACCTAGGCCATCAAAAAGTTTTGGAAATGATTCAAGTGGCAGAGACTAAGGGTGTGTGTGTGGTAAGGAATATGTGGAGTGTTGAAACAAAAATAGCAATAAGTTGATAATTGTTAAAGCTGAGTGATAGGTACATAGAGGTTCATTATAACATTCTTTCTACCTTCGTGTGTTTAAAACTTTTAACAATAAACATGTTTTTTGGCCAGGTGTGGTGGTTCATGTCTGTAGTCCCAGCACTTTGGAAGGCCAAGGCAGGAGGATCACTTGAGCTCAGGAGTTCGAGACCAGCCTGAGCAACATGGTGAGATCCCTGTCTCTACAAAAAATAAAATAAAATTAGCTGGGCGCGGTGACATGCAGCTGTAGTCCCAGGTACTTGGAAGGCTGAGCCAGGATGTTGAGGCTGTAGTGATCTGTGATCCTGCCACTGCACTCCAGCCTGGGAGATTGAGCAAGATCCTATCTCATAAAATAAAATTTTAAAAAATCAAACAATAAACATGTTTTTTAAGGTTATGGAATTGGACTGAATTGTGAAGATCGCCTGATATCACAGGGAAAGTCAACAGAACTTTTTTTTTTTTTTTTTTTTTTTTGAGTCTTTGCTCTGTCGCCCAGGCTGGAGTGCAGTGGCACAATCTCAGCTCACTGCAAGCTCCGCCTCCCGGGTTCACACCATTCTCCTGCCTCAGCCTCCCGAGTAGCTGGGACTACAGGCGCCCGCCGCCACGCCCGGCTAATTTTTTGTATTTTTTAGTAGAGACGGGGTTTCACCGTGTTAGCCAGGATGGTCTCAATCTCCTGACCTCATGATCCGCCCGCCTCGGCCTCCCAAAGTGCTGGGATTACAGGTGTGAGCCACCACGCCTGGCCCAAGAGAACATTTTTGGTAACAGTTTCAGGAAGGGAAGTTACATCTTTTTATATATTTATTCATTTTTTAATTAATGGGGTGCTACACACTTTTTTTTTTTTTTTTGAGACAGCCTTGCCCTGTCTTCCAGACTGGAGTGCAGTGGCACAATCATGACTCAATGCAACCTCCACCTCCTGGACTCAGGTGATCTTCTTGCCTTAGGAAGGACTACAGGTACGCCACCATGCCTGGCTAATTTTTGTATTTTTTGTAGACATGGGGTTTTGCCATTTTACCCAGGCTGATCTTGAACTCCTGGGCTTAAGTGATCCACCTGCCTCAGTCTCTGGAAGTGTTGGAATTACAGGTGTGAGCCACTGCACCAGGTGAAAAATTACATATTAATGAATTAAGACTTTGCTATGATCTGAATATCTGTGTCCCACCCCCCCCCCATCAAATTCATATGTTGAAATCCTAGCCCCCAGGGGTGATGGTACTAGAAAGTGAGGTCCTTGAGTGGATTCGTGACCTTATAAAAGAGGGCCAAGAGAGACTCCTCATCCCTTATATTATGTGAGGTCACAGCAAGAAGATGCCATCTATGAGGAAGCGGGCCCTTACCAGACACCTAATCTTATCTTGTTCTTGGACTTCCCAGGTTCCAGAACTGTGAGAAGTTTCTGTTGTTTATAAGCTACCCAGTTTATGGTATTTTGTTATAGCAGCCAGAGTGGACAAAGACAGACTTATTATTCCAACATTTTATAAGTCCAACCACCAAAAGAAATGTTCTTGTCTTCCTGAAGAAGTGCCTCACTTTTTCTTTAACTGTGATCCAGTCAAGTATGGCTTAGAAAATAGTCACAGGAGTTTCCACTGTAGACAAGAGGTAGACAAAGGAGCTTCCTGCAAACTGGAAAAATATTTTTAAATTTCCTATACATAAACAACAAATCGGTGGAAATGCAATAAAAAGAAAAAAATCCTGTTCACAATAGCAAATAATTTGTTTTAGCAAAAGACACTCTACGGCTAAACTTAATAAAAATGTACAAGACCTGATGAAGAAAACTATAAAATGTTACTGCAGAATATAGATGATAGAATAAATGCAGAGTTATACTTGTTTCTGTTTAGAGTCAATATTCTAAAGATGTTGATTACTTCTAAATTTATAAAGGCCATATAATTGCAATGAAAATGTTAACTTTTTGGGGAACTTGAAAAATGATTCTAAAGTTTTCATTAAAAATAAATATATAGCCAGGCATGGTGGCTCATGCCTGTAATCCTAGCACTTTGGGAGGCCTAGGCAGGTGGATCACAGGATCAGGAGTTTGAGACCAGCCTGACCAACATGGTGAAACTCCATCTCTACTAAAAATACAAAAATTAGCCAGGCATGGTGGCGCATGCCTGTAGTCCCAGCTACTCAGGAGGCTGAGGCAGGAGAATCGCTTGAACCCAGGAGGCAGAGGTTGCAGTGAGCTGAGATCGCACCACTGCACTCCAGCCTGGGCAACAAAGAGAGACTCTGTCTCAAAAAAATAATAACAATAAAAATAAATATTTTGGAAAAATTGGAAAAGAAGCATATTGGGGGGGACTTAGCATACCAGATATTAAAACCTACTATAAAACAATTTTAGGCTGGACGTGGTGGCTCACGTCTGTAATCCCAGCATTTTGGGAGGCTGAGGCGGGTGGATCACGAGGTCAGGAGATCGAGACCATCCTGGCTAACACGGTGAAACCCCATCTCTGCTAAAAATACAAAAAATGAGCCGGGCATGGTGGCGTGTGCCTGTAGTCCCAGCTACTCGGGAGGCTGAGGCAGGAGAATGGCATGAACCCAGGAGGCAGAGCTTGCAGTGAGCCGAGATCGTCGCCCCATTGCACTCCAGCCTGCGAGACAAAGCAAGACTCTGTCTCAAAAAAAAAAAAAAAAAAAAATTTAATATAGCATTCAATTAAATAGACCCAAGAAAATATGATAATTTGCTATATGGTTGCATTTTAATTCAGGGAGGGAGACAAAGATTATTCAATAAATTATACTGGAAGAACTAACAGCAACTTGAAAAAAAAAGTTAATTCTGACCTTTTTTTTTTTTTTTTTTTTTTGAGATGGAGTTTCACTCTCGTCATCCAGGCTAGAGTGCAATGGTGTGATCTCAGCTCACTGCAACCTCTGCCTCCTGGGTTCAAGCGATTCTCCTGCCTCAGCCTCTAGAGTTGCTGGGATTACAGGCGTGCACCACCACGCCCGGCTAATTTTGTATTTTTAGTAGAGATGGGGTTTCTCAATGTTGGTCAGGCTTGTCTCAAACTCCCAACCTCAGGTGATCCGCCCTCTTCTCAAGGTGCTGGGATTATAGGCGTGAGCCACCGTGCTTGGCCATTCTTATCTTTTTTTAAACAACTAAATAAATTTCAGATATATTAACAGTTAAATGTAAAAAAAACTACAAATGTGCTAGAAAACACATTTGACTCTTTATTAATGAAATGTAGAAGGCCAGGCGCAGTGGCTCACACCTGTAATCCCAGCACTCTGGGAGACTGAGGCAGGCGGATCACCTGAGGTCAGGAGTTCAAGACCAGCCTGGCCAACATGGTGAAACCCTGTCTCTACTAAAAATACAAAATTAGCTGGGTGTGTTGACAGGCGCCTGTAATCCCAGCTACTTGGGAGGCTGAGGCAGAAGGATTGCTTGAACCCAGGAGGCTGAGGTTGCAGTGAACGAGACTGTGCCACTGCACTCCAGCCTGGGCAACAAGATCATAATTCTGTCTCAAAACAGAAAAAAAAAAAGAAAGAAAAGTAGAAGAGTACAAAATTTCTTTATGAGCTTGCTCTTTTCAACCTCAAATAAATAAAGCTGACAAAATCCATGTTGGTAAGGATATGGGGAAAAAAAGCAACCTCCTCTATAGTCGGTAGCAGTATAAATTTATAAATTTGTATAAATTTCCAATATACTTGAAATGTCTCATTGACCCATCAATTTTACATATATGAATTTACTCTAAGGATATAATATTACACATGGGAAGAGATATATGCACTGGAATTACTTATAATATTGAAAAATTGTAGGCCGGCACGGTGGCTCACACCTGTAATCCCAGCACTTTGGGAGGCCGAGGTGGGCGGATCACCTGAGGTTGGGATTTCGAGACCAAACTGACCAACATGGGGAAACCTCGTCTCTACTAAAAATACAAAATTTGCTAAGTGTGGTGGCACATGCCTGTGATCCCAGCTACTGGGGAGGCTGAGGCAGGAGAATTGCTTGAACCCGGGAGGCGGAGGTTGCGGTGAGCCAAGATCGCGCCATTGCACTCCAGCCTGGGCAACAAGAGCAAAACTCCATCTCAAAAAAAGAAAAATTGTAAACAACTTAGAAGTCCATCTCTAAAGTATTGTTAGTTATAGAATGTCTGTTTGCTTTCAAAGGGAACAAATAACCTTGTCTTCAACAAGACAAATGTATTTTTTTTTTTTTGAGACGGAGTCTCGCTCTGTCGCCCAGGCTGGAGTGCAGTGGCGCGATCTCAGCTCACTGCAACCTCCGCCTCCCGGGTTCAAGAGATTCTCCTGCCTCAACCTCTTAAGTAGCTGGGATTACAGGTGCGCGCTACCATGCCCGGCTAATTTTTGTATTTTTAGTAGAGTCAGGGTTTCTCCATGTTGCTCAGGCTGGTCTCAAACTCCTGACCTTGTGATCCGTCTGCCTTGGCCTCCCAAAGTGCTGGGATTACAGGCGTGAGCCACCACGCCCAGCCGACAAATGTATTTTTCACACAAAATTGCAATGAGGATAGGAGGTACGATGGGTATGTTTCACAAGATCATTCAGATTCCTTCTGTCACTTTACTCCACTTTCCTCCTTTGTGTGGTCCATCCTTACCACTACCAAACACATGCTACAGTTGGTAAAAGGGAAAGAAAGTAGAGTCTGACCTGGAAGTTTCCTCATAACTTCCACTCACATCACATGATAGCCATGCCTAGCTGAATGAGCCAATGAGAAATGTAGTTTGTACACATAAGCAACATGTCTCCAGCTTGGAGACTATCTAATAATCAAAGGAAGAAGGTAAAAAATGGATTTCAAAGACTATTATCCCTTTCCATCAGCGATATCGATTAAAGTACACTACATCATTCAGTGAAAAACTCTGCAGCCATTAAAAATAAGAGACAGGCCAGGTTTGGTGGTTCACACGTGTATCCCAGCACTTTGGGAGGCCGAGTCGGGAACATCACTTGAGAACAGGAGTTAGAGACCAACCTGGGCAACATTAGAAGACTCTGTCTCTAAAAAAAATTGGTGGGGTGTAATCGTGTGTCTGTAGTCCCAGCTACTTGGGAGGCTGACGTGGGAGGATTGCTTGAGCCCAGGAATTTGAGGCTGCAGTGAGCTATGACTGTGCCACTGCACTCCAGCTTGGGTGATAAAGCAAGACCTAAAAAATATGTATTATTATACATTATGTATATGGTCACTGTTATATAAAGTTGTATTTGACAGTGAGTGAAAACTGCAACTACAAACATAGGATAATTCTATTTGAAAATTATGTGTGTTGTGAATATATATAGGTATACATGTAGGCACCAGTGTGTATGTGTTTGTATTTATGTATTAAATGTATATATTTGAAAATATAGAGTTGTCTGGGAAAATGTTCCCTAACGTATAAATGGCAGTTATTTCTGGAGAATGAGATTGAAAGTGAATGTCTATTTTACAGTTTTTCTTTTATACAAAACAATGAAAAAAAATTTTTTTGAGACAGGGTCTTGCTCTGTCACCCAGGCTGGAGTGCAGTGGTGCGATCATGGCTCACTGCTGCCTTGACCTTCTGGGCTCAAGCGATCCTCCTACCTCAGCCTCCCAGGTAGCTGGGACTTTAGGTGCGTACCACCACACCCGGCAAATTTTTTTTTTTTTTTTTTTGAGACAGGGTTTCACTATGTTGCCCACGCTAGTCTTGACTCCTGAACTCAAGCGATCAGCTTGACTTGGACTCCCAAAGTGCTGAGATTACAGACATGAGCCACCACACCCAACCGAAACATTTTTTAAAGCAAAAACATACACGATTTAAAATAAAATATCCAGAAATAACTGCTTCAAACTTGCTTTTAAGGTCAGTTTCAAAATTGCTTGAGAATAGGCTTGAGAGTAGGCCAGGCCAGGTGGCTCATGCCTGTAATCCCAGCACTTTGGGAGGCTGAGGTGGGCAGAACACTTGAGATCAGGAGTTCAAGACCAGCCTGGCCAACGTGGTGAAACCCCCGTCTCTACTAAAAACATAAAAATTAGCCAGGAGTGGGCTGGGCGCGGTGGCTCACGCCTGTAATCCCAGCACTTTGGTAGGCTGAGATGGGTGGATCATGAGGTCAGGAGTTCAAGACCAGTCTGGCCAAGATGGTGAAACCCTCTCTATTAAAACTTCAAAAATTAGCCAGGCGCAGTGGCAGGCGCTTGTAATCCCAGCTACTTGGGAGGCTGAGCCAGGAGAATCACTTGAAACTGGGCGGCAGAGTTTGCAGTGAGCCAAGATCGCGCCACTGCACTCCAGACTGGGCGACAGAGTGAGATTCCGTCTCAAAAAAAAAAAAAATTGGCCAGGAGTGGTGGCGGAAATCCCAGCTACTTGAGAGGCTGAGGCAGGAGAATCGTTTGAACCCAGGAGGCAGAGGTTGCAGTGAGCCAAGATCTTGCCATTGCACTCCAGCCCGAGAGACAGAGCAAAACTCTGTCTCCGCCCCCGCAAAAAAAATTGCCGGAGAGTAAAGGTGAAGCTCACATAATATTGGAGAAAATTTGGTTAAGCTCTGAGAGTAATTAATTAATTTAGGCAAGATGAGAAAAGTGCTCTTATTGAAAGACATTATAAAGTGATGGATTTAATATACTCAAAGACATAAGAAAACATAATTGACTCTGGGTGGTTGGGGGAAGGGAAATGAACACACTAAATAAAATTAGAGGATACTTTAATTTTTTATCACATTTTATTTATTTCACTAGATGATAAGGTTCATAAGTATTTGCTATAATTTTGGCTATTTTTTCTTGTCTGAAATATTACATAGTAAAATGTTTTAACTGGATGACAAGTAGAGATAAAGTGAATTCTGTTTGAAAAAATTACATACTAATGAATTACGACTTTGCTATGGTCTGAATATCTGTGTTTCTCCCAAATTCATATGTTGAAATTCCAACCCCCAACATGATGGTATTAGAAGGTGAATTACAAATTGTATTGACTTATTTTGCTTATTCTTTGTCATATTTAAACTTATAACTGAGAAGACATTAATTTGCAAAGAAAATACATTTTTAACAAGATACATGAAATTTTCAGTGAACTTGGAGTTAACTAGGAAAAATGCATAGTTCTAGCCAAATCTACTACAAGCAAAACTTCAAGAGTAGTAGCGGCACTGAGGCTACTGTGCACTTGAAATGTACACCCAGCTTGTGTAACATTTTCCAAGAATACCTCTCATCAAAACTTTTGCTTCTAAAGAGTTTTCTATATATATATATATATATATATATATATATATATATATTTTTTTTTTTTTTTTTTTTTTTTTTTTTTTTTTTTTTTTTGAGACGGAGTCTCTCTGTCACCCAGGCTGGAGTGCAGTGGCGCGATCTCGGCTCACTGCAGGCTCCGCCCCCCGGGGTTCACGCCATTCTCCTGCCTCAGCCTCCCGAGTAGCTGGGACTACAGGCGCCCGCTACCTCGCCCGGCTAATTTTTTGTATTTTTAGTAGAGACGGGGTTTCACTGTGTTAGCCAGGATGGTCTCGATCTCCTGACCTCGTGATCCACCCGCCTCGGCCTCCCAAAGTGCTGGGATAACAGGCGTGAGCCACCGCGCCCGGCCGAGTTTTCTATATTTTTAATTGGAGGGTTTTTTTTGTTGTTGTTGTTTTGTTTTGTTTTTTTTGAGATGTGGTCTCTGTCGCTCAGGCTGGAGTGCAGTGGCATGATCTTGGCTCACTGCAACCTCCACCTCCTGGGTCAAGTGTTTCTACCACCTCAGCCTCCCAAGTAGCTGGGGCTACAGGCTTGCACCACTACACCTGGCTAATTTTTCTATTTTTAGTAGAGATGGGGTTTCACCATGTGGGCCAGGCTGGTCTCAAACTCCTGACCTGAGGTGATCTGCCCGCCTTGTCCTCCCAAAGTGCTGGGATTAAATGGCAGATTCCATATGTGAGGAGGTGTGTACACATATATATGTAAACAAAATAAAATAACAGTGGTTTGAATATTCATTGAGGGGAAACACGTGCAATTCTATGACATAAATTAATTAACTAGAAAATTTATATAAAGAAATTATACAGAATTCAGAATAGAGAGACATAAAAATGTGAAAGATAGATTCAAAAATACTTAGAACAGGTCGGGCACGGTGGCTCACGCCTGTAATCCCAGCACTTTGGGAGGCCGAGGTGGGCGGATCACGAGGTCAGGAGATTGAGACCATCCTGGCTAACACGGTGAAACCTCGTCTCTACTAAAAATACAAAAAATTAGCCAGGCGTGGCGGCGGGCGCCTGTAGGCCCAGCTACTCGGGAGGCTGAGGCAGGAGAATGATGTGAACTCGGGAGGCGGAGCTTGCAGTGAGCTGAGATTGTGCCACTGCACTCCAGCCTGGGCGACGAGTGAGACTCTGTCTCAAAAAAAAAAAAAAAGAAAGAAAGAAAAAATACTTAGAACAGATTGAGGTATAACATGTCTAAGCTGAATTCAAGGAGAAAAGAGAGAATGGGACACAAGCAATATTTGAAGAGATGTTGGTTAAGAATGTAAGCCCCATGAGGGCAGAATTTTTTTTCCCCAATACTGTATCCCTAATCCTAGACTAAAGCCTGATATATAAGTACTTAATAAATATTTGTTGAATTATGTTGGATTCTATTTCCAGTAATATGAGAAACTATACACTTACATAAACCATCCCACTGAAAACATTCAAAACTGGGTAAAATGTAAAAATAAAATCTTCTTAAAATTATTTCTGAGATCCCAAGGAAACTTTTGTCAAATTAGAGGCAGAAGATGAGATAAAGGAGCCTTTGCAGAAACAAATTTGTGTGTATTTTTAAATAAAACCTGAACCTTCAAAAAACAAAGAAGTTTTGTGGTTGAGCTCATCCTTTTACTCCATTTGGGGGGCATTTTTTCCTCTATAAGAGGTATTTTGGAGAACAAGTTGAAACAGCACTAGTTATGGCAAGTACATTAAAATCTTTCAAAGGCCACACTATATCCTCTACTCTCTTCTCCCCCACCCTCCACCCACAACTTAAAAAAAAAAACAAACAAATCCTCCATTGAAATTTCCCCCCTTCTTCATGAAAAAATCTGCAGTAACAGGAAAAGGGGATAGCTGGAATAATAATCTTTTTATTTGTTTATGTTGAAGAATAAGGTTTTGTTTTGAGACAGGGTTTTGCTCTGTTGCCCAGGCTGGAGTACTGTGGCACAATCACCATTCACTGCAGCCTTGAATTCCCAAGTTCCAGTGATCCTCCCACCTCAGCCTCCCAAATAGCTGGGACTACATACAGGAGTGCACCACCACAACCAGCTTTTTTTTTTTTTTTTTTTTAATTTTTGTAGAGAAGTTGTCTCGCTATGTTGCCCAGGCTAGTCCTGAGCTCCTGGTCTCAAGTGATCCTCCAGCCTCAGCTTCCCAAAGCGCAGGCATTACAGGTATGAGCCACTGCATCTGGCCTAAACGTCTTGCTGTCTGGTAGAGAAAGTCTTCACTTTGTTCTTCAAGATTGTTTTAGTTCTTTACGTTTTCTGTTCCTATACACATTTTAGAAACAGCTTGTCCATTTTCTCATACCTCACCTCCCTCTTCCTACACACACTGCTGAAATCTATACTGGAATTATATGGAATCTGAAGAACAACTTGATGAATATTAACATCTTTATTATAGTGAATCTTCTAAGGATTGAGCCTGGTACATTCTTCTACCTATTTCTTTTAAAAATTGTCTCAATCTTTTATGGTCTTCTGCGTAGACAGTTTTCATTTTTCCTTTCCAATCTTCCTCCCATCTATTTCATCTTCTTGCCTTATTGCACTAAGATGGTTCATCCAGTAAAATGTTGAATACATGCAGGAATACTGGATATCTTATTTTGTTCCCAATCTCAAGGGGAAAGTGTTCAATATTACACCATTGTGTATCCTCTTCATATATGGCTGGACTTAATCTTCTAATATTTTGTGTAAGATTTTTACATATATATGTGAGATTACCATGTAAATTTCCCTTTCTTGTGATATATTTGTGACCTGCTTTCAGGGTCATATACGCCTCATTAAATGAGCTAAGAATTGATTCCTTTTCCTCTATTCTCTGGAATTTGTATGAATTGATAAAATTAGTTAATGAAATCTTCTGGACTGGAGTATTTCATCTACTCCCTGCCTTCATCTCCCTTCAGGGAAAAGGTTTGAATTACCTTCAAAGGAGACTGTCATGTGGCTTCTCAACACAAACAATGGAATGCAGAAAACAGATAATTAAAACAATAATTCAAATTGCAGAAAGAAAATACTCACCAATAGAACTCCAAACTGAACAAATATATCCTTCAGAAAGGTAGGTGAAGTAATTTTATGACAAACAAAAACTGAGATAATATCACCAGAAGATCCACACTAATGGAAATTCTAAAAGATGTTCTTCAGGCTAAGAAAATGTGGCATGTATAAGCAATGGAATACTATTCAGGCATAAAAAGAGAATAAAATCCTGTCAACTGCAACAACATTGATGAGCCTGGAGAACATTACATTAAATGAAATAAGCCAAGAATAGAAAGACAAAAAACACATGACTTCATTCACTCATATGTTGAATCTAAACAAAACTGATCTCATAGAAGTTGAGAATAGAATAGTAGTTACCAGAGACTGGGGAGAATAGGAGGAGGGGGTAAATGGAAGAACGTTGGTCAATGCGTACAATGTTACAGTTAAACAGGACTAAGTTCTGACACTCTATTGCACAGTAGGGTGACTATAGCTAAAAATAACATATTGTTTTGTTTTTTGCTTTTTGAGACAGGGTATCACTCTGTCACCCAGACTGGAGTGCAATGGCACAATCTCGGCTCACTGCACCTCTGCTTCCTGGGCTCAAGCGATCCTCTCACCCCAGCCTCCTGAGTAGTTGGGACGACAGGTGCATGCCACCATGCCTGTCTAATTTGTGTGTGTTTTGTAGAGCTGGGGTTTTTCCCAGTTGCCCAGGCTGCATAGTATATTTCAAATAGCTAGAAGAAAGGATTTGAATGTTCTTACAATAAATAAATCATAAGTGGCCGGGTGTGATGGTTCACGCCTGTAATCCCAACACTTTGGGAGCCTCAAGCCCAGGAGGTCGAGGCTGCAGCAAGCCGAGATTGCACCACTACATTCCAGCCTGGGCAACAGAGCAAGATCCACAGATGTAAGAAGGTATGAAAAGCAATGTTAAAAAGCGGTATTCAATAAATAAATACTGAATGTTGTATAAATCAATAATAATGTATTGTGAAGCTTAAAATATAAGTAGACAAACTACATAGAAAAAGTACCATAAATGGACTAAAATGTTCTAAGGGTCTTGCATCATGTATGGATGTGTGTTGTAAATTCTAGGAAAACTGAAAACCACTGAAACAACTGTAAAAGAATGCAGAAGTATCAATTTAACAGAGGGAGATAACAGATTAATAATTATTCATCCAGTTCAAAGGAAGAAAAGAAAAACACAAAATAGGCAAAACAAAAAAAAAGGCGGGGTTGAGGGCAATTAGCCAGGGCTCGGTAGCTCACGCCTCTAATCTCAACCCTTTGGGAGGAAGAAGCGGATGGATCTATTTAACTGGGTCGCTTGAGCTCAGGAGTTTGAGACCAGCCTGGCCAACATGGCGAAACCCTGTCTCTACCAAAAATACAAAAAATTAGCTAGGTGTGATGGTGCAGGCCTGTGGTCCCAGCTACTTAGGAGGCTGAGGCAGAAGAATCACTTGAGCCCGGGAGGTGGAGACTGCAGTGAGCTGAGATTGTACCACTGCACTCCAACCTGGGTGACAATGAGACTCCCGTCTCAAAAAAAAAAAAAAAAGCAATTAGTAAAATGCTAGATTTAAACCTAAACGTGCCAATAAACTTAAGCAGACTGCCAAGACAAAGGCTGTCCTAATTTTTTTTTAAACCTACTTATAAGACACATTGTTAATAAAAGGATTACAGAAAGCTTGAAAGTAAAAGGATAGGAAAAGATAAACCATACCAACATTATCCCAAAGAAAGGTTAAGTAGCTATACTAATGGCAGGCAAAGTAGACTTTAAGACAAAAGCCTTGTTTGGAATACAGATATCTGAAAATTCCAAAAGGATTAATTCATAAGGAAGATAAAGCAATTTTAAATGTATATGCACCTACTATAATAGCCTCAAAATATGTAAAATAAAAATAGAAAGGAGAGGCCGGGTGTGGTGGCTCACATTTGTAATCCCAGCACTTTGGGAGGCCAAGGCGGGTGGATCACGAGGTCAGGAGTTCGAGGCCAGTCTGGCCAACACAGTGAAACCCGTCTCTACTAAAAATATAAAAATTAGCTGGGCATGGTGGCAGGTGCCTGTAATCCCAGCTACTCGGGAGGCTTAGGCAGGAGAATAGCTTGAGCCCAGGAGGCGGAGGTTGCAGTGAGCCAAGATGGTGCCACTGCTCTCCAGCCTGGGTGACAGAACAGAACTAGGCTCCATCTCAAAAAAAAAAAAAGAAAGGAGAAAGATAAATCCACAAATCACAGTGGAAGATTTTAACATACTTCCCTTGGTATGTGATAAAACAAGCCCACAAAGACTTGGTAAGGATATAAAAGATTTAAATAATACAAGTAATAAAATTGACCTAATTGGCACAAGCTAAACTGCATATGATAGCTAAAGAATCAACTTTTTTTTCAGGGCCACATGCCTATAGTTTCTAAACTTAATCATATGCAGGGCCCAATAGCAACTCTCAACAAATTTTAAGTGATTGAAACTATACAGAGAATGCTCTTTAATGAAAGTGGAATTAAGCCAGAAATAGATAATAAAAAGATAATTAGAAATTCCCATACATTTGGGATTTGGTTTTCAAAAGTTTTATTATGATGTGCCCATGTGGTTTTTTTAAAAATTACTTATTTTTTTGAGATCCGGTCTCATTCTGTCACCCAGGCTGGAGTGCAGTGGCACAATCACAGCTCACCACAGCCTCAACCTCCCAGGCTCAGGTGATCCTCCCACCTCCACCTCCGGAGTAGCTAGGACTACAGGTGCCCGCCACCATGCCCAGCTAATTTTTGTATTCTTCGTAGAGGCAGGTTTCGCCATGTTGCCCAGGCTGGTCTTGAACCCCTGGGGCTCAAGTGATCTGCCCACCTCAGCCCCTCAAAGTGCTAGGATTACAGGCATGTGATTCACCACACTTGGCCAGTTGTGGTTTTATATTGAGAAATAAAAATAAAATTCTAAGTCCCCAACTGAATGGACCCCCTCTTAGCCAAGGGGACCCCAAAGAAACCTGGGAAACAGTTCATAGCTATGACGGGATGAGAGGTCCAACATGCCTCATTATACCTACTCCCTCACCAAATGCCATTAGGCTTTCCTCCCCAAGGGCTAACCAGAAAGCAGCCCTTTCAAGACTCCACATTGATAATGTCGATTACTAGCTTATCTCCCCAGGGAGAGAACAAAGACAAGATTAATCAGTCCTTCACCTCTCTGCTTCCTCTATTCCTATTTCTTCAAATGTTCACCTTACCTTATGTAAAATGTAGATTTGCTGGGCACTAACTAAAGTCTCATAAGTCTGTAATCATTCATCTCACTGCCACCCTCACCCTCCTCAGACTTTTAAAGGAAAATGTATAAATACTAAACCTCCCGAGAACCTCTTTGGAAAAAAATAGGCACAGATACATCCGTGAAACAAGTTTTTACAAGTTTTTTTTTCCACCGGGCATGCCCACAAGCTAGCTCAATAAACCTCGATGACTAAGACTTAGGTCTCAGTCACTTATTTTGGTTGTCGATATTTATCCAAGTTGGGTTCAAGACCATAGGCTTGTTGTGTTTCTCCTGTTGTAGCAAATCCTCAGCCATTTTCATTGACTATTACCTCTCTGAATTACTTTACCATTTTCCTCCCTTGCATACACTGCTCCAGCCACAAGGGCTCTTTACTGTTTATTGAAAGGACCAGTCTTGTTATTCCTTTGCTTGGAATTCTCTTCCCTCATATCCAAATGGCTTGCGTCTTTACCTATCTGATCTCTAAACATCACCTCAGCGAGGCATTGTGACCATCCTACCAAAAACTGCAAAGCCATCCCACTTCAGAACTCCTAATCTTCCTTCCCTACTTCCTCTCTGTAACATTTATCACTCTCATTTGGCCCTTTTCTGTCCCTCCTGCAAATGTAGGCTCTATGCAGGCAGAAACTTTTGTTTTGTTCACTGTTGCAACTCAGTAATGAGAACAGTACCTAGAATACAACATATGCTCAAGAGCTATTAAATAGCTTTTCTTTATTCTTCCAGGTCACTTCACCTGCAAAGCCTTCCCTGGTGACCCAATTATCACATCATTTGCATGAAAATAGCATTTTGTAGGTTTTTTTTTTTTTTTTTTTTTTTTGAGACGGAGTCTCACTCTGTTGCCCAGACTAGAGTGTGGTGACACAATCTCGGCTCACTGCAACCTCCACCTCCCAGGTTCAAGTGATTCTCCTGCCTTAGCCTCCCAAGTAGCTGGGACTACAGGCATATGCCACCACACCAGGCTAATTTTTCTATTTTTGTAGAGACAGGGTTTTGCCATGTTGGCCAGGCTAGTCTCAAACTCCTGACCTCAGGTGATCTGCCTGCCTCGGCCTCCCAAAGCACTGGGATTACAGGCGTGAGCCATCACACCAAGCCTAGCATAGCCTAGCATTTTGCATTTCTAACACAAAGGTCAGCAGCCTTGAACATACTGCTCTGTGGGTATGTACCTATAAACAGAAGCACATACACAGGGCTGTGAGAACAAAGGCCCAACAGGCATTAACAGAAAACTTAAATTTGAAGGGTGCATTTATTTTGTGGCCCATTCCCCACTCACCCCTATTTCACTCTGGAGCACCAGGGGATACTGAATTCCACAATAAAAGATCATTCCTTATAGTTAACGTGCTGGCTGTCAAAAAGCAAATTTTTGGAAAGGTCAGGATTGTTTGATGTAGAGTCCAGAACATCACAAATGGCAGGTCTTAATACAGAAAACTAGACGAAAGGATTGTGATTTGAGGGAGGGGTATCTGGATGAAAAAGAAGTCTGAGAGTATGAAAGGCAACTAAATTCACATAAATAAGAAATTAGAAGAGAAACAAAAGCCCTTTTTAATCTTCATTATATAATCTCAGTTCCTAGATAACTTTGTTCTTCATCCATCAAAAGAGATATATAACATATTTAAAGAGGTAACACTAGTTCACTAAGACAACAAAGATTCTTAAAGGGTTGGGCTGTATCTGAAATCTCCAAAAAGGCTGAGTAATTTGACAAAGAGCCCCAAATAATTTTGATTCCTCCATACTCCTTTTCAGATCTACTATGTACAAGGAGCACTCTGGTCACCCTTTAGCTGCACAGCACACAAAATATTTACAAAAAATGTCACAGAAACTGTTGTTTCCATTATTTGGAAGAAAACGAGGACAAATTTCAGGATGTGACTTGGCTCATTGTTTCAAACATATTTGGATGTGCTGAAAGAGAGGAAAGAAAGTGGGAAAGAGAGACCAAGCCACTTAACACCAAGGATTTTTTTTTTTTTTGATGGAGTCTCGCTCTGTCCCCCAGGCTGGAGTGCAGTGGTGCCATCTCGGCTCACTGCAAGCTCCGCCTCCCGGGTTCATGCCATTCTCCTGCCTCAGCCTCCCGAGTAGCTGGGACTACAGGTGCCCACCACCACGCCTGGCTAAATTTTTTATATTTTCAGTAGAGACGGGGTTTTCACCATGTTAACCAGGATGGTCTTGATCTCCTGACCTCATGATCAGGGGCCCGCCTCAGCCTCCCAAAGTGCTGGGATTACAGGCATGAGCCACCGTGCCCGGCCAACACCAAAGATTTTGGGACAGTCATGGCAAGGAGTGGCAGCTATTACAAATTTGAATAGGGTAGTCAACTGGCCATGGAAAGTGGAGTTGCAGGCATTTGAGTATCATCATTTTTTTTAGTATAATTATTTAAGTTCCTTTTTTGAAAAGATTGGCTGGACATGGTAGCTCACACCTGTAATCTTAGCACTTAGGATGGCCAAAATGGGAGGATCGCTTAAGCTCAGGAATTCGAGACCAGCCTGGGCAACAGGGCAAGACTCTCATCTCTATTTAAAAAAAGAAAAAAAAAAAAAAGTCCTGCTAGCTGAGACAAAGACAGGCGTAAGAAAAACATTCTCAGATACCTCGTTTATTTTTACCAAGTTGTAGTCTCTACCCCACTGGCTTACTAGAGTAGTGGTATTGAATCAAATACATAGCTACATTTTCTGGGCTATGTGATTTAATAACATTCATTTTAACCTCAAAAAGGGAAAATGGGTTGGATTTGTCGTTGGATTTCAGAAGATATTTTAAAGTTTGACTAGTCATAAAAAAATTCTTACACAATATTAGCCATAAAAGAAATTCTTGTTTATGTACTTTAAACCCACATCTTGACTGACTCTAATAGCATTGGCCCATGTAATCACTACTCTCTTTCCTTTTGAATTTATGTCAATACATTATTGGTATGGTGGCTTTTGCTTTGCCCAAATTACCTGAGTAATCATGTAAATTGTTATCATTCTACAGATAGTGTGTAGAAGGACCCTAGATTGGAAATACAGCTCATTGAAGTTCAAACTATCTTTATTTTGGTGGTTACCCAAACCTTGGTATCTTAAAAGATGTTTCCTTAATAGCCCCTTAGACATCTCTGCCAATTTTTTTTTTAGACAGTCTGTCACCAGTATGGAGTGCAGTGGTGCCATCAAAGCTCACTATAACCTCAAACTCCTGGGTTCAAGCAATCCTCCCACCTCAGCCCCCGAAGTAACTAGAACTACAGGTACACACATGGCTAAATTTTTCTATTTTTTGTAGAGATAGATTCTTGCTGATGCCCAGGTCAGTCTTGAACTCCTGGCTTCAAGCCATCCATCCTCTACCCTCAGCCTCCCAAATTGCTGGGATTACAGGTGTGAGCCATAGCACCCAGCCTGTCTTTCCTAATACAGCTCTAAACTGATTTCAGTCCTAACTCACCATCTCTATCCCCTTTCAGCTCCTAAGTTTTCCATAAACACTATTTGGGTTTTTTTGTTATTTTTTAGACAGGGTCTCACTCTGTCACCCAGGCTGGAGTGCAGTAGTGTGATCATAGCTACTTCACCTCAACCTCCTGGGCTCAAGCAATCCTCCTGTCTCAGCCTCCAGAGTAGCTGGGACTCAGGCTCATGCCACCACAATCGGCTAGTTTTTCTCTTCGTAGACAGTTTTTTGCCATGTTGCCGAGGTTGGTCTCTGGCTCCTGGGCTCAAGCAATCTTTCCACCTCAGCCTCCCAAAGTGTTGGGAATTACAGGCCACTGCACTCAACCATAAACACTAATTTGTAATCTCCAGTAGGAAGACTACTGCGTGTTAGCCGGGCGCCGTGGCTCATGCCTGTAATCCCAGCACTTTGGGAGGCCAAGGCAGGCGGATCACGATGTCAGGAGTTCGAGACCAGTCTGGCCAACACAGTGAAACCCCCAACTCTACTAAAAATACAAAAAAAAAAAAAAAAAAAAAAATTAGCCAGGTGTGGTGGTGTGCGCCTGTAATCCCAGCTACTTGGAAGGCTGAGGCAGAATTGCATGAAGCTGGGAGGCGGAGGTTGCAGTGAGCCGAGATCGCACCACTGCACTCCAGCCTGGGTGACAGAACGAGACTCCATCTCAAAAAAAAAAAAAAAAAAAAAGACTACTGCATGTCTTTTCCCCCTGGGAAACTGTCATTACTTTTACATTCTTCTTCCTTGTGTCTCTTCAAGTGCAATTCCATGGTTCTCTGAACATTAAGTTCCATAAAATTTTAGTTCAAGGATAAAGCACTGATCGGAAACAAAAAAATCTAAAATACTATATTTAAAAAATTAAACCTTCCAACCTAAAAATGAATACCACTTAAAAATGTTAGTACAATCTGTTATTAAAATTCCTGTGCTCACTTCAGCAGCACATACTAAAATTGGAACACAGACCAAGAGTGGTGGCTCACGCCTGTAATCCCAGCACTTTCAGAGGCCAAGGCAGGAGTAACGCTTGAGCCCAGGAGTTCGAGACCAGCCTGGGCAACATAGTGAGATCCTGTCTCTACAAAAAATAAAAAATTAACTGGGAATGGTGGTGCACACCTGTAGTCCCAGGTACTTGGTAGGCTGAGGTGGGAGGATCCCTTGAACCCAGGAGGTCGAGGCTGCAGTCAGATTGTTTGTGCCACTGCACTCCAGCCTGGGTGACAGACTAAGACCCTGTCTCCGAGAAAAAAAAAAAAAAAAAAAAAGATTAAAATGGCCCCTGCACAAGGATGACATGCAAATTCATCAAGCATTCCATATAAGAAAAATTCCTTTCACATACTATGATCAGTAGCGCTTAACTGAAATTACTGAAAATTACTTTCCCCTCAAGCATTCATTATACCCCCATTACTACCCCTCCTATAGTAGAGCTTCAAGCCAATACTAGCCTTTTCTGTAAGCAACATGAATATTGTTCAGATTTTCCAGGTACAAATCAGTAGACAAAACTTAATTTGTATAAAGGATTTTAGTGCATACAAACTGTCATCAAATAAGGTGCTTTTTAACCAGGTTAA
Source organism: Homo sapiens (assembly GCF_000001405.40). Taxonomy (NCBI): domain Eukaryota; kingdom Metazoa; phylum Chordata; class Mammalia; order Primates; family Hominidae; genus Homo; species Homo sapiens. The sequence continues at coordinate 39,183,366 of NC_000014.9, read as the reverse complement.
ATTTTATGATCATCCCTTTAATTCACTATTTACCAACCTCTTTCCTGCCAGGGCACACAGGAAATGAAACATTTTGCTGGATAAGCCACAGATGAAGGTACTAGTGGTGGAACTGGCTCATGGATACAGATTGCTGTGCAAAGCTCTATGCATTTACTGTTTTAATAATTACTCCAATAAAAGGATTTTTAAAAAGAGATCTTTTAACACATCCACTTACACAAGTGAGTTATATACACACAAAAACTAACTGGAAATACTTCTTCACATTTTCACTGTAACCATTTACTTGTCAAGGGAAGGCAAAATGAATATTCAAAGTCAAGGCTAAAGCTACAGTGTTAAACTCAAAGAAGGATGCAATTTAAGTGCTCTCTTGTATAAAGCATCAGAAAGTTAATACAAGTACTAGTCTTAAGCAGTCACACAAGTCTAAGCCACATTTATTTGCACATGTATAGTAATGGCCAACAGATACTCCAAGTTCATACAAATTTGTAAAACAACAAAGTTAATAATCACTTGGTACACTTGTGTGTTATCTTGCTTACATATTAAAACCTAGATGAACTTCCTTCATTTTGTGGACTTCCATACAATACTTCCTTAAACAAAATTCTTGAAAACACATATCAGCATGTTTAAGTTAGAGCCAACACAAAGTTAAGACAAGACACAAACTCAAAAACCAAGTTTGAAAGATACTTTTCTACCTCCCTCCCCTAGAAAGAAGTGATTTTCTTTAACAGATGTATGTTATATCACACAAGTAACCATGAAGACAAAAGAATGACGCTCCCATCATCAGGAAGAAAATGCCAACCAGATCATACTGTTTAGTTATCTACCGAACATATGGTTAAAATATGAGAAACGGGGGAAAATGCTTAGATTAAAATAACAAGGGAGAATAGAAAATAGCAAATGATTTTAAAGAGAACTGTTCCCCCTCAAAGCTGCAAAGCTCTGACTCTGACAACTAAAAACTGTCCAAGGCAAATAAAAACGAGGAAACCTTCAAAAACATTCTAATCACGTGCAGTATCTAGTGTTAAAAGCTGAAAATGATAAAGAGGATATTTATTATACAAGTGTCAACGAGGACATCCCAAAAATAATGAAATAAACACACATTTATTTCTACAAAAGCAATGTATGATACAGAATTAGAAGGGAACAGACTTAAAGATTTGCCTATTAAAATATACAGATTCTTACTGAAGAGTATAGGATATTTAAAAAAGATGACAAGGGATGTTAATCTTTTTTTATTATTATCATTTTTACATATTTTGGAACCTCACATAATTTTGATAAATAACTCTTACAAAATTATGCAAAAAGTACAAGAATGTCTGGTAAACAAACAGTCTGTATTTTCCAAAAAGATTTTTTACAACATGCAATTCTTAAGGCAGCATCCTCTTTACAAGGAAAGGTAATCCTTTTTTATCAAGAAATCTTCTGCTGCAAAGAATGGCTAAGAAAGCCTGGCTTCTTCCATTAACGCCTTTTGTCTTTCCTGTCTGATTTTCGGTCTCTTTCACTTCTTGAAGATCTTTTGCCTGATCGACTACTCTCTGATATAGACCTCTTTCTGTCGGACCGGGAATTCTTATCCTTTGATCCTTTTGTATCTCTACTACTACCACCTTTTGAAGATTTGTGACTTCTTTCTAGTCCTGAAGTATCCCTTCTCTTCCGATCCACGCTCCTTCTGTGCTTTCTATCTCTATTATGTCCCCGGCCCCTACTCCGACTTCTACTCTCACTACTACTACTAGTGCTACTGCTACTATCTCTGCTGCTGCTGCCACTTGTACTGGAGCTGCTACTGGAACTACTGCGACTGCTACTACTTCCACTGCTGGAACTACTTCCACTGCTGCTACTGGTTGAACTGCTACTAGAACTGCTACTGCTACTGCTTCGACTTCTACTCTTGCTTGTTTTATTTCTAGCTCGACCTCTACTTCTGCTCCTAGTTTTGGTTTTGCTCTTGCTCTCTGGATGTACTGTCAAGACTGGCTCTACTGGTACCTCAGTGAGTTTTACAGACTCTACAGGAAAATCCTTCCTCTCAGGTAGTAAATGCCCTTGCTCCTGAGTAACTTGGGGTGTTGGCTGTAAAACAGCTAATGACAAATCCTCAGGCTGAGAGGGAGGCTGGGACTGGAGTACTGGTTGGGACTGGGATTGAAGCTGAAGCTGGGGCTGAGACTGAGGCTGAGGTTGAGCCACAGGCTCAGGTTGGGGCTCAGATTCTTTTTCTTCTTTTTCCTCAGACTCCTTTTCCATGTCTAAAGCACTGACATTCTCTTTCCCAGGAGAAAGGGTTTTACATTCTTTATCTGGCTCAATTTCAAATTCCATTTCTGGTTCCAATTCTTTGCTAGCTTCATTTTCTGAAGGTTCTACACTTTCAACTCGATTAGTTTCCATTACCTCCTGGTCAGCAATTACATGTTTGACATTCTCAACCATCTCTAGCACATCCATAACTTCTTCAGGCTGACTATCCTGCTGCTTCTCACTTTCCCTTACCTCAGTTTCCTCCTCCATCTTAACCTCCATTTCCTGTTTTTGTTCTTCCTCCTCCTGTTCTTTCTCTGCATCACTATGAACAATCGCTATTTCCTTTTCCTCTTCCTCTCCTGCTTCCTCTATTTCTACATCATTGTGCTGATTACCTGTCTCCTCCAACTCTTCCTCTCGCTGAGCCACCTTACCCTCTTCTTGTTCCGCCTTCTGTTCTTCATTACGCACCACCTGATGCTCTTTTTCCTTCATTGATTGTCTTCTAGGCCTAGCCTCCATTTTATTTATTTGTTCTGCAAATTCGATGCGTCTACCTTCAAATAAAGCTAAAGAATAAAAATTTACATGTGTAAAATTTACCGATTAAGAAAATTCAAAGCCATAATTTTATAACTGGTCACAAATTGTCATTAAGCTTCATCTGAATTTGTTTTTGTAAAGTTATGACAAAAGATTATGGCAATTAAGTAACCACAAACTGACATAAAATTATAAAAGCAAAGATCCATGGGAAATCTACATACTAGAAATTGTGGCAGACAGAACTACACATTTTCTAACTGATGAAGAAAACAGATCAATCTTTATGTCTGATGAAAAATAAAACTTCTGTAAAACAGAACCAGTTTTGGCATAAAATCATATATATTAATTTTTCTGATCCCAAAGAGATAAATCATCATCTTAGCAGTGTCTATCCTTCCATGTGTTTTCCATCTAGAAACTGAGTTGGTTTTCACATTTGTCTTATTAGCATTTTATCAGAACAATAATAGCATGCAAAAAAAAGTAATTTTACACAAATGCTTAAGGAATACAGATGCATAAGCACTGTCTATAACTTTCACATTAAACTCCATCATGATACAAATATTCCTATACTACAAACTCACCAGCATCTCAGAATGTATCTTTTTTTTTTTTTTTGAGATGGAGTCTAGCTCTGTTGCCCAGGCTGGAGTTCAGTGGCGTAATCTCGGCTCACTGCAACTTCTGCCTCCCAGGTTCAAGTGATTCTCCTGCCTCAGCCTGCCAAGTAGCTGGAATTACAGGTGCCCACCACCATGCCCAGCTAATTTTTTTTGTATTTTTAGTAGAGACTAGAGACGGGGTTTCACCATGTTAGCCGGGATGGTCTCGATCTCCTGACCTCATGATCTGCCTGCCTCAGCCTCCCAAAGTGCTGGGATTACAGGCGTGAGCCACCACGCCCGGCCTAGAATATCTTATTATCTTATTTAAAAAAAAAAAGCAAACACAGCAAACCAATCACTGAATCATAATTATTTTAGAAAACAAACGTGTGCATATGAACATATTACCTTACCCACTATGAACAATTCAATGGACCTCTTCGCATACTTACCGTTCATTTTTCTCTGTGACTCTTCTATTAGTTTTTGGGTAGCTGGACACATTCTTCCAGGAATATAAAACAAATGGGGCTTTGTCTTAGTTCTTATATATTTAATTATTTTGGCATTATGTTCATTCCATTCTTCTTGCTAAAGAAAAGGTAAAGGGTCAGTGCTTTTGTAAACACAAAGGATTACCAATCTTAGAATTCCAAATTACCACTCACCAGCTGCGCAAGCTCAACTTTCTGTTCCAAAAGCCGCAGTTCTGTCTGTTTAGCACGCCTCTCTTCAAACAGTTCTCTCCTTTCATTTTCAACCTGCTTTCTCTCTTCTTCTGCCTGAACTTCAAGTTTTTGTTCAATTTCCTGGCGCCGCTTTTGCTAAAAGTTAAGTAGCCTGCTTTAATACTTACGTGTTGAAATAGTTACAACAAAAGGTATATATGATTTCAGTTCAATTATGATAAAAAGTTATTACACATACTAATTACGTGAAACATTAGAGGCAGGTAGATCATCTGAAGTCAGAAGCCAACACCACCATCTCTACTAAAAACACAAAAAAATTAACAGGGCGTGGTTGCACGCACCTATAATCCCAGCTACTTGGGAGGCCGAAGCAGGAGAAATCACTTGAACCCCAGAGGCGGAGGTTGCAGTGAGCTGAGATCACGCCACTACACTCCAGCCTGAGCAAGAAGAGCCAAACTCCATCTCAAAAAAAATTTTTTTTTTTTTTTTTTTTTTCACTATGTAAAGGTATCTGCAGGCCGGGCACAGTGGCTCACACCTGTCATCCCAGCACTCTGGGAGGCTGAGGTGGGTGGATTGCTTTGAGCTCAGACCAGCCTGGGCAACATGATAAAACCCCATCTCTACAAAAAAAAAGAAAAAGAAAAAAAAAAGGTATCTGCATATGCTTCACATTTTTTCTTTTTTTGAGATGGAGTTTTGCGCCTGTTGCCCAGGCTGGGGTACAATAGTGTGATCTTGGCTCATTGCAACCTCACCTCCAGGGTTCAAGTGATTCTCTTGCCTCCGCCTCCCAAATAGCTGGGGATTACAGGCGCATGCCACCACAGGCGGCTAATTTTGTATTTTTAGTAAAGACAGGGTTTCACCATGTTGGCCAGGCTGGTCTCGAAAAACTTCTGACCTCAGGTGATCCACCTGCCTCAGCCTCCCAAAGTGCTGGGATTACAGGCATGAGCCACTGCACCTGGCCGCTTCACATTTTCAATTCAGGATACCAACTAACTAGAACTTAGCACTTGGTACTGACTGTAATTTGTCTTTAAGGAAATGGAGACTTGAGGCTTTTTTTTTTCACATATCTAAATTTCAAGGCTATTAGCTATGATATCAACAACTGTTATATTCCAACACAATGTTTAAGTAAAGCTGTTCTATAAGAAGTTAAACCAAGTTTTTACTTGGCTTTGTTTCAGGTTTACAGTTAGGTCTTAAAAGAGCTTTAAGGATTTTTTAAAAAAAACATTAATCTACTACTTTGATAACTTAAATATATGATGCAAAACAAAACTTGGATAAATACCCTTTCAGTAGCAACAGTGGATTCTTGTTTAAATTTTTGAAGGGTACCCATCAACAAGCCAAATATTCGCCGGTTCCTAAAGAACAGAATAAGAAAATTTACTGTCAACAGGATCCATTTCATTTAAACCCATCATTTTCTAAGAAATACTACAGGATGCTTGAACAATCCCTTGATTTTCCTTATAACTGCATTATTTCACTAGAGTTTTTTTCCCCCAGGGAAATACCTTTGCTTTCCCTTTTCATCCATATTTTGATCCTGGATAAGGTCTCTACGTGTGCGCTCTTTGGAGGTAGCTACAACTGAAGACTGCAATGCTGGCTGCAGAAAAAGAAAATCTCAGTAATTTAACTAGCATATGAGTGGTGTGCTTTTAAATGTAGTAAAGTGAAGGTACTACATTCATTTAAGTTCTTTCAATCTCAATACCTTTTTAACATCATCATCCTCCGGGTCGCTTTCCTGGCGTGATTCTCTTCTGGTCCGACGCTCCCCGCCCAGCCTGTCATAGAAAATATTAATTTTTTTGAGACAGGGTTTCACTATACCACCCAGGCTGAAGTGCAGTGGTGCCACCACGGTTCACTGCAGCCTCGACCTCCCAGGCTCAAGTGATCCTCCTGCCTCATCCTCCCAAGCAGCTGGGACTACAGGCGTGAGCCAGCATGCCTGGGTAACTTTTTTGTACTTTTTGTAGGGATGGGATTTCACCATGTATCTAGGCTGTTCTCCAACTCCTGGGCTCAAGTGATCTGCTGGTCTTGGCTTCCCAAAGTGCTGGGATTACAGGGATGAGCCACTGTGCCTGGCCAAAAATTAATTTAAATGACCACTGAGGTATTTATGTAACTGCACACCAAGGGCAAATGCCCTCTCTTCTAGGACTCGTTTCCAGAAGCTTTGTTCTATCAAGTCTCCATCCCATTTTATTCTTTCCTCCAGCAGAGAAAGGATACTACAATGTGTGAACTAACGCCCAAACCAATTTTGCTCTCCTGTATTTTCTAAGTATTTCAAACTGGTTAAGTTTTTCAAGTACAAGTCAGAAAAAATGGTACTAATTGACAATTTTTCCAATTTTACTCTTCACATGACCTTTATTTGGATAAAATTTAGGTTATCATGAGTGCAGAACTGCGTTTTGAGGGAACTGATAGTCAACTGTTCAGTCAAATACCAACAGAACTTGGGGGGGGCAGGGAGTGGCATACCACTCAATTTTAATATTGCTGAAACAGAATTATTGTTAATAAACATTTATATTTGTGTGGTACCTCAGAAACTAAAGAAGCCTTCAGGAATCTTTTTTTAAACCTACCTACTGACTGCCCCTTCAAGGTCTCTCTGTTTGGCTGGGGGTCCTCCTCCACTATCTGAGAATCCACGCCTGAAATTTAAAATGTTCAACATAAAACACTTGAAATACAAGATAAATGGTATTTCCATTTGACAAGAGAATATGGTTAAACTTTCAAAAATCTTTCCAACTAAAGTAGCCTTAAACGGGCATTCATTCCAAAATGCTTTTATAGTGTTACTTTATAAGAATTAAGTTCACTCAAAATTGGTAAACTTAATATATTCTTCAACCTCCAGTTTTTCAGGATAACTATATTTATACAGAAATCTAGTCTATTACAACATTAAACAAAACAAAGACGACAAACACTGGGTTATTGATTTTATCACAGGTTTTGTTCAAACCAACATATTTAGTAAAGTACCAGTAGTTTCAGCATGAGTAAAGTCCAAAGGAAATCTTACCTCAGTAATAAACTACCACGTCCTCTACCTCCACCAGGACCAGAAAGGGCCAGCAATCTGGCTTGGATGGGCCTGTAAAAGATTTACAAATCAGTGCAAAATCATATGTAGACACACACAGTCGCACCCAAATACTTTCAGAGATGTGGATCATAAGGAGAAAAAATCACAAAAGTTCCAAAAAGATAGTTTCAAATAAATCTAAATGTCTGAAACAGGACAGGAAGTACTATTTCATTTAACTTCCTCGTTTCTCCAGGACCTGTGTCACAGAAATTATATTCACCTCGATGCCCCCACACATTAACAAGCCTGGATCAGGTCCCCATCCCGCCATCCCCGAGGAGGCTGCACGTGGACAGGAAGCTGGGGTAAGGCGGCTTGTTGCGTCCCGGCAGGGTCTCGGGGCCAGCAACGGGCCGGGTGTCCGCCGGAGCGGGAAGGGGCTTTGTGCTGCAGTTCCGGGCCTGCAGGGCCGAGAGCGGGAATCAGCAGTCCGGGTCTTCTCACAGGCCAAGAAAGCATGCCGGCGCACCCAGGCCTCGCTCTCCTTCCTCAGGGACCTGAGACCAGCGCTCTACGGAGGGGACCTGGGGCCTCTCCACCTCGGCGACAACAGGGTTTTACCCGCCGCCCCGCGAACAGGCCTCGAGGTTCCAGTCTTCTTAAGGCTGGCCGCCCTCCCCGCCCCCAATTCACCCCGACCTGAGGGCTGCCTCTCCGAGCTCCGAGTTCCGAGTTCCCGTTAGGCCCTTACCTCACGTCATTCGGATCCCGCCCGGTGAGCTTGCGAATGTTCTCATCCACGTTCTTAAGACTCTCTTTGGCCTTTTCCAGCTGTTCCTGCAAAGTTCTCACGGCGACCGCCATCTTCTCCCTGCGGCAGGCTTGAGACTGCTTTACAGGCCGAGCCGGGCTATGCCGCGCCGCCGAGGCGCGAAAGGACTGACAGCCGGGCTCAGCCAATGACGATGAGCGTTGTCTTCCGGCCTCAACCACTCAGCGACCGGAAGGGGGAAGAACCTGCAGCCTTTGTGACTCTGAGCCAATGAAAAGTCAGCCAGGCAGTCATCTCCCTCCCCAGTTAGCTGCGGGTGCCTGGATCCCGCTGCTAGCGCAGAGTCGGGGCGGGTTTCACAATCCCTGAGTTCTCGGAGACTTAGGCTCGCGAGTCTGCAGTTCTGGCAAGGGGAGCGCGGAGTTTTCTAGGCCTTTTAACCTATGATGTAATGTGCCTTACACCGTTTTAACGTGATCACATCAGAGTGGGACTTAGCCAAGCCTCCTTTTCTTCCTTACCCTCACCTTGGTTAATGATTTAATTAGGAAAGGGCGCGGCTATTCTGTTGGTGCGCATGCTCAGAGAGGGGGTGGGCGCGTGCTTTCCTCTATTAGGTTAATTTTTTTTTTTTCACACGGAGTCTCGCTCTGTCGTCCAGGCTGGAGTGCAGTGGCACCATCTCGGCTCACTGCAACCTCCTCCTCCCGGGTTCAAGCGATTCTCCTGCCTCAGCCTCCTGAGTACCTGGGACTACAGGCGCGCGCCAACACGCCTGGCTAATTTTTGTATTATTAGAGACCGGATTCCACCATGTTGGGCAGGCTGGTCTCGAACTCCTGACCTCAGGTGATTCGCCTGCCTCGACCTCCCAGGGTGCTGGGATTACAGGCGTGAGCCACCACGCCCAGCCTGATTAGGTTAAAGTGAGAAGAGGGAAGACAAAAATGAAAACTAGTAAAAGTCATTAGTCATAATGGCTAACGTTTGTTAGGGGTTGATCTTGTTCCCGACCCTCTGTGAAACCGTCTACATGCCTTATTTCTCACAAACTGAAAGTGTGGATAAAATGCCTGTTATTACTGATAAGGAAATTGAGACTGGAGATAATATAACTGTCCTTTGGTCACGCCAGTTGAGAATCAGTCTCTGATTAGACGCTGAGCATCTATACTAGAGAAAAGAAAGCAATGGCGAGACAGACACGCAGTCATGGTTGAGTTAGCCTCTTCACCTGGCCTAGAGCTGGTTAAGACCAGACCTAAGGGAGCGGCCCTGTTGTTAGTGGTGTCTGTGTGTGTTGTCCCGCTTCTGGTTCTGCCCTACCTGCACTGCCAATGTAGGAACTAGTTTTGTTCTATAAATATATATACAAATTGAAGCTCAGAAAACATTTTTTCACAGGCCAGGCACAGTGGCTCACGCCCGTAATCCCAGCACTTAGGGAGGCTGAGGCAGGTGGATCACTTGAGGCCAGGAGTTGGAGACCAGCCTGGCCAACATGGGGAAACCCCGCCTTTACTAAAAATACAAAAATTAGCTGGGAGTGGTGGTGTACGCCTGTAATCCCAGCTACTCGGGAGCCCGGGATGCGGAGGTTGCAGTGAGCCGAGATTGCACCACTGCACTCTAGCCTGTGCGACAGAGTGAGACTCCGTCCCAAACAAACAAAAAAACAAAACACTTTCCCACAGAAACAATGCTTTAAATAATCTCAGCCAGGCATCTATCTTCCTTGTACAAAGAATTAGTGGGCCCAGTGTATTAATTAACTCAAGCTACCACTTTAATCCAGCAATCTTTTAGAGCTTCCATTGTGTATCAGCAGTAAGCTAGGGTTTGAAAATAAAGCCTAGAACAAGATAGTTGTGATTCCTGCTTCTGTGGGGTTTGTAGGCTTCCAAAGGAGCAATGATCATTCATTAGTTCAACAAATACTGAGGGCCCACTATGTGCCAGGTGCTATTCTAGGCACTTGGGTATATCAGTGTACAATAAAGATCTCTGAGCAAGTCCAGTGGATTGTGCCTGTAATCCCAGATACTTGGGAGACTGAGGTGGGAGAATCGCTACAGCCCAGGAGTTAAGACCAGCCTGGGCAACATAGCAACGATCCTGTCTCTAAAAATAAAAATTTTAAAAATTGTACTGGAGAGGCTGAGGCGGGATGATTGTTTGAGTCCAGGAGTTTGAGACTGCAGTGAGCTGTCATCACACCACTGCACTCTAGCCTGGGCAGCAGTGAGACTCTGTCTCAAAAATAAATAAATAAATAAATAAATAGTATAGCATGTTAGAAAGCGGGAAGTACTATAGGAGAAAAAAATGTAGAGATGAATAATGGGGATGAAGATTGACAATTATCTAATTCTGATTGTGAGCATACTTAGCCTCATTGATCTTATTACAGGTCTGTGTACAACCTTAGGCAGTACCTGAGGCATGAGAGTGTGATAATAGTAGAGCGTATTCAGCAAGTGTAAGAATGTTTGCATGTATGGTCGGCCCGGTAATCCCAGGATTTTGGGAGGCCTTGGTGGGCGGATCACTTGAGATTGGGAGTTCAAGACCAGCCTGGCCAACATGATGAAACCCTGTCTCTACTAAAAATACAAAATTAGTCCTGCATGGTGGCAAGTGCCTGTAGTGTCAGCTGCTTGGAAGGCTGAGGCAGAATTGCTTGAGCCCGGGAGGTGGAGGTTGCATGCAGTGAGCCAAGATCATGCCACTGCACTCTGGCCTGGGCAACAGTGAGACTCTGTCTCAAACAAAACAAAACACACACAGCTGGGCACAGTGGCTCAAGTCTGTAATCCCAGCACTTTGGGAGGCCGAGGCAGGCGGATCACCTGAGGTCACGAGTTCGAGATCAGCCTGACCAACATGGAGAAACCCCGTCTCTACTAAAAATACAAAATGAGCTGGGCTTGGTGGTGCATGCCTGTAATCCCACCTACTCGGGAAGCTGAGGCAGGAGAATCACTTGAACCCGGGAGGCGGGGTTGCAGTGAGCTGAGATAGTGCCATTGCACTCCAGCCTGGGCAACAAGAGCAAAACTCTGTCTCAAAACACACACACACACACACCACACTCACTGTCCTTGCTTCCATAGGATCTATTCCTAGGAGCCTTGGCAATTTAACTTTATGGAGAAGGATAAGTAGGATGCTGTGTTCAATAGTTAGTAGGTCCTCATTAAATAAGTTTCCTTTCTATCCAGAAACGTACTTTAAAAGCCTCATGTTATTGTGGTTGGAGAAGTCAACTTTGATAAATTGGCCATTTACTTACTTTTTGACTTGTGTGGTGGACTTGGACTCCTTTTTCTTGATGGTAGTGATGAGGGCAAGAATGTCATCTAGACATAAAGGACCTGATTTCGCATAACTGAAAATTTAGTGCTGGAAAAATTAAGATTACCATGGCAAAATACTCTTCAAAATTACACAATTTAGTGTTTTCAAAGGCTTAAGTGGAGCTTTTATGCTGGATTTACGTGATGAATGGAATAAACTGATTCAAACATTAGAAGGGACATGCTTAAAAAAAAAACCTACCACAATTAAAATTTTGGAACATGATCTTAAATTCCTGTGAAAGGGCATGAAGAGTTTGTGTGTGTGTTTCGTTTTTTGAGACGAAGTCTTGCTCTGTCGCCCAGGCTGGAGTGCAGTGGCACAATTTCTGCTCGCTGCAACCTCTGCCTCCCAGGTTCAAGTGATTCTCCTGCCTCAGCCCCCCGAGTAGCTGGGATTACAGGCACCTGTCACCACGCCCGGCTAATTTTTGTATTTTTAGTGGAGACGGGTTTTCACCATGTTGGCCAGGCTGCTCTCAAAACTCATGACCTCGTGATCCCCCCCACCCCCCGTGCCTCGGCCTCCCAAAGTGCTGGATTTTACAGGCATGAGCCACCTTGCGGTATGTTAATTTGGGGGAAAACAACAGGGACAATTGGGGAAAAATTTTGTTTTGTGAATTACCAATGGAAGAACTAATCACAGGCTAAGCAACATGCTTACGGTTGAATTTGCCAAATTTAAGATGTACATACTATGATGTAGCATGTGTATTTATTTGCACATGCAGTGGGACAATTCCTACAGTTGTCTCACACTGCTGTAGATTATTAGCAACTCCATCCTGCAGTGACATCGCTTTTCTGAATTCTATAGCACTTTTCACCTAATCCTCTGATTAGTCTGTATTTTCCGGTTCAAGTGTATCTTGTTTTTCGTTTGCTCCACTTCCCTTGTCCCTTGCACCCCACTAACAGGAAAATTCCTGGTGGTCAAAATGGCTCTAATTCTTTTTGTATACCCGGGCTTAATTCAATAGGAATTGGGATAACTTTTCAATATTTAAAAAATTTGCACTGTGAAAACGTATATTTTAAACTCTTTCTACAACTTTTCATATTTGAAGAACATATGGCAGGAAGTGGATGCTTTTGATGAAGCCAAAAGAATTTTTTTAACTTCTATTGCTAATTAACAAGGAGGTGGCCGCGGGAGCTCTTTTTTTTTTTTTTTTTTTGAGACGGAGTTTCACTCTTGTTGCCCAGGCTGGAGTGCAGTGGCGCGATCTCAGCTCACCGCAACCTCCGCCTCCCGAGTTCAAGCGATTCTCCTGCCTCAGACTCCCGAGTAGCTGGGATTACAGGCATGCACCACCAGGCCCCGCTAATTTTGTACTTATAGTAGAGACGGGGTTTCTCAGGCTGGTTCGAACTTCCGACCTCATGTGATCCACCCGCCTCCGCCACCCAAAGTGCTGGGATTACAGGCGTGAGCCACCGCGCCCGGGCCAGGCGGGAGCTTTAGGTCTTATTTTATCTTGCTCTGCCCCCGACATCGTGGTGAGAGGGGAACCTTCCTCATATCTGGGCGCTGGCCTCTCCGGGCTTGGGAGAGAGGAACTCAGTGATCATAGAGCTGGCCGAATGCCGGGGTAGAGGGGACCGGAAGTTGTTTTTTTCGCCCCCGCCCAGCGGCCGGATCGCATCTCAGCTGGTTGGCTTTGGTTAGAGCTCCCGTCAGACTTTAGTTCGGCCCTAGGATTTGGTAGCCCCGAAGTGTGGGCTCTCTCCAGTACCAGACTCATTTCAGTACCAGCCTTTGGGAAGTCGTGTGAATACCTCGGTCTCTTAGCCACAGGGATAGAATGGCGGCCTGACGGAGCCGCGGCGCCGGCGAAGTCGCTGAGGCGCGAGCTGGAACCCCCAGACCAGCTCAAACGGGAGCCAAAACTCGAAGCTTGGAAGAATTAGCAGGAAATGGCGGATGAGGCGTTGTTTTTGCTTCTCCATAACGAGATGGTGTCTGGAGTGTACAAGTCCGCGGAGCAGGGGGAGGTGGTGAGTGCTGCCACACAACCTTGAGGTCCTTTTGCGGTGACACACCTTGTTTCCCCTCAGTGCTTTCCTTCAACCCCTGTCCCATCGCCACCCGACGCCTCCCGAGGTGTACACAAAATGGTCCACCTCCAGGTGTCCTAAACCCTAGAACCTGTCAGTTGTCTCCTTTGAACCGTCATCTTTCATCGTTTTCTCTTTCGTATCTTCTTCTATTTGATTCTCTTTTGTCTATTCCCGTACGTTTGTCTTGCACGCCACAGATTTTGGTACTTTTAGTGTTGTCCCTGCCATTATTTACGAGAGGGTTAACTGCAGAGCCTACTTAGTTTTGCTGGCACTTCCAGCACTTGAGCCATGCACTGGACAGACCTGTGCCAACCTGAGAAGCCTGTCCCTCCTTCCTCATTCCTAATGCTCAGTACAACTCCACACAACTTGAGACCTGAAGCCTAATGAAGGTTGAGTTTGCAAAGGAAAGTTTGCAGGCGTTAGGATAATTAGGGAACATAATTTAAATTAATTATTTCAGAAAGTATTTATTTAGTGCCCTTATGTCAGAGCGATTTCTAGGTGCCAGGGATATAGTAGTGAATGAAACAATGGCCCCATCCTTGTAGAGATTTTTTTTTAATCTAATTTAATCCGAAATGTGATAGTATGTAGCGGTTACTTCTAATATGTGGGAGTCCTTATTCAATCATTGTGGGCCTGTCACTGCTGACACTGCTAGATAAATTAAATAAAATAATACTCCTGCCTCACAGTATTTAGGGAATAGTGATTTAATGAATAGTTAACACTGAGTATTGGCTGGTAGAATCATGGAGTTGTAACGGATTTTAGAAATACTCCAAAGTCATGCTCAAGTCAGGAGCCCTTTCTTTAATGCTATTGATAAAAAATGAGTGGAGAGTGGGGATAGGAAATGTATCCTAGGCAAAGATAAAGTGGTAGAGGTATGAAAGAGTGGTGGATTTAAATACACTTAAGCATTTCTTTGGACTAGACTGAATAGAGAGTGAGAAGAATTGAGAGGTGAAGTTAGAAAGCTTTGTGTAATTAAAGAATTCGGATCTTTTCGAGGGAATATTTTTAAGGAAGGGAATGATGTGGACCATTTGCATTTTAGAAAAGTAATCCAGTGTTTGGGCTAGAGAGGGAAGATCCTTGTAGGGGGAAAATCCTTTATTACGGGAGTCACTGCAGGAGGAGATGAAGATCTGGATTAAGACAGGGATAGTGAGAAAAGGAGATAACAGATTTGAAAGTTAGAAAGTGGAATTCTGTAGGCCTTGTTTAAGGATGGGAGTGGGAGTTGAAAATTATCGTCAGGTTTTCAGCTTGAGCAGCTGGGTTGGATGGTGGTACTATTAATCAGAAAAGGAAATAAAGGAGAAGAAAAAAATAAGGAGGTAAGATAATGAGTTATTTCGGGGCAGGTTGAACTTTTGAGGTGCCTGTATGACATCCAAAAAAAGGTACTGCCAGTTTGCACAAGAAGGATAGGCAGGATACATTTGGAAGGTTATTGGAAATGAAGCGAATTCTATTCTTATTCAAATGACCCATCTATAATAGAGATTTTTTTCAAGTCACAAACTTCTGACTTTATTATTGACCTCAAGGTTTACTGTTTGTGCAAAGCTAGCCTTCCTTTTCCCTCTAGAACAGTTAACACACCCCTTTTACTTTTTTGTCATAACCCCCGATCCCCCCAAACCACTTGCGTATTCAGTTCTCTTCATTCTCCCCTCCCTTCTTACCTTTCCTCTTCTCTCTCTCTCTTTTTTTTTTTTTTTAGATGGAGTTTTGTTCTTGTCTCCCAGGCTGGAGTGCAGTGGTGTGATCTCAGCTCACTGCAGCCTCCGCCTCTTGGGTTCAAGCGATTCTCCTGCTTCAGCCTCCTGAGTATCTGGAATTACAGGTGCCGGCCACCATGCCTGACTAATTTTTTTGTATTTTTAGTAGAGACGGAGTTTCACCCTGTTGACCAGGCTGTTCTTGAACTTCTGACCTCAGGTGATCTGCCCGCCTTGGCCTCCCAAAGTGCTGGGATTACAAGCGTAAGCCACTGCGCCTGGCCCTTTTCTGACTCTTGTCTAGAATAATATTTTTTCTTCTTTTTAAAATATCTTTTTTTTTTCCCGTGGGTTAATCCTAAATAAAATGAACAGAGCTGTTCTACTCAGGCCTGATAATTTTAAGAGATGGACTAACATACAAGAGAAAGGAAGTTCATAGTTTTGAATCATTTAAGCTAAAAATAACTTTCTTTTTCTACTGCAGTGTATTTATGATGGGGGGGAAAATTGAAAGTACATAATAAGCAAAAATTATATAAATAACAGTTATGTGGTAGTCTTCATAATCAGAACCCATACTGAAATACGGGTATATAAGGGTTCACATTAGTGTCCATACTTTGAGTGTGCTTGAAATTTTTCATCATGAAAAATGTAAAAGATACATAATCCTGTCATCCAGAGGTGATTTTTAGAGATTTTTTTCAGACATAAAAAGATCTGTAAAAACTATGTTGTTTATGTCTGAAAAGACCTATAAAATCCATTTCTCGCTGACAGGATTATGTGTCTTTTTTTTTGTTTTTGTTATGGAAAGTTTTTTTAAATGAAATAAAGTTTTATAAATTTTCAGTATAGCAAAATAAACTTCCATAAGACTTGAGGTGAGATAAAAGAAAGAAACAGTGTTCTAACCCTCCAAATCAAGGTTTTTCAAACTATGCTTAAAGAGGAATTCTCTTAAAATGGACTAATTGGGCATTTCTCAATTTATGGTGAATGGATTTTGAAAGGCTAATGGATAAAATGTTCTCAAGTTGAATTTTTCTTAAAAATTTGGTGCCTACTCAAAAGTGCATGAACAAGTAGCAAAATTAAGTAGTAGGGCTTAATTCAAAAGCTCATGTGATCATAGGATTTGAAAGTGTCTGCATATAAGCATATTGTAACTGCCCAGTGGGTTCTTCTTCCCCACTGCCCAGGTAGAGCTGATCTATCAAGACAGGAGAATTGCAATAAGGAGTTTATGTAGAGCTGCTAAATGGGAGAGCAGAGTTTTATTATTGCTCAAATCAGCCTCCCCAAACATGCAGAGTCTAGGGTTTATCAAGGATAGTTTGGTAGGCTGGGGGCTGGGGAATGGGTGCTCCTGGTTGGTTGGGGATGCAGTTACAGAGGTGGGGGCCAGAGGACCAGTTGGAGTCATCCGAAATGCAAAAGTCTGAAAAGACATCTCAAAAGGCCTTTTTTAGGTTCTACAATAGTGATATTATTTACAGGAGTAATTGGGGAAGTTACAAATCTGTGACTTCCAGAATAATGTCTGATTATCATTTAACTACCTACATTTTAGCAGAATTCAGACCCCTCTCATAAGCCTAACCTTATAGTCTTTCATTAGTTTTGCAAAGGTGATTTAGTTTCGGGAAGGGCTATTATCATTCTTGCTTTAAGCTTACACTATAAACTAAATTTCTCCCAAAGTTAGCTTGGGCTGCATCCAGAAATGACCAAGGGCAGCTTGGAGGTTAAAGGCAAGATGGAGTTGATTAGGTGAGATCTCTTTTACAGTCATGATTTTCTTACTGTTACAATCTTTGCAAAGGTGGTTTCAATAGTTCCTGCTAATAAATATGTTCCTAGGTGATTCTACAGAGAGCAGATTATTCCAAAAAGAGCATCATGATTTACAGACACTTATTCTAGCTGAACTTGTTTTTTTGTTTTTTTTTTTTTTAAGAGACAAGTCTCTGGGTTAGTGTGGTGGCTCACACCTGTAAATCCCAGCACTTTGGAAGGCTGAGGTGGGAGAATTACTTGAGCCCAGGAGTTGGAGACCAACCTGGGCAACATAGTGAAACAGTGTCTCTATTTAAATAAAAAAAAAAAGAGGCTGGACACGGTGGCTCAGGCCTGTAATCCTAGCACTTTGGGAGGCCAAGGCAGGCAGGTCACAAGGACAGGAGTTCCAGGCCAGCCTGGCCAACATGGTGAAACTCCGTCTCTACTAAAAATACAAAAAATAGCTGGGTGTGGTGGTGCACGCATGTAGTCCCAGCTACTCGGGAGGCTGAGGCAGAAGAATCACTTGAACCCAGGAGGCGGAGGTTGCATTGAGCCGAGATTGTGTCACTGCACTCCAACCTGGGTGACAGAGCAAGACTCAGTCTCAAAAAAAAACAGAGAGAGAGAGAGAGAGACAATGTCTTGCTCTGTCATGCAGGCTGAAATGCAGTGTTGGGACTTTGGCTCACTGCAGCCTTGACCTCCTGGGCTTAAGTGATCCTCCCACATCAGCCTCTCGAATAGCTAGGGCTATGGGCATGCTACCATGTCCAGCTAATTAAAAAAATTTTTTTTTGTAGAAACAGAGTCTTGCTATGTTGCTCAGGCTGGTCTCAGACTCCTAGTCTCAAGTGACCCTCCTGCCTCAGCCTCCTACGGTGCTGGGATTATAGGCATGAGCACTGCGCCTGGCCTCATCCTAAGCATGTTTGAGAAGTGTGGAGAATAGCAGAAAAACTGAAGATAGTGATACGTACAGTAATAGATGTATGTACAGAATTTTACGACAGCATAGGGCCTAAGGAAGTTTCAGGGAAGCCATCTGGGAGAATGTAATACTTGAGCAGAATTTAAAGAATGTGAATGCCAGGCGCGGTGGCTCACGCTTGTAACCCAGCACTTTGGGAGGCCGAGGCGGGCGGATCACAAGGTCAGGAGATCGAGACCGTCCTGGCTAACATGGTGAAACCCCATCTCTACTAAAAATACAAAAAATTAGCCGGGCGTGGTGGCGGTCGCCTGTAGTCCCAGCTACTCAGGAGGCTGAGGCAGGAGAATGGCGTGAACCTGGGAGGCAGAGCTTGCAGTGAGCCGAGATCACGCCACTACACTCCAGCCTGGGCAACTGAGCGAGACTCCGTCTCAAAAAAAAAAAAAAAAGAATGTGAAGTCTAGGGAATAGCACATAAAAAGGCAGGGAGACAGAAGAGAACATGGCACTCTGGAGTTGCTGCAGAAATTTCAGAGTGGTAAAAGGGAAGGATGTTTGTGAATTTGGTTAACTAGCCAGGAGTCTTTAAGGAAAGGACATACCATGATGCCATGCTAAGGAGTTTGGACTTTATTTTTTGTTTGTTTGTTGGTTTGTTTTGAGACAGGATCTCACTCTGTTGCCCGGTCTAGAGTGCAGTGGCTAGATATTGGCTCACTGAAACCTCTGCCTCCTGCACTCAAGCCATCCTCCTACCTCAGCCTCCCAAGTAGCTGGGACTATAGGTGCATGCCACCATGTTCACCTAATTTTTGTAATTTTTTTAAAGATGAGGTTTCACTATGTTGCCCAGGCTGCCCTCGAACTCCTAAGCTCAAGCAATCCTTGGCCTCCCAATGTACTGGGATTTACAGGCATGAGTCACTACATCAGGCCTGGACTTTATTTTGAAGAAAGGGGAGCAGGTGCTGAAATTCCAGTAGAGAATAACATGATTTTTTTTTTAGACAGAGTTTCACTGTTATTGCCCAGGCTGGAATGCAATGGGGTGACCTTGGCTCACTGCAACCTCCGCCTCCTGGGTTCAAGCAATTCTCCTGCCTCAGCCTCCCGAGTAGCTGGGATTACAGGCATGCGCCACCATGCCCAGCTAATGTTTTATGTTTTTAGTAGAGATGGGGTTTTTCCGTGTCGGTAAAGCTGGTCTCGAACTCCTGACCTCAGGTAATCCGCCTGCCTCGGCCTCCCAAAATGCTAGGAGGCGTGAGCCATCATGCCCGGCCGAGAATAACATGATTTTTTTTAGAAATTTACTTTAGTAGAAGTTACACTACCAGAAATATAGAAGATGACACAAAGTAGGAAAAAATGAGACAAGACCAGTTGGAAAGCTATAGCTAAAAACCAGGAGAGAAATGATAAGGCTTTACTTAAGAAGTAAGGGTAGAGAGAGACGATGAATTTTGAAAAGCTTGTAAAAGATAGGCTCCACCGGACTACAGTGTATGGGGGGTTGGGAGCACAGGGGTGAAGAAAATGGAAGTTTTCTGGTTGGAGTAACTAGGTGAATGGTGGTGCCATTAATGAAGTTAGGAAATTTTGGAGGCAGAGCAGGCTGAAGACATTAATAAAATGAATATCATTTGAATATGCATACTTCGAAGGTCCTGTGGGACCACTAGATGTCTATGCCCAATAAAGTCTGTACTAGAAACGCAGATTTAATAGTCACAGCACCATAAGCAGAGTGCATGGTTCCTTAGAAGAAAGTTTAGCAAATAATAAGCCCTATGGTTTCCTTAGTGGGAGACAAACAGCCTTCAGAATATACAAAAATCCCTGCCTTTTTGGAGCTTTATTTTAGCAGAGAGGGGAACAAGGGGCACATGGGCAATATAAAATAGTAAAATGTATGGTATATTAAATGGTGAAAGAAGTTCTGTGGAGACAGATTAAGCAAGGAAGTGGGACTGAGTATCAAAATCAATTTTTAGAAGGTTTGTTAAAGCTGATTAGCGGCCCCATACCCAGAGTTTCTGATTAAGTAAATTGGGAGTGGGACTAGAGAATTTGCAAGTTCCCATGTGATGCTGATGTTGCTGGTCTTTTTTTTTTTTTTTTTTCTGGTGATGAAGTCTCGCCCTGTCACCCAGACTGGAGTGCAGTGGCATGATCTCGGCTCGCTGCAATCTCTGCCTCCTGGGTTCAAGCGTTTCTCCTGCCTCAGCCTCTTGAGTAGCTGGGACTACAGGTATGTGCCACCATGCCCGGCTAATTTTTTGTATTTTTAGTAGAGATGAGGTTTCACTGTGTTAGCCAGGATGATCTCGATCTCCTGACTTCGTGATCCGCCCACCTCAGCCTTCCAAATGCTGGGATTACAGATGTGAGCCACCACACCCAGCCAACACATTTTTAAAATCACTAGGATAGAGAGTTGCCAAAGGGGTATGATGTTGCACTTTTAAAGAAGATGGTTAAAATGGGCCTAAGATGGTGACATGAGAGTAGACTCAAAGGAAGTGAGGGAGTTGGTTGTGTGACTATCTGGAGGAAGAGTTGATGCAAAAGCCCCTGGAATGTGCCTGGCATGTTTAAGGGACGGGGCAGAGTGCATCTGCAGAAGGTTGAAGCCAGAGAGGTATGGGGTCTGGATTGTAGAGGACAGTCCATCAGTCATCCATAGGATTTGGATGTGTTCAGCATAGAGGTACTATTTCAAGCCTTAAGATTGAATGAGATTGTCAAAGAAAGAGCAAAGCAATCTCATGATTTAAGGCAAAGTGTGATAATCAGCTAAGACACTGAGAACTGGGAAGCCTGGATGATTCTGAGACATTTTGAAGCAAGGAACAATAGAACTTAGAGCAGAAAGCAAATGACTCAGGGAAAAACATCAAAGGTGATACCAGGTTTTATAACCTAGGAGAGAAGAATGATTGAAATTGGGATAAAAGGGAGACGAGGAGTAATTAGGAAGAGGATTTGATTTCTGAAAATCAATTATAAGCAGTAGTTCCCTGTTTATCCTGTTGCCTTGTGCCAGGTGCAGTGGCTCACACCTGTAGTCCCACAGCTTTGGGAGGCCAAGCCAGGAGGATATCTTGAGGTCAGGACTTTGAGACCAGCCTGGGTAACAGAGTGAGATCCCATCTCTTAAAAAAAAAAAAAATAGCCAGGCATGGTGATGTGCCTGTAGTCCTAGCTACTTGGGAGACTGAGGTGGGAGGATTGCTTGAACCCAGGAATTTAAAGCTTCAATGAACCATGATCTCGCCAGTGCACTGCAGCCTGGGCGACAGAGCAAGACTTGTCAAATAAATAAGTAAATAGCAGTTTGGTCTTTTGTTGGAGGAACGTCTATTCTTAGCTTGGACACTGCGGTTTTTCCTTGGGCAGCAGAAGCAATGTGGCGATTGAAGAAGTGACCTAAAACTTTGATGTTAGGTAGAAGCAGATGGCCCAAGCCAAGACAAGTGCTTGTAAATCCACTGGTGGGAGCCCCTCCTCCTAACAGCAGGTTATTAACGCTGCCAGAAAAAAAGTGTCCCCTCTACCGGTCTGGTGAAGAAACCTCATCGCTACGGGCCTGGGACTGTGGCACTTCTAGAGATTCTCGTTACCAGAAATTGACCTAGCTTCTCATCTGGAAGCTGCCTTTCTAGAGGTTGGTGAGAGAGATCACCCAGGATTTCAAAACCAACTTTAGGTTTCAGAGCACAGTCATTGGGGTGCTGCAGGAGGCTAGTGAAGTGTACCTGGAGGCTAGTGAAGTGTACCTGGTGGGTTGGTTTGAAGATGCTAATTTGTGTGCCATCTACGGTAAGAGAGTTGGCTCTCATGCCCAAAGACATCCAGTTGGCTCGCCAGACACGGAGTGAGCGAGCTTAAGTGAAGGCAGATTTTAAGGCATTTTATATGAATTCTGTAAAATACTTTGGTTTAATTTGTGACTTTTTGGGGAGAAATTATTTATAATATGTTGCATTTGTGCTTAAGTCATTCCGTCTTTTGGGATGAATGTGAAAAGTGACTGTTCATAGACCTCAGTGACGTAAGCACTGTTGCTCAGGAGTGACAAGTTGCTAATACGCAGAAGGGATGGGTGACATTTTTTCATTCTCATGACGCATGTTTCTGTAAGTTAATGACTTGTTAGGTAGCTATTAAGGAACTAGAGTTGATAAATAAATGTGTATAGGTTCCTTTTGCAATATAACTGGTTATTACTTGATCCAAGTGTTTAACATTTGGAGCTAAGTCTGACCATACATTACTGTGATAGAATGTGGGCCTTTTCAAGGGTGAAGATACAAGCCTTAACCACAGTATAACTTGCAGTTTCCTTAAACAAACAAAGAAATAAAAACCTAGCATGGAGTACATTATGTGCATTTATAATAGCTATTTTAAATATTGTAGTGTCAACATTCAAAAATTAATTCTTTTACATTCGCAAATGGTGGGGAGTCTTGTCATTAAGGTGTGTATAACTTAGAATCCACTTGGTTTTCTCCTAACTGGACTGCATTTGTTTTCATAGTAGTAAAATGTTATGTGTATTACACCTTGCATAAGTCCTCATTCTACTACGTGTTAACTAACCCTCTAGATGATAATGCAGATGCTAACTGTGGGATTTTATTTATAAGAACTCTAGAATAAATACCAGTTATTCCTACCAACATCGGCTGTTACTAATATTCTGAAGTAGTTAGTGCAACTTTTCATTGTGTTGTGGTTGGTCTCCTAAGTAGGTTGGATTTTTCTCCTCTTCTAAGAGAAAACAATAGTGAAATTATTTTCTTTCTCTTTTCTCTCTGTTTCTGTCTCTTTCTCTCTCTCTTTCTCCCTTCCCTTCCCTTCCCTCCCCTCCCCTCCCCTCTTCTTTTCTTTTCTTTCTCTTCTCTTCTCTTTTCTTTCTTTCATGGGGTCCCTTGCTCAACCTGTTGCCCAGGCTGGAGTGCAATGACATGATCATGGCTCAGTGCAGCCTCAACTTCCTGGACTCAAGCAATCCACCTGCATCAGCCTCCAAAATGGCACATGCTACCATGCCCAGCTATTTTATTTTTACTTTTAGTACAGATGTGGTCTTGCTATGTTGCCCAGGCTGGTCTTGAGCCATTGAGCTCAAGTGATCCTCCTGCTTTGGCCTCCTAAAGTGCTGGGATTACAGGCATGAGCCACCGTGTCTTGAGGGGTTTGTTTCTATTAAAAGACTTGGTGTCAGGGAGGAGCACAAAGCTTTAACCCATTGAACCTCTGACAGTTAAGATGGTGTTGGGTTAGGTTACATCTGGTTACTATCCTGGGAAAATCACTTCTATAGAGATGGCCTTCCAAGTGGTTTTAAAATGTATCTTTCTGTCTGGGCGCGGTGGCTCACGCCTGTAATCCCTGCACTTTGGGAGGCCAAGGCAGGTGGATTGCTTGAGGTCAGGAGTTTGAGACCAGCATGGCCAACATTTTGTATTTTTGTATTTTCTCTACTAAAAATACAAAAATTAACCAGGCATGGTGGTGGGTGCTTATAATTCCAGCTACTTAGGAACCTGAGGCAGGAGAATCACTTGAACCCTGTAGATGGAGGTTGCAGTGAGCCGAGATGGCCCCACTGTACTGCAGCCTGGATGACAGAGCGAGACTCCATCTCAAAATAAATTAAAAAAATGTATCCTTCTATTGAAGTTTTTAGGTTAATCATGTATATGTTGACTAAATTATGAATTAACTTGTTTATCAAAAAAAAAGTAAAAAGTAAAGTAAGTAAAAGTAAAGTAAAATAAATAAAATCAACCTTATAATTCACTTTTTCTTAAACTGTTTCAGGGAAAAAAGTATAAATGTTTACATTAATATTTTTAACCAATCTTGTAAAACAATTTCTGAATACTAACATCCTAGCATTCTAAAAGTATTTAAAACTATTGTTTTTTAAAATAGGAAAACGGACGATGTATTACTAAGCTGGAAAACATGGGGTTTCGAGTGGGACAAGGATTGATAGAAAGGTGAGCAGGTTGGATTTGAAAATTTTCTTGCAGGTAGGTTATAAACAAAGGTGATCTATTTCAAAAGATTGCATAAAACTTGGGATATTTTAATTTTAATTCCTGAATGTTATTCTCTTTACTTCAAAAATTAAAATTTCTTTTTAGATCCAATGCCATTTAACTCATTTATTCAAATTTTATTTTAATGTTTAAAGAAAATATATATTTTATATATTTTAGACTTTCTTCCTGAAGCTATTTTAGACTTTATTCCTGAAGCTATTGAAGCAACTATCTAAAATCTTACTGCATTTTCAACTTAAGATCTGCTAGGTTCTTTAACCTGCATAGAATTTTTAAGTACATAGGTTTGAAATAACTATAGTCTATGTTTATGCGTGTAATTATCTTTGAACTTATAAATCAGTTCTTTTTAGTATTTCTTTCTCACTACCTGAATAGTTAAACTCGGAGTATATTTTATATAACAATGTCATGATAATGCTCAGCTCTTTGTTCTTTTGTGGTTTTTTGATGTGCTAGAATGCATTGCACCTGAAATTTTGGCTATAATGTTAGACTAATTTGAGGCCTCATAATTTATATAACATAATGTGAATCCATTGAGATAGGATCATGTTACCTGGTGCTTATGACTTTATTAGTGTTAATAAATGTTCAGCCAGGTGTGGTGGCTCATGCCTGTAATCCCAGCACTTTGTGAGGCCAAGGTGGGAGAATCTCTTGAGCTCAGGAGTTTGAGACCAGCCAGGGTAACAAAGTGGAACCCTGTCTCTACAAAGATATACAGATTAGCTGAGCATGGTGACATGTGCCTGTGGTCTCAGCTGCTAGGGAGGCTGAGGTGGGAGGATAGCTTGAGCCTGGGAGGGAGGTAGACGTTGCAATGAGCCGAGATTATGCTATTGCACTCTAACCTGGGCGACAGAGCCAGAATCTGTCTCAAAAAAAAAATTAAAATTAAAAAACCCAATAAATGTTCAGTGCTGTTCTGGCATTTGGAAATTAGTTAATAATTAGTCCCTCTTGCTTTTTTTGGAGGAGAAATACTGTATTACTTCTAGTTGATCTTTTTAGGTTTACAAAAGATACTGCAAGGTTCAAGGATGAGTTAGATATCATGAAGTTCATTTGTAAAGATTTTTGGACTACGGTATTCAAGAAACAAATCGACAATCTAAGGACAAATCATCAGGTAATTAAATTAATTAAGGCCTATATTTTAAAGTCCTTTAACTTGATATAAATATCGTATTTTAGTGACTTATTTAAAACCTAAAATAATTTCTGGTTAACTTTGGAATATGTTTATGTTATTAATGAGTTATTAGTTTTTTTCTTCTAATAGTGTGAACTGAGTAAAGACAAAGGGACAGTTATCAGTAATGATAGCTGTTCCTTTCACCCAATTATATGCTATGTTAAGTTTTTTAAAGTAGCATAAGTCAGGATGAGAATAGCTTTTACTATTTGGTTCCTTAGTTACTGTTAATTAGTGGTAATAATATGCAGAACCACAAATATATCACCTTTATGTCTTTAGAGTCATTTCTTTTTTTTGAAGAAGAAGAATTTGGATTATTTTAATTATTTTTATATACAGAAAACTCAACAGTGTATGTTTAACCCAGTTTGGTGTCAAGTTCTTTAGCCTTTGCCTTTTCCTGCTTGACAATTCAAGCCACAGACTTGAGACCCAGGACATTGCCTCCCCAGTGACAGTGGATTTCGTTTTGTCTGTCGTAATTGGTTCTGATAGCTTCCACCAGCTGAACCTAAGCTCCATTGTCCTCTGAGTTAATCTGTGTAAAGGCGACAGTGGTGCGGGTCTTCTTGTGGATTAGACATCCCAGTCTTGCCTTCCCCTTGATAATGCGGTAAGGGACCCCCATTTTATGACACAAGGCAGGCAGGAAGACAGCCACCTCGATGGGATCCACATAGTGTGCAGTCACCACCAGCTGAGCCTTCTTGTTCTCCTCCAAGGTGGAGATGGTGTTAACTCCTGCTCGGAGGACAAGTGGTCTCTTAGTGGGGACATCCCCTTTGCCTGCAGCTTTCTTTTCAGCCCGGGCCAATAGCCTCTGCTTATTTTCTTGCTTTGTCTTTGGTCTGTACTTGTGGGCCAGCTTAAGCAGCTAAGTAGCTATTTGGCGGTGCAGGGCCTGGGTGAACTGGTTAATTGTAGGAGGCACTTTCAGCTGCTTACAGAGGATGGCTTTGTGCCACTGCAACCTGATATAGCGGGGCCATTTCACAAAGTGAGTGAGGTCCATATTGGGTGGATGTCCTGTCCAATGCCAGAATTCTTAGGCCTTTTCTCAAACAGGGGATTCACCACTTTCTTTCTTTCTTTTTTTTTTTTTTTTTTTTGAGATGGAGTCTTGCTGTGTTGCCCAGGCTAGAGTGCAATGGTGCGATCTCGGCTCACCACAACCTCCGCCTCCTGGGTTCAAGCCATTCTGCCTCAGGCTCCCAGGTAGCTGGGACTACAGGCATGTGCCACCACTCCGGCTAATTTTTGTATTTTTAGTAGAGGTGGGGTTTCACCATGCTGGCCAGGCTGGTCTCGAACTCCTGACCTCAAGTGATCCGCTTGTCTCGGCCTCCCAATGTGCTGGGAGTACAGACGTGAGCCACCACGCCCAACCAGGATTCACCACTTTCTTGGCCTCCTGTTTCTTCATGACACCAAGGGCCAGAGCCACCTCCTTCCTCTTGGCCTTTCCTTTTGGCATCTTGGGTGGCAGGAAGAGATTCTTTATAGTCATTTCTAAAGTCTAATTTATAGAGCATTTTACTCTTAAATAACTCCTGGATTATTACTGCTGTCATATTTTCTACTCTTAAAAGATTTTCTTACTACAAAATTAATAGATTACATAGAAAACTATGTATTTATTAAAATTTTAAAAGGGAGACAGAGTCTCGCTTTGTTGCCCAGACTAGTCTTGAGCTCCTGGACTCAAGTAATTCTTTGGCCTCAGCCTCTTGCATAGCTGGGATTATAGGCATGCACCACCACTCCCAGCTTCATTAGATTTTATTTTATGAACTTCAAGGAAATACTTAGAGTAGATTTGGAATTTTGATTAAGTAAAAAATTAAATGTATCTGGTACTCTCAATAGGATAATTCATTTATTTATTTATTTTTAATTAGAGACAGTGTCTCACTATGTTTTCCAGACTGGTCTCAAACTCTTGGGCTCAATGGATCCTCCCGCCTTGGCCTCCCAGAGTTCTGGGATTACAGGTGTGAGCCACTGTGCCTGGCCTGGAATTCATTTTGTACCAACTTTAGCTTGGAATTACTGGAAATGCTAATAGGAAGAAATGACTATGATTTTTTTACTCTCTAGACATGATTTACTAATATATATCAGCTGGCTGGACATGGTGGCTCATGCTTAGAATTGCAGCATTTTGGGAGGCTGAGGCAGAAGGATTGCTTGAGCTCAGGAGTTGGAGACCAGCCTGAGCAACATACTTAGAACCTATTTCTACAAAAAACTTGAAAAAAATTTCACCAGGCATATTGGTATGTGCCTGAGGTTTCAGCTACATGGGAGGAGTTCAAGGATACAGTGAAATACTACACTTTTGCCTGGATAACAGCAAAATTCTGTCTCTTAAAAAAATAAAGCTGGGCGCGGTGGCTCACCCCTGTAATCCCAGCACTTTGGGAGGCCGAGGTGGGCAGATCACCTGAGGTCAGGAGTTCGAGACCAGCCTGGCCAACGTGGTGAAACCCTGTCTCTACTAAAAATACAAAAATTAGCCAGGCATATTGGCGCACGCTTATAGTCCCAGCCACTCAGGAGGCTGAGGAAGGAGAATTGCTTGAACCCGGGAGGCAGAGGTTGCAGTGAGCCTAGATCACACCACTGCACTCCAGCCTGGGCGACAGAGCAAGACTCTGTCTCAAATAAACAAATAAATCCGGGTGCGGTGGCTCACGCCTATAATCCCAGCACTTCAGGAGGCCAAGGCGGGTGGATCACCTGAGGTTGGGAGTTCAAGACCAGCCCTGCCAACATGGAGAAACCCCGTCTCTACTAAAAATACAAAATTAGCTGGGCGTAGTGGCGCATGCCTGTAATCCCAGCTACTTGGGAGGCTGAGGCAGGAGAATCACTTGAACCCAGGAGGCGGAGGTTGTGGTGAGCTGAGATCGAGCCATTGCACTCCAGCCTGGGCAACAAGAGTGAAACTCTGTCTCAAAAAAATAAATAAATAAAAATAAAAATTAGGTCGGGTGTGGTGATCATACATGTAATTTCAGCACTTTGGGAGGCTGAGGCAGGAGGATTACTTGAGCCCTGGAGTTCCAGACCAGCCTAGGCAACATAGGGAGACCCCCTTTCTACAAAAAATTAATAAAACTAGCCGGGTGTGGTGGCATGTGTCTGTGGTCCCAGCTACTCGGAAGGCTGAGGCAAGAGAATTGCTAAACACCCAGGTGTTTGAGGGTGCAGTGAGCTGTGATTGCACCACCACACTCCAGCCTAGACAACAGAGTGAGAGCTCATGTCTAAATAAATAACTATACAAACAAACAGCTTATTTCATGTGGACATGTATTAATGATTCCATCGTACTAGACTATGAGTTTTTAAGGATAGGGACTATGTCTCAGACAGTGTTTTTATCTTCAGTGTATAAAACCGTTCGGTATACATTAGTGTTGTGAAAATACTGAACTCGCAACTCTTCAGCTTGAACATTGCAAAACTCCTTCATTTAAACAAAATTTGACCAGGCTGGGCACGTGGGCTTATGCCTGTAATCCCAGCACTTCGGGAGGTCAAGGTGGGCAGATTGCTTGAGCCCAGGAGTTTGAGACCAGCCTGGGCAACATGGCGAAACCCCATCTGTACAAGAAATATAAAAATTAGCAGGGCATGGTGATGCACGCCTGTAGTCCCAGCTACTTGGGAGCCTGCGGTGGGAGGATTGATTGAGTCTGGGAGTTGGAGGCTGCAGTGAGGCGTAATTGTGCCACTGCATTCTACCCTGGGCGACAGAGGAGACCCCGTCTCAAAGAACAGAAAAAGAAAACTTGGCCAATGGGAAGGAGACTTTTAATAACTTTAAAAAACACTTAAATTGTTTCATAAGAATAAAATAATTTTAAGGACTGCTAGGTACATTGACTTTGGATTTTTTTTCTATTTTTGGAACAGGGCATCTATGTACTTCAGGACAACAAATTTCGCCTGCTTACTCAGATGTCTGCAGGAAAACAGTATTTAGAACATGCATCTAAGGTATTTAATGGAATAGAAGTTGGGGTTTTTGTTAATAGTAGGACTACAGGGAAAAGTACAGTGCTAATCATAACAAACTATTGAATTAAAAATATGTTTTAAGGTGTTCTTTTTTGTTTAAAGAGTTTTCTATGAAATGAGAGACATGTTACAATAACACTAAACTGTAGCTAAATAGTCATAGAGTGACCAATTAAAGAAACACTGGCCGGGCGCTATGGCTCACGCCTGTAATCCCAGCACTTTGGGAGGCCAAGGCAGGTGGATTACCTGAGGTCAAGAGTTCAAGACCAGCTTGGCCAGCATGGGGAAACCCTTTCTCTACTAAAAATATGAAAAATAGCTGGACGTTCTGGCGAGCGCCTGCAATCCCAGCTATTCGGGAGGCTGAGGCAGGAGAATCACTTGAACCCGGGAGGCAGAAGTTGCAGTGAGCTGAGATCGTGCTATCATTGCACTCCAGCCTGGGGTATAAGAGCAAAACTCCATCTCAAAAAAAAAAAAAAAGAAAAAAAAGAAACACTATAACTAAATGACAGTGAAATGTAGATGTATGGTAGATCACTTTTTTTTTTTTTTTAAGACAAGGTCTTGCTCTGTCATCTAGGCTGGAGTGTAGTGGTACAATCATGGCCTATCTTGACCTTGACCCCCCCGGGCTCAAGTGATCCTCCCACTTCAGTCACCCAAGGAGGTAGGACTGCAGGTGTGGGCCACCATGCCTGGCTAATTTTTAAAAAAATTTTTTAGAGATGGGATCCCACGATGTTGCCCAGGCTCGTCTTGAACTCCTGGGCTCAAGTGATCACCTCACCTCGGCCTCCCAGTGTGTTGGGATTACAGGTGTGAGCCACTGCATCCGGCCTGATTGCCTATTTTCTATATTTTTGGGGTATCCAGGCTCTAATTACATTTTTATGGTTAATGTGTATATTTTCTCTCTTTTTTTTTTTTTTCGGACAGAGTGTGAGACTCACTGCAACCTCTGCCTCCTGGGTTCAAGTGATTCTCCTGCCTCAGCCTCCTGAGTAGCTGGGATTACAGGTGTGCGCCACCATGCCTGGCTAATTTTTTGTATCTTTAGTAGAGACAGGGTTTCACCATGTTGGCGAGGCTAGTCTCAAACTCCTGACCTCGTGATCCACCCACCTCAGCCTCCCAAAGTGCTCGGATTACAGACGTGATTACAAAAGCCACCCAAAATGCTGGGATTACAGCCTCCCAAAGTGCTGGGATTACAGACGTGATTACAAAAGCCACCCAAAATGCTGGGATTACAGCCTCCCAAAGTGCTGGGATTATAGGCCATGCCTGGCATATTTTCTCTTTTTTACTAACTTCTTAGTTTAATATTTCTGGTTCTCACTTAACTTTTTGGGATCTTGGTTTCTTCAGCTGTGAAAAGAGTAAGTTGGACCAATTCAGTGATTTCTAACTATTTTGAGTTATGGACATCTTTGAGAACTGGAACACCTTTCCCCATAAATACGCACATATACATGGTTTTTATTTTCATAGGGGTCACAAATTCCCCGATTAAGAACTCTTGGGATGAACAATCTCTAAGGCCTCTTCCAGCTTAAAATTTCATGACTCAGATCTAGTTACTTATTAGTGCCCATTTATGTATATTATTTATAAGATAATATTTTATATTATTCGTAGATAATGTAGTATGTTGAACATCATGCAGTATAGATGTGGGTAATCAAAAATTCCCTGAATTGCTAATTTTTCAATCCAGTTCTTGTCATGACTTTTGGTTTTGTAGCTCAGCCCTATTCCCTTTCTTTGTTTCTATATGACAGGGTTTCTCAACGTCCAAACTGTTGATACTTTCAACCAGATAATTCTTTGTTGTGGCAAGCTATAAGTCTTGAACAAGTCAAGATTCTTGGTTGTAAATAGGGGAAAGAAATTCTGCTTGTAAGCTAACAAAATTGATAAGCTCAAAGAATAGGCAATAACCAGGGGAGGTTAAGGCAGCCAGTAAGATAGCCAAGTCACTCTGCAGACTGTATCTACTTAGAATCCTGCAGGCAGCAGGGACTGTAGACACAAACTACCTTTACTGCCTCCAGAACTAATTCTGATCAGTTTCTGGCTTGTTTTTGTCACTGAGTCTAGATTCACAGTCCTGGACTGGAGTACTTAATTGGCTGAGCTTAAGTCTTAAGTCCTACGTCCATGCTTTAGTTTCCAGGGAGCTGGGAAATATATCAATATTTTTCAGTAATTTGAACAGTTCTTCAAAATCCTTTTTTTAAACAGGAATGACTTACTGATGATAAATCATGTAATGTTGTATTTATCAATAGCTTTACTATTTTAGTAAATCCTTACTATTTTTAATGATTTTTTTTCCTTTTAGTATTTAGCATTTACGTGTGGCTTAATCAGAGGTGGCTTATCAAACTTGGGAATAAAAAGTATTGTAACAGCTGAAGTGTCTTCAATGCCTGCTTGTAAGTTGAATTCGCCTTTCTTACAAATGTTTTAGTAATTTGTTTTCAGGTCTGTTTTTTTTTTTAATTTAACTGAGAGGAAATTTAAAATGCTGAAACTTTCATTTTAGTTTTATCAATGTAACACTTTAGTGTAGTAATATGTAGCATACTACATTCATTTTCAGTAATTTTTGAATAATGGACTAAAATCCAAATTTATAAGACAATTTAAGGGATGATTTTTAACTTTTCTAAAGTTATTCAAACTGTAACTTTTTTAAAGATATTCTTCTGAATATCTCCTGCAGTGTTTTAAGATAGCAAATTTCCCTAGAACATTGAAAATGCTATTTTTTTTTTTTTTTTTTTTTTTTGAGACGGAGTCTCGCTCTGTTGCCCAGGCTGGAGTGCAGTGGCACAATCTCGGCTCACTGCAAGCTCCACCTCCCGGGTTCACGCCATTCTCCTGCCTCAACCTCCCGAGTAGCTGGGACTACAGTTGCCTGCCACCACGCCCAGCTAATTTTTTGTATTTTTAGTAGAGATGGGTTTCACCGTGTTAGCCAGGATGGTCTCCATCTCCTGACCTTGTGATCCGTCTGCCTCGGCCTCCCAAAGTGCTGGGATTACAGGCATGAACCACCGCGCCCGGCCCGAAAATGCTATTTTTAAACAATTGTTTAGGATATGTCTATTATATCAAGCTAAGTAAAACCAAATATTCTTTTATCACTAAATGTCTCCCTAAAGATCTTTTCACCAGAGCTACCAACCAAGAAAAAATGGACTTGAGCTTTATTGTATTTCTTTTCAATTTACAATGATCATTAGCCATGAAATACTGTACCCAAATGTAGGATTCATAAAGAGAAACAAAAGTGCTTACTCAACAAACCATATAATCATCCCATAAAAATAGAATTGACTGGCCGGGTGTGGTGCCTCACACCTGTAAGCTCAGCACTTTGGGAGGCCGAGGTGGGCGTATCATGAGGTCAGGAGTTTGAGACCAGCCTGGCCAATAAGGTGAAACCCTGTCTCTACTAAAAATACAAAAATTAGCTGGGCGTGGTGACAGACGCCTGTAGTCCCAGCTACTCAGGAGGCTGAGGCAGGAGAATCACTTGAACCCAGGAGGTGGAGGTTGCAGTGAGCAGAGATCGTGCCACTGCACTCCAGCCTGGGCAACAGAGCAAGACTCCATCTCAAAAAAAAAGAAAAAATAGAATTGACTTTATTGAATATTATGAAGAATGCGAAAAAGTTTTTGACATAGCAGATTTCTTGACTGAAACTATTTCCTATATGGAACAGAAAATTGATGTTTAGACTTGTTTTCTTTGTATCTAAAATCAAAGAATTATTTGTATTTTTTTTTTTAGGCAAATTTCAGGTGATGATACAGAAGCTGTAGAACATACTGAAATGCAAGGCTTCAACAGTGTAAAGAGATAAATTATTCATGTAAAAGTATTTCAAGTAGTGATGATTTAATTACATTGTTCGATGTTTGTACAGGAGTAAGCATGTATTTTTATCAATTTAACACAGATCAAAGGAGATGAAGGGACATTCTGCCATGACATACACTTAACCAAAACTATTCAAAATGAAAACCGGATTTCAAATAACCAGACACCAAGATGCAGGGCCCTTATTTTAAACCTTTTTATTTGGTTAGAGTGATATGTATTTAGCCATAGATGGAGAAACAAAGCTCAGGGTTTGTTGAATTAGCATGAGAGAAAATTATGTACCAACAGAATTATTTGTGAGAAGAATGAACAAATTTTGATAAAGTATGAATTTGTTTTATTTTAAAAAGCAAACATACTAAATTTTTTTTATTTTATTGCTTATAATTTATTAAGAATGTTTACACCTGTATAAGGATTTCATATATACATTGTATGTGTGTATATATAAATACATATATGACTGCCTAAATTGTTTATAAATTTAATTTTTCTTTAATAGGTTTCATTCCTTCAGAGCTCCATTAATGTAATCAAAATGAAATATAGATTAGTTTAAATGTGAATTCAGTGACTCTAGGGCCAAAGAATATTAGGTATGTTTGGAAAGAATTTTTGTATTTATTCCTGTTACAGTTTTGACTTTCAACTTCTCTCCCCGTGCATGGAAGTCCTGGTAAAGGATCTAACATCTTTATTCCCTTCTTTCCTCTTCCAGCTGAGCAGAGTTGGATAATTGAATTAGTCATTCTGACATTCTTTGGACCATATCATCTTAGTGGTTTGGGGTCAGTGCTCATCTGATATATCTTTCTTACCACCTCTTCTACTTACTTTCTCTTACTTAAATTATCTGGCATAAGCAGTTATCTCCAGCTTTTGTTAGAATCTTGCATGTTGATTACTAAAACTATACTTTGTTTCCCATTTATTTATTACCCTTTTGCATGTATTTGTGTGACAGGGAACTCTGCAGCAGGGGGTGACTGACACACCAAACAAGATGTTTCACTGGGTACTCTGCCATAGAAATGGCAGATTAAGAAGATTGACTATACCAAACATTATATTAAAAACACAAAATAAAAACTATAAAAATGTACTTTAGGACATTAAAGAAAACTCAAGTTAGAAGCATACCATTTTCCTTTCATGGAAGGGTACAGTATTACAAAGATAATTTGTTTAACTTGATTTATTAAATTCTAGTTATGTGCCCTATAATGATGTTTCAGTCAGTGACAGACCTCATATATGGCAGTGGTTCCATAAGATTACAATACTGTATTTTTACTGTACCTTCTTTATGTTTAGATATGCAAGTACTTACCATTGTGTTACAGTGTCCTACAGTATTCACTACAATAATATGCTGTACAGGTTTGTAGCCTAGGAGCAATAGGCCATAGCTTAGGTGTATAGTAGATCATACCATCTAGGTTTGTGTAAGTACACTCTGTGATTGTACAATTTTAAAATCTCCTAATGATGATGCATTTCTCAGAATGTATCCCCTTTGCTAAGCAATGCATGACTGCAATCCTAATTCTCACATGTTTTGGGGAAAAAATTTTAATTTTGAAAAAATTTAGGAAAGTTCCTACCAAATATACATGTATAAAGTTTATTAAAAGTCATAATGACCCAGGAATAGCTAATGACACAGAAGTAGATCAAAATAGAACACAATAGAGAACTTCAAAATAAAACAGGTGTGAGAATTGTGTGTGTGAAAAAGCTGGGTTCAAATAAGTTGGTTTGTTAGACATTCATATGCCTACCCATCAGCCATTTCGTTCTCCCTTCCTTGCTGACAAAGCCCCATTTTTTTTTTCTTTTTTTTTGGCCTAAAACTCTGTATGGCTGCCTTGTGCTATAGAATAGGGTGCTTCCCTAGCCTAGAGAGGGTGAGTGTTGATTAGATTCTGTGCCAATCATGGTAATTGGCTTACTTGATCATTTGATGGAATCTAGGCTAACGAGACAAAGGAAGTCTGAAGGCTTTGAATAAGAAATTTTCTGTTGCTCTTAACAATTGATACAAGTTAGGGATTTGCCAGCATCCCTCTTCTGCTTCTCAGTGAAGATATGTGATATGGATGTTTGAAGCTAATCTGCAACAGCCTTCTGATGGCCATGAAAGGACAAGTATGGAGATGAAAGCTATCACACTGAGAATAGTGGGATGTAGATAGAAAGCACCTGAATTGTGCTTCTGAATTAACCAATCCAGGAACTGCTTTACCTTTGGACTTTTTGTTATGTGAGATATTCTTTATATTGTTCCATTTGCTTTGGGTATATGTATATTGTTACTTGTAGCCAAAAAGAAACCTCTCTTAGTAGAAACAAAGGGAGAGTTAGGTTATTCAAAAATTAGTATGGGACAATTGAATATGCCTTTTTCTGCGGGAGTAGGTGGGGAGAAACTTAAAGGTTCACTTGTAAAACAATAAAGTACTAAAGAAAATGTGATAATACTTTCGTGATTTTGTGGTGGAGAAGGCCTTTCCAACACACAAATGTAGGAAATCATAAAGGAAAACTATAAAACAAAGAAATGTAGTAAAATCTCTTCAACAAATAGTGTTGGGAAAACTGGACATCCACATACAAAAGAATGAAATTGGATTGTTGCCTTAATGCCATACATAGAAATCAACTTAAGGCCGGGTGTGGTGGCTCAAGCCTGTAATCCCAGCACTTTGGGAGGCCGAGGTGGGGCAGATCATGAGGTCAGGAGTTCAAGACCAGCCTGGCCAAACAGTGAAACCCTGTCTCTACTGAAAAAAATACAAAAATTAGCTGGGTGTGGTGGTGGGCGCCTGTAGTCCCAGCTACTTGGGAGGCTGAGGCAGGAGAATTGCTTGAACCCGGGAGTCGGAGGTTGCAGTGAGCCAAGATGGAGCCACTGCGCTCCAGCCTGGGCGACACAGTGAGACTCTGTCTCCAAAAAAAAAAAGAAATCAACTTAAAATGGATTGAAGATTTAAAAGTAAAATCTGAAACTATACAATTCTAGCAGAAAACATAGGGGAAAAGCTTCGTAACATTGGTCTTGGCAATGATCTCTTGGGTAAGACACCAAAAGCAGGCAACAAATGCAGAGATAGACAAGTGGGACTACATCAAACTAATAAGATGCACAGAAAGGACAGTGAAAAGGCAACTTAGGGATGGAAGAAAATATTTGTAAGCCATATACACTCGGCCCTTTCTATCTTGACGGTTCAACCAAGAATTCAACCATCCTTGGTTTGAAATATTTGAAAAAAAAAAAACAAAGACAAGGCCTGGCTCACACCTGTAATCCCAACACTTTGGAAGGCCAGAGTGGGCGGATGACCCGAGATCAGGAGTTCAAGACGAGCCTGGCCAACATGGCAAAACCCTGTCTCTACTAAAAATACAAAAATTAGTTGGGTGTTGTGGCACATGCCTGTAGTCCCAGCTACCCAGGAGGCTGAGGCAGGAGAATTACTTGAACCGTGGAGGTGGAGGTTGCAGTGAGCCGAGATCATGCCACTGCACTCCAGCCTGGGTGACAGAGTAAGACTCCATGTCCAAAAAACAAAAAGAAAACCAAAGACAATATAAAACACATTTTAAAACTACAGTATGACAATGATTTACGTAGCATTTACAGTGTGCTTGGTATAAGTAATTTTTTTCCTCTCTGTATTGATCATGTGGCAGGTATAAGTAATCTAGAGTTTTTTTTTTTTTTTTTTTTTTTTTAAGGCAGAGTTTCGCTCCTGTTGGCCAGGCTGGAGTGCAATGGTGCAATCTCAGCTCACCACAACCTCCGCCTCCTGGGTTCAAGTGATTCTCCTGCCTCAGACTCCCAAGAAGCTGGGATTACAAGCATGCGTCACCACACCTGGCTAATTTTTTTGTATTTTTAGTAGAGACAGGATTTCTCCATGTTGGTCAGGCTAGTCTCAAACTCCCGACCTCAGGTGATCCGCCCACTTCAGCCTCCCAAAGTGCTGGGATTACAGGTGTGAGCCACTGCACCCAGCCTAGAGATGATTTAAAGTATATGGTGGTGTGGTGGCTCGCATCTGTAATCCCGGCACTTTGGGAGTCTGAGGTGGGCGGATCACCTGAGGTCAGGAGTTTGAGACCAGCCTAGCCAATATGATGAAACCCTGTCTCTACTAAAAATACAAAAATTAGCCGGGTGTGGTGGCTGGTGTCTGTAATCCTAGCTACTTGGGAGGCTGAGGCAGGAGAATCAGCTGGACCTGGGAGGTGGGGGTTGAAGTGAGCCGAGATCTCACCACTGCACTCCAGCCTGGGTGACAAGAGTGAGACTCTGTCTCAATCAGTCAATCAATCAATCAATCAATCAAGTATACAAGATGGCAGAGCAGGCCAAGCAGGCTGGGTGCAGTGATTCACACTTGTTAGCCAAGCACTTTAGGAGGCCAAGATGGGATTGGTTGAGCTCAGGAGACCAGTCTGGGAAATGTGGCGAGAGCTCATCTCTTAAAATAAAAAAAAAGTTAGCCAAGTATGTACTCCCAGTTTCTTGGGAGGCTGAGGCAAGATGATTTTTTGAGCCTGAAGGGTTTCATGAGCATGGGAGGTTGAAGCTCCAGTGAACTGTGATAGTGCCCTTGCACTCCAGCCTGGGACCGGCGAGATAAGGGATTTTCTTTCTCCCTGGGTATGTTCAACCTGTGAATGTACACAATGACGAGGTCAGGGTGTAGAGTTTATATGAGGGCTTCAGAAATTTGGCTTAGGGCCAGATTTCATGTTTTTTAACCACAGTAACAAAATGACATAACAAAAAGTTTGCATTGCAGAAAGCACAATTTTAAAAAGGAAAATTATTTACAGTGCATACCACATAAGCGAATATTTGCAAATTTTTTTGTAATAATAGAGATGGGTCTCCCTATGTTGCCCAGGCCAGTCTCAAACTCCTGGGCTCAAGTGATCCACCTGCCTCAGCCTCCCAAAGAGCTGGGATACAGGCGGGAGCCACGGCTCCCAGCCACATATTTGCATTTTAAAAATGCACGTATAACTTTAAAACATATAATTTAACTCAGCAATTCCACTTCTACAAAGTTAACCTAATTAAGTAAATGAGTATGAGAACTTGTATGTATAAGGATTTTCACTATTTGGTTAAGTGTCCATTGATGGTACTTTATTAAATTATGATGCTAACAGCCAGGTGCGGTGGCTCACACCTGTAATCCTAGCACTTTGGGAGGCCGAGGCGGGTGGAACATGAGGTCAGGAGTTCGAGACCAGCCTGACCAATATGGTGAAACCCTGTCTCTACTAAAAATAAAAAAATTAGCCGGGCGTGGTGGCACACACCTGTAGTCCCAGCTACTTGGGAGGCCGAGGCAGGAGAGTTGCTTGAACCTGGGAGGCGGAGGTTGCAGTGAGCCGAGATCATGCCACTGCACTCCAGCCTGGGTGACAGTGATACTCCATCTCAAAAAAAAAAAAAAAAAAAAAATTATGATGCTAACGGCCAGGCACGGTGGTTCATGCCTGTAATCTCAGCACTTTGGGAGGCCGAGGCGGGTGGATCACCTGAGGTCAGGAGTTCAAGACCAGCCTGACTAACATGGAGAAACCCTGTCTCTACTAAAAATACAAAATTAGCCGGGCGTGGTGGCGCATGCCTGTAATCCCAGCTACTCGGGAGGCTGAAGCAGGAGAATCACATGAACCTGGGAGCGGGAGGTTGCAATGAGCCAAGATTGTGCCATCGCACTCCAGCCTGGGCATCAAGAGCGAAACGCCGTCCCAAAAAAAAAAAAAATTATGATGCTAACATTCAAGGAAATTCTGTGCAGCTGTTAAAAAGGATGAAATAGATTTACATGAATTTACATGGAAAGATGTTAACTGGTATATTAAGAGAAAAAGTTTTGCTACAGGATACTGCAAATGTAATATTTAAGTATATATAATGAATATATACATAGTGTCAAAAAGACTGAAAGTTAAAAGTAAATTATACAGTAGTTCTCTTGAAACTTTTTTTTTCTTTTTGAGACGGAGTTTCGCTCTTGTTGCCCAGGCTGGAGTGCAATGGCATGATCTTGGCTCACCACAAACTCCGCCTCCTGGGTTCAAGCAATTCTCCTGTCTCAGTCTCCTGAGTAGCTGGGATTACAGGCATGCGCCATCATGCCCTGCTAATTTTGTATTTTTAGTAGAGACGGGGTTTCTTCATGTTGGTCAGGCTGGTCTCAAACTCCCAACCTCAGGTGATCTGTCCGCCTCGGCCTCCCAAAGTGCAGGGATTACAGGCGTGAACTACCATGCCTGGCCAATTCTCTGGAATTTTTGACATTAAGTTTCTATATTATTTGGGATTTTTATTTTATTTTTATTTTTTTGAGAGGGAGTTTCGCTCTTATTGCCCAGGCTGGAGTGTAATAGCATGACCTTGGCTCACTGCAACCTCTGCCTCCCGGGTTCAAGCAATTCTCCGGCCTCAGCCTTCTGAGTAGCTGGGATTACAGGTGCCTACCACCACACCTGGCTAATTGTTTGTACTTTTAGTAGAGATGGGGTTTCACCATGTTGGCCAGGCTGGTCTTGAACTCCTGACTTCAGGTGATCCACCCACCTCTCCCTCCAAAGTGCTGGGATTACAGGCGTGAGCCACTGTGCCTGGCCTATTTGGGATTTTAAAATAATCATTCCCCCAATACAGATTTTTTTATCTGGAGTGGGAAAACATGATAAAACAACCAGTGATTTTTAGACTTTTTTGGAGTCCTGGGATTCCACAGGGTGCCTGATATGGTTTGGCTGTGTCCCCACCCAAATCTCAACTTGAATTATATCTCCCAGAATTCCCACATGTTGTGGGAGGGACCAAGGGGGAGGTAATTGAATCATGGAGGCCAGCCTTTCCCATGCTATTCTTGTGATAGTGAATAAGTCTCACGAGATCTGATGGGTTTATGAGGGGTTTCCACTTTTGCTTCTTCCTCATTCTCTCTTCCTGCTGCCATATGAGAAGTGCCTTTTGCCCTCTGCCATGATTGTGAGACCTTCCCCAGCCACGTGGAAGTGTAAGTCAAATTAAACCTCTTTCTTTTGTAAATTGCCCAGTCTTGGGTTTGTCTTTACTAGCAGTGTGAGAACGGACTAATGCAGTAAATTGGTACCAGTAGAGTGGGGTGTTGCTGAAAAGATACCCGAAAATGTGGAAGCGACTTTGGAACTGGGTAACAAGCAGAGATTGGAACAGTTTGAAGGGCTAGAAGAAGACAGGAAAATGTGGGAAAGTTTGGAACTTCCTAGACTTGTTGAATGGCTTTGCCCAAAATGCTGATAGCGATATGGACAATAAATCCAGGCCGAGGTGGTTCAGATGGAGATGAGGAACTCCTTGGGAACTGGAGCAAAGGTGACTTTTGTGTTTTAGCAAAGAAACTGGTGGCATTTTGCCCCTGCGTTAGAGATTTGTGGAACTTTGAACTTGTGAGAGAGGATTTAGGGTATCTGGCTGAAGAAACTTCTTTTTTTTTTTTTTTTCGATAGAGTCTTGCTCTGTCGCCCAGGCTGGAGTGCAGTGGCACGATCTCAGCTCACTGCAGCCTCCGCCTCCCAGGTTCAAGCAATTCTCCTGACTCAGCCTCCTGAGTAGCTGGGATTACAGGCACACACCACCATGCCCGGTTAATTTTTGTATTTTTTTTAGTAGAGACGGGGGTTTCACCATGTGGGCTAGGCTGGTCTTGAACTCCTGACCTCAAGTGATCCACTTGCCTTGGCCTCCCAAAGTGCTGGGATTACAGGCGTGAGCCACTGCACCCGGCCTGGCTGAATAAATTTGTTTTTTCCTTTTTCTTTTTTTTTTTTGTGAGACGGAGTCTCACTCTATTGCCCAGGCTGGAGTGCAGTGGCGCGATCTCGGCTCACTGCAACCTCTGCCTCCTGGGTTCATGCCATTCTCCTGCCTCAGCCTCCCGAGTAGCTGGGACTACAGGCACCCACCACCATGTCCAGCTAATTTTTTTGTATTTTTTTAGTAGAGACGGGGTTTCACTGTGTTTGCCAGGAAGGTCTCGATCTCCTGACCTCATGATCTGCCTGCCTCAGCCTCCCAAAATGCTGGGATTACAGGCGTGAGCCACCACGCCCAGCCAGCTGAAGAAATTTCTAAGCAGCAAAGCATTCAAGAGGTGACTTGGGTACTGCTAAAGTCGTTCAGTTTTAAAGGGGGAACAGAGCATTAAACTTCAGAAAATTTGCAGCCTGACTACGATAGAAAAGAAAAACCCATTTTCTGGGGAGAAGTTCAAGCCAGCTGCAGAAATTTGCATAAGTAGCAAGGAGCCTGATGATAATCCTCAAGACCATGGGGAAAATGTCACCAGGCCATGTCTGAGACTTTTATAGCAGCCCCTCCCATCACAGGCCCGGAGGCCCAGGAGGAAAAAGTGGTTTTGTGGGCAAGGCCCAGGGTCCCCATGCTATGTGCAGCCTAGGGGCTTGGTCCTTTTGTGCAAGCTGCTCCAGCCATGGCTGAAAGGGGCCAATGTACAGGTCAGGCTGTGGCTTTAGAGGTGGAAGCCCCAAGCCTTGGCACCTTCCATGTGGTGTTGAGCCTGTGGGTGCACAGAAGTCAAGAATTGAGGTTTGGGAACCTCCACCTAGATTTCAGAAGATGTATGGAAACATCTAGATACCCAGGCAAGTTTGCTGCAGGTGTGGGGCCCTCAGGGAGAACCTCTGCTAGGGTAGTATGGAAGGGAAATGTGGGGTTGGAGCCCTCACGGAGTCCCTACTGGGGTATCATCTAGTGGAGCTGTGAGAAGAGGGTGACCATCCTCCAGACCCCAGAATGGTAGATTCACCTACCATTGCACCATGCACCTGGAAAAGCCACAGGCACTCAACACCAGCCTGTGAAAGCAGCCAGGAGGGAGGCTGTACTGTACCCTGCAAAGCCACAGGGGTGGAGCTGTCCAAGACCATGGGAACCCACCTCTTGCATCAGCGTGACCTGGATGCGAGACATGGAGTGAAAGGGGATCATTTTAAGATTTGACTGCGCCACTGGATTTTGGACTTGCATGGGGCCCACAGCCCCTTTGTTTTGGACAATTTCTCCCATTTGGAATGGCTATTTACCCAATGCCTGTACCCCCATTGTATCTAAGAAGTAACTAATTTGCTTTTGATTTTACAGGCTCATGGGGGAAGGGACTTGCCTTGTCTCAGATGGGACTTTGGAGTGTGGACTTTTGGGTTAAGGCTGAAATAAGACTTTGGGGGACTGTTGGGAAGGCATGACTGGTTTGAAATGTGATGACATGAGATTTAGAGGGGCCAGGGGATTGGAATGATATGGTTTGGCTGTGTCCTCACCCAAGTCTCACCCTGAACTGTATTTCCCATTATTACCACGTGTTGTGGGAGGGACCCAGGGGGAGGTAATTGAACCATGGAGGCTGGTTAGATCTGATGGGTTTATCAGGGGTTTCTGCTTTTGCTTCTTCCTCATTTTTTTTTTTTTTTTTTTTGAGACAGATTTTTGCTTGTCACCCAGGCTGGAGTGTAATGGTCTGATCTTGGCTCACCGCAACCTCTGCCTCCCAGGTTCAAGCAATTCTCCTGCCTCAGCCTCCCGAGTAGATGGGATTACAGGCATGCACCACTATGCCTGGCTAATTTTTTTGTACTTTTTGTAGAGGCTTCACTATGTTGGTCAGGCTGGTCTTGAACTCCTGACCTCAGGTGATCCACTGGCCTTGGCCTCCCAAATCCCAGGCTCACACCTGGGATTACGGGCATGAGCTACTGTGCCCAGCCCTTCCTCATTCGCTCTTGCTGCTGCCATGTAGGAAGTGCCTTTTGCCCTCCATCATGATTATAAGACCTTCCCCAGTCACGTGGAACTGTAAGTCCAATTAAACCTCTTTCTTTTGTAAATTGCCCATTGTCAGGTATTTCTTTGTCAGCAGTGTGCTAATACAGTGCCCTAGGCTGGGAGCTGGGTAGGGGTAGGGGGATAGCCCTGAAGTTACAGGAAGTCAACAGATGCAGCTGGTAAAGACCTTTTGGTTTAAAATATCTGCTTCTCTGGTTTAAAATGTTTATTTCTGGCCAGGCACAGTGGCTCACACTTATAATACCAGCACTTTAGGAGGCTGAGGTGGGCGGATCACCCGAGGTCAGGAGTTCAAGACCAGACTGAACAACATGGCGAAAGCTTCTCTCTACTAAAAATACAAAACTTAGCCCGGCATGGTGATGGGCACCTGTAATCCCAGCTACTCGGGAGGCAGAGGTTGCAGTGAGCTGAGATCACACCATTGCACTCCAGCCTGGATAACAGAGCAAGACTCTATATCAAAAATAAATAAATACAATGAAATGTTTATTTCTATTTGTCTCTATCCTCCTGAAAAATGGCTTTATGCCAAGGTAAGTCATTATAAAAATGGTTTCTTGGTTAACTATTAGAGATCCTCCAGCTTGCTAGTAGAGGTGTAACTGCATTAATTTTTTTTTTTTTTTTTTTTGGGAGATGGGAGTCTTGCTCTGTTGCCCAGGCTAGAGTGCAGTGGCGTGATCTTGCCTCACCGCCACCTCTGCCTCCCGGGTTCAAGCGATTCTGCCTCAGTCTTCTGAGTAGCTGGGATTACACATGTCTGCCACCATGCCTGGCTAATTTTTTTGTATTTTTAGTAGAGATGGGGTTTCACCATGTTGTGAAATGTCCAAGCTAGTCTCAAACTCGTGACCTCAGGTGATCCATCTGCCCCGGCCTCCCAAAGCGCTGGGATTACAGGCATGAGCCACCATGCTCGGCCAAAATTTTTTACACCTCTTGTCTATTGCACATGCAAAATTGCCTTTTTTGTTTGTTTGTTTTCTGAGATGGAGTCTTGCTCTGTCACCCAGGCTGGAGTGCAGCAGCGCAATCTCGGCTCACTGCAACCTCTACCTCCCAGGTTCAAGCAATTCTCCTGCCTCAGCCTCTTTAATAGCTGGGATTACAGGCACGCACCACCACGCCCAGCTAATTTTT
The DNA here is from genome assembly GCF_000001405.40 of Homo sapiens. NCBI lineage: Eukaryota > Metazoa > Chordata > Mammalia > Primates > Hominidae > Homo > Homo sapiens. Next base: position 39,139,256 of record NC_000014.9, on the reverse strand, counting down.
GTATTTTTAGTAGAGACAGGGTTTCACCATGTTGGCCAGGCTGGTCTTGAACTCTTGACCTCGTGATCCACCCGCCTCGGCCTCCCAAAGTGCTGGGATTACAGGTGTGAGCCACTGCACCCAGCCACCTTCTTCTTAATATTATCTAGTTCTCAGTAATTTTATTCTCTATGAGTAGAATGCCTAAGTGTATGCCCAGCCACGTTATGAGAGAAATATAAAACAATTGACACTTTACTTCTATTAAAGCAATCCCCAACCCACTTCCCAAACCCCCACCCCAAGCATCATATCAGCAAAAAATGTGAGGCTATAACACAGCTAGCTGTGGTACAGGTTGGTAATCTAAACCCTTTATAGTAGACTGCTGGCTGCCTACCCAATATCCACTCTCCCCTTTCAAAATAGAACTCCACTTTTGTTAGGAGTAGCAATGTGTCCAGGTACATCTTCCAGCATTCTTTACAATTAGGGCTGGTCATATGTCATAATTCTGGCCAATGAGATATCGAGTTGAAGGTTTCTTAAAATGCTCTGCTCCCAGATATAAATGACAAGAAGGGGTGGTGCCATTTCCCTCCCTGGAGTGTAGATGTGAGGCAAGAGATAAACCATACTTCATAAACAAAAAGATGAAAACTGCATACTCAAATGATGAAAGAGAAATCTGGATGGAGCCCAGAATATTTAAGACATTGTAAAGCTGCTGCACCATCCTGAACTTCTCACACCAGAATTATATGAGAAACAAAAACAATTTTAGAAACCTCAGTTTAGCCAAGTTTTCAAATGCAGTATTAAATGATAGACTCTTATGGCTTGCCTACTTTTGGGAAAAGGAAACTTTTGATCAAAGGAAAAAAGTTTGAAAAGAAACATTGCATACATGAAGATATCTGTGTAGTATTTTTTTATATTAGGTTAGCACTGAAAACAAAACTAGATATCCAACAATGAGGAAATTTTTAAGTACTTAGGACTGCAGTTTTATAGTGAGCTTTATGTGCCAGGCACAGTGGCTCATGCTTGTAATCCCAACACTTTGGGAGGCAAAGGTGGGCGGATCATTTGAAGTCAGGAGTTTGAAACCAGCCTGACCAACATGGTGAAACCCGGTCTCTACTAAAAACACAAAAAAATTAGCTGGGTGCGGTGGTGCATGTCTGTAGTCCCAGCTGCTCAGGAGGCTGAGGTGGGAGAATCACTTGAACCTGGGAGGTGGAGGTTGCGTGAGCCGAGATTGCGTCACTGCACTCCAGCCTGGGCAACCAAGCGAGACTCGTCTCAAAAACAAACAAAAATAATAATAAAGTGAGCTTTATGAAGACATTACAGAAAAGATTCAAATATAAAATGACCTCTGCTCTAATTATAACTGGTGGCAAAACTGTTGGTTGTCTGATCCATGGTAATTCCCAATCCCCATTTTCCTTTCCCACCTTCCATTAGTGAGACTGGAAAGGCGTACAGCTTCATTTTCCCACTTTCCTGGGAACAAGGGGTGATCATGTTGTACATTTATGGCTAGCAGATGAACACAAGTCTGATCTAAATTTCTAGAAAAGATTTTACATTTATGAGAAAAGGATCAGATGTGGAAGGCCCTGCTTCCCCTTCTTTTTGTCTTGAATACAGACACATTGGCTTGAACTGCAATGGCCATCTTGTTTCCATGACAGAAAGGCTAAAGGAATCTGAGCCCCTGATATCACTGAGTCACTAAACCAATGCCAGTGGCCAGCTCCTTTAGACTTCTTGTTATCTGAGAAAAACCCCTATTTGAAGAACCATTGCCACTTGGATCTTTTGTGTTACTTAAAGCAGAAAACATTCCTACCTGATACAGAAATAGGTAAGTTATAAGTGACATAAACAAATTAAAACAGTTGACCTGTTATTTTTGAAAGTGATTTGTTAGATAAAGTTCTATTTGTGCAATAAAGCATTTAAAAATAAAAATATTGAGGCCAGGCACAGTGGCTCATGCCTGTAATCCCAGCACTTTGGGAGGCTGAGGCGGGCGGATCACCTGAGATCAGGAGTTCAAGAGCAGCCTGGCCAGCATGGTGAAACCCTGTTTCTACTAAAAATACAAAAATTAGCCAGGCTTGGTGGCGGACACCTGTAGATCCAGCTACTCGGGAGCCTGGGGCAGGAGAATCACTTGAACCTGGGAGGCAGAGGTTGCAGTGAGCTGAGATCCTGCCACTGCACTCCAGCCTGGATGACAGAGCGAGACTCCATCTCAAAGAAAAAAAAAAAAAAAAAAAAAAAGTGCTGAGCTTAAAGGGAAAAATGTTTAATTTTATTGCTGACTATGAACACATTGCCATTTAATCCAGATTATTTTAATTCTGATGCTAAGGCCATCCATTGTCTTTTGTTAGGAGTCAAACAAAATTTTAGTAACCAAAACATATTTTCAATAAAATTTTATATGTATATAAGTAAATAACAAAACAACAAAAAACAAAAAAAGAACAAAACAGCACCAAGAACCTATGTAAAATTTCATCATACAATTTCTATGCAAGCTGCTTGATTACAGAAAACTGTTCAAACTGTTCATCAAAAACTGAGTGGGATTTTCCATTGATATTTCAGATATTCAAATCAACCCATATTCTGAGTATCAATCTGAATTGCACAGGTTAAGATGTGAACCCTTCACATAGTGTTGAAGATGTGTTGAAATCTGTACTTGAATTGGCATTGTTTTCCTCAGAGTTAGGCTGCCTTCATGAGAAATATCTTCTATCCCTGAGAGATCAGCTACATCAAGATGGCTCATCAGCTAAATCACGTTGGTCAAAATACCTAGTAAAAAAAAAACAAAAAATTTATGTATAAAGATATTAACTGTAGCACTATTTTTAATAGCCAAAGACCATAAGCAACCCAAACGTCCATCAATAAGAAACTGGTTAAATAAGCTATAGTATGTCTACATAGTGGAAAATTATGAAGCCATAAAAAGAGAAATGAGGGAAATATTTATACTGCTAAAGTATGAGGAACGTATTTATACTGCTAAAGTATGATTTCCAGGATTTATTAAGTGAAAAAAAACGAAGTACAGAACAGATTGTTCTGTATGCTACCTTATGTGAGTATGTGTAGGACTGCCAATATACGTGTTTGTTTATATTTTTCTTTTCCTTTTTGAGACAAGGTCTCACTCTGTCACCCAGGCTGGAGTGCAGTGGCATGATCATGGCTCATTTCCCAGACTGGTCTTGAACTCCTGGGCTCAAACAATTCTCCAGCCTCAGTCTCTCGAAGTGCTGGAATTACAGGCTTGAGCCACCACATGCGGCCTACTTATACTTTTAAAAAGAAACAATGAATGAAAAGATGAAACAAAAATTAGTAATACAATGGTTAACTAGAGGAGAAAGGAAAAAAGAGGATAATGAGGATAAAGATGGATGCTAAAATACTCCAAATGTACCTTGAATTATAATTTTAACTTTGGCAAGGTAACTATTTTATGTAATTATAAGATTAAATAAAAAGGAAAATCACTAATCAGATTTTGTCATGGCTCACTGCATTCTTGAACCCCTGGACTCAAGCAATCCTCCCACCTTGACCTCCCAAAGCACTGGGCTTACAGGTGTGAGTCACTGTGCCCAGCTTTCCTTTTTTTTTTCTTTTTTCTTTTTTTTTTGAGATGGAGTTTCGTTCTTGTTGCCCAGGCTGGAGTGCAATGGCACGATCTCAGCTCACTGCAACCTCCACCTCCCAGGTTCAAGTGATTCTCCTGCCTCACCATCCCGAGTAGCTGGGATTACAGGCGTGAACCACCGTGCCCGGCTAATTTTCCTATTTTTAGTAGAGGCGAGGTTTCACCATGTTGGCCAGGCTAGTCTTGAACTCCTGACTTAAGGTGATCCACCCGCCTTGGCCTCCCAAAGTGGTGGGATTACAGGTATGAGCCACCATGCCCGGTCCTTTTTTTCCTAAACTTTCAAATCTTTGTGTCTTCTATTGTAAAGCTGTTAGCTTCAGAACCTTTTGTAGTCTAGAACTTTTTCCATTTTTATCTAACTTTTTGAGGGCAAAAAATACACTTGAATGTTTTTGCTTTCATAATTGCATAATACTGTAAAATCTCAACTGAGGCAGTCAGAAACTATACTTGTCTGAGGTTTCATTAATTACTGGTTTGCTGAGCTACCAATTACTTAACCTTTCTGAATCTGTGTCATTATCTGTAAAAGGAAAAAAATCAAGTCCAACAGAGCTGAAAGGAAAAAATTTATTAAAACAAAAACAAAAACAAAAACACAACTCTGATCTATTGTAAAGAGTAGAGATACTATACATAAAGTAAGTAGGGCAATGCTATATCATCTCATTTAACTGCTACTACCAACAGATGAGGTAGGTATTAGCTTAATTTTTGATCAGCATAGTTAAAAGTTTAGCTCCGGAGTCAAAGTTGCCTGGGTTTGGATCATTACTCTAACACTTACTAGCTTTGTGATGGTAGTAATATTATTTAACCTCTCTCTGCCATGGTTTCCTCATCTGTAAACTGTTAACAGTACCCACCTTAGAAGGATTAAATGGGTTCCTCACTAAGAAAAATGCTTGGCACAAATTGCCCAGTAAATGTTAATTATCATCAGCAGCATAATTATTGTAGATCAAGAAACTAGATATTGAATATGTGAAAATATGGAAACAAGATTACTTGCCTTCCCAATATTTAAGTATATTATAAAGCTTTAAAAAGGTACTGGCAATGAAATAAAAACACTGATCTATGGAACAAAAATATGTCCAGGAGGAGACCTAAAATAAATATGTGTGTTTTACTGCCTGGCCAATAATGGTGAAACTCCGTCTCCACAAAATTACAAAAATTAGCCGGGCATGATGGCAGGTGCCTGTAAGCCCAGCTACTTGGGAGGCTGAGGGGGGAGAATTGCTTGAACCCAGGAGGTGAAGGTTGTAGTGAGCCGAGATGGTGCCATTGCACTCCAGCCTGGGCAACAGAGCGAGACTCTGTCTCAAAACAAAACAACAAAAAAAGTTTTCAAATAAATTCCAAGAAGAATTTCTATGTAAGAAATGAAATAAAACAGATACTAAATAAAAATATGCCACAACTGAAAATGAACGCAGGACACAGGCAATTAAACAAAAATGCAGGCTGAATGCAGTGGCTTTACACCTGTAATCCCTGCACTTTCGGAGGCTTAGGTGGGAGGATCGCTTGAGCCCAGGAGTTTTGAGACCAGCCTGGGCAACATAGTGAGACCCTGTCTCTACGAACAATTTTTTTTAATTAGCCAGGTGTGGTGGTGCTTGGTTGTGGTCCTAGCTACTCAGGAGGCTGAGGTGGGAGGATTGCTGGAGCCCAGGAAGTTAAAGCTCTAGTGAGCTGTGATTGCGCCACTGCACCCTAACTATAGCAACAGAGTGAGACTCAAAAAAAAACCAACCAAACAAAAACCAAATGTAATAAATACGATCTAACCTCACTGACCTCACTGATAAATAATAAAGAAGCCAAGGATTAACTATACCTGCTAACCAAGCAGATTAATAAATTCAAAGCAGGAACCCTCTCATCATCTTTGCTATCCTAAAAAAAAAAAAAGAAAAATTTAAATATTGTCTGTTCCTATTACTTTTGAAATAAATTTTCTATTAAGATGTAAAACACGAAACATGAAAACTTTATTATATGACAGTAATCATCATGTGGAAATAGGAGCCCTCAAAGAAAAAGCAGAGAACTGTAGAGTTAATGATTCCTTGAGAAACATCTAAGACTATCTTTTAAATAAAGATTCTGAATAGGGAAAAAAAAATAAAGAGGGATCTAAGGGGGATAACTTGGGGGAAATTTTTCCCTGGTTCCTACTAAAGGAACAATAAGAATCCTGTGTCTTAACTGTACAGTGATGAATATATATATATATATTCATATATATTATATATGTGTCTTAACTGTAGTGAATATGTATTCATATATAATAAATATATATTAATATACATATATGAATAAATATATTTATCACTGTAGTCAAGACACAGGATTCTTATTGTTCCTCTATATAATGCATACAATATATGTGAGGATATATATAGAATATATATGAATATATATAATATATATTAATCACTGTACAGTCAAGACACAGGATTCTTACTGTTCTTATATATATTCATTACTGAATTATATAAAGATATATATATAAAGATATATATATATACACACACACACACACACATATATATACACACACACACACACACACACACACCAGGTGCAGTAGCTCATGCCTGTAATCCCAGCACTTTGGGAGGCTGAGGCAGGTGGATCACTTGAAGTCAGCAGTTTGAGACCAGTCTGGCCAACATGGTGAAACCCTGTCTCTACTAAAAATACAAAAATTAGCCAGGCATGGTGGCGGGCACCTGTAATCTCAGCTACTCTGGAGGCTAAGGCAGGAGAATTGCTTGAACCTGGGAAGCGGAGGTTGCAGTGAGCCGAGACCGCACCATTGCACTCCAGCCTCGGTGACAGAGCGAGACTCCATCTCACAATAAAAGAAAAAAAAAAAAAAAAAAAAAAGGCTGAAGCTACAGCAGCCATCTTGGATCATAAGATGAGCATGAGGATGAAAGCCACATATGACAAAACTCAAAGGTGTGGGTGGGTTACTGCCATCTTAGTAAAAATCTAATTTTTTTACCTACTTCTTTTTTGAGACAGAGTCTTGCTCTGTTGCCCAGGCAGGAGTGCAGTGGTGCAATCTCAGCTCACTGCAACCTCCGCCTCCTGGGTTCGAACGATTCTCCTGCCTCAGCCTCCTGAGTAGCTGGGATGACAAGCACCCACCACCACACCCAGCTAAATTTTGTATTTTTAGTAGAGACGGGGTTTCACCATGTGGGCCAGGTTGGTCTCAAACTCCTGACCTCAGGTGAGCCACCCGCCTCAGCCTCCCAAAGTGCTGGGATTATAGGTGTGAGCCACCACGCCCGGCTCAGACTTCTTTATCTCAGAAAACATTTCCATATTATTTAAGCTACTATTATTTTGGGCTTTACAAATCTAATTGCCACCAATAAAATATTCCATGTGTTTTCCTATTTCACTGAACTCCTTCTTTACCACCATATAAATTGGTGGGTGCTTTTAATTTTAAACAGTAAGTTGCAACTTACCACTAAGAGCCTCACTTCAGAGCACCTTCTTGCAAGCTGCCGAATCAGTGAATGAGCCTCAGGTAACAAAGGCTTTTCAAGACAAGCCAATAAAGCATAAAGCCATCTTCCCTAAAAAAAAATTCAAAAAATTAATATTTAGACAAATACTGAACCAGAAGTTTATTTTTTAAATGTCCAATGTTATGCCTGATTATCTGCTATGAATAAATTCATAGAACATTTAACTATATTATGTTTGGGTATAGACAAGAAAGCCTCATTTGGAGAGCCAGGTGTTATCTCTTGTATCCTATAATTACAGACACAGGACATTGGATACCTCAAAATATTCCCTGATCTCCAAAGAGTTTGTTTCAGATATTCTTATGATAGGAAGTTCTCATTTGTAAGCAGAACACTACATTAAGATGAATATAAATACTGGAAAAAATTAAGATACATTTTTTTCTTTGTTCTGTATGGACAGATATAGAAATCATTTTATAATTGTATAATTTTGTCCTCTGGGGACATACAAAGAAACTATACTACAGATGAAATAATCTTTTGACACTTTTATAAATACTTTGACAGGCTCAATGTATCCCCACTCCCTTTTAAAATGGGGTTTTCAGCTACAAAATGAATACATATTTGATGCAGAAAAACTGTGAAGAATACCACAAGCACAAGAAAAAACCTGCAGTCCCAACATTCCAGATCAAACTTTGATTCACTTTAAAAATGTTCTTGTTTTTCCTATTCGTATGTACAACTTTCTTTTTTTTTGAGACAGAGTTTCACTCTTGTTGCCCAGGCTGGAGTGCAATGGCGCGATCTCGGCTCACTGCAACCTCTGCCTCCCGGGTTCAAGCAATTCTCCTGTCTCAGCATCCTGAGTACCTGGAATTACAGGCATGTACCACCACACCCGGCTAATTTTGTATTTTTAATAGAGACCGGGTTTCACCATGTTGTTCAGGCTGGTCTCGAACTCCTGACCTCAAGTGATCTGCCTGCCTTAGCCTCCCAAAGTGGTGAGATTACAGGCGTGAGCCACCATGCCCGGCTGTACAACCTTTTTTCAATACAATTTCATCAGTTGTAATATCATCTTGTAGCCATCTTTTTTATTTATAATACATAATAAAATGTTTACCATGTTGTTTTTGTCCTTTTTCTTTTTTTTTTCGAGATGGAGTCTCGTTCTGTCATCCAGGCTGGAGTGCAGTGGTGCCATCTCGGCTCACTGCAACCTCTGCCTCCCAGGTTCAAGCAATCCTCCTGCCTCAGCCTCCTGAGTAGCTGGGACAACAGGCGCCCGCCACCATGCTCAGCTAATTTTTGTATTTTTAGTAGAGATGGGGGTTTCACCATGTTGGCCAGGCTGGTGTCGAACTCCTGACCTCAAGTGATCCGCCCACCTCGGCCTCCCTAAGTGCTGGGATTACAGGAGTGAGCCACCCCACTCAGCCATCCCTTGTAGTTAAATGGGATTAACAAGGGAATGTTAAGTGTCTTGTTTAGAGTATTTAATAACATTCCCTTGTTTAATCTCATTTAACAACATGGGGAAAGTTTATTAAGTATTGCAAGTAAAATGGTGACAAAGGGTATGTATATTCATCAAGGTTTTTCAGATATGATCACCAGATTGTATCCTGGAAAGGTTATACCAAATTTGTATTTCCACCAGTAGTATATACAACTTTGTTTATTCTAAGCAACATATCACTTCGGGGAAACCTAAAAAATATTAGGACAAAATTTAAATAGCAATTTATACAACACACTAAATGGGTTCCTCAGGCAAACTCAAATCAATAGTTAAGACTTTTTCTTACAGAAAAAGATTCAAATCCAGGTTTCTTTTACAAATTGTGGAATTCTTTTTCTATAAAAAAAAATTATATGTTTCAACTTGACTCAAATTTTAAGGGATACATTTACTATGTAAAGCTAGCATTTAAATTAAATATTTAATTTAAATTAAATATTCTCTACACTTGTCCCAGCTACTCAGGAGGCTGAGGCAGGAGGATTGCTTGAACTTGGGAGGCAGAGGTTGCAGTGAGCCGAGATGGCACCACTGCACTGCAGCCTGGGTGACAGAGTGAGACTCCATCTCAAAAAAAAAAAAAAAAAAAAAAAACAAACTTGTCTGCAATGAGATAAGGAGTTTGTACCTTGTACCAGGATATACATCAACTCTTTCATTGACTTTTTTTCTCCAAGACTTTCTCAATGAAGGAAGTAGTATGTTGATTTACATTCTAGTGTTTCTTATTTGACTACAAACAAGTATAGTTCAGATTATACATATGTATATACACACACACACACATATACAAATATAAATATAAATATAAATACTGGCTGGGTGCAGTGGCTCACGCCTGTAATTCCAACACTTTGAGAGGTGGAGGCGGGCAGATCACCTGAGGTCATGAGTTCAAGACCAGTCTGGCCAACATGGAGAAAGCCTGTCTCTACAAAAATACAAAAATTAGCTGGGTGTGGTGGCAGGTGCCTGTAATCCCAGCTACTTGGGAGGCTGAGGCAGGAGAATCACTTGAAACCAGGAGGTGGAGGCTGCAGTGAGCCGAGATCGCGCTACTGCACTCCAGCCTGGGCAACAGAGGGAGATTCCATGTCAAAACAAACAAATAAATAAAAAATAAATAAATACCGTAGCATCACATCAAGTACAGTCATGCATCACTTAATGAAGGGAGATATATTCTGAGAAATGCATTGTTAGGTGATTTTTGACCCTGGATGAACATCATAGAGTATACTTACACAAACCTAGATGGTATAGTCTACTATACCTAGACTATATTGCATAGCCAATTGCTCCTAGGCTACAAACCTATATAGCACATTACTATACTGAATACTGTAGGCAACTGTAACATAATGGTAAACATTTGTGCATCCAAAAAAACCATATATTTATTTCTTAAGATAGGGTCTCACTCTGTCACTCAGGCTAGAGTGCAGTGCAGTGGCACAATCATGGCTCACTGCAGCCTCAACCTCCCTGGCCTTAGGTGATCCTCCTGCCTCAGCCCTCCCTAGTAGTTGGGATTACAGGCATGAGCCACTGTGCCTGGCCAGATCTAAACATATTTAAATACTGGAAAGGAGCCGGGCTCAGTGGCTCATGCTTGTAATCCAAACAGTTTGGGAGGCCAAGGTGGGAAGAACACTTGAGCCTAGGAGTCTGAGATCAGCCTGGGGAACATGGTGAGACCTCGTCTCTATTTAAAAAACACAAAAGGCCGCACACATGGTGGCTCATGCCTGTAATTCCCAGCATTTTGGGAGGGTGAGGAGGCAGGATCATTTGGACTCAGTTCAAGACCAGCCTGGACAACACAGTGAGACCTTGTCTCTAATAAAAAAAACAAAAAACAAAAAACAAAAAAAACTGGGCGTGGCTGCATGCGCCTGTAGTCCCAGCTACTCAGGAGATTGAGGCAGGAGGATTGCTTGAGCTGGGGAGATCAAGGTTGCAGTGAGCTATGATTGTAATACTGCACCCCAGCCTGGGTAACAGAGCGAGACCTTGTCTCAAAAAAAAAAAAAAAAAAAAAAAGAAAAGAAAAAAAGAAAATGTGCAGTAAAAATACAGTATTATAATCCTATAGGAGCACCATTGTATATGTGGCCCACAGTTGACCCAAAACGTCTAATTTTTGCCTACATTATGAAAAGAAAAACATGCAATACTACCAATTCTGGAGTAAAGTCTCTTTCTCCAAACCAATTACTCAGATATTCCAAGACACTAGTTACTGTTGCCTAAAAAAAAAAAGAGGGGGTGGAGAAGAGTTGTATTAATAATAAAACATGAATTCAACATGAGTTTCATTAAGTTTATTTAGAAAGCAACTCTGATGTTAAAAATGGCCTCATTCTTTAAACTTTCAAAGAAAGCTAATTTGTTTGACTCTAATTAGTTTGATTAGGCGGCTTATCCAATGAGGCTTTTTTTTTTTTTTTTTTTTTTTTTTGAGATAGAGTCTCACTCTGTTGCCCAGGCTGGAGCGCACTGGTGCGATCTTGGCTCACTGCAACCTCCGCCTCCCGGGTTCAAGCAATTCTCCTGCCTCAGCCCCCTGAGTAGCTGAGATTACATGCGTGCACCACCACGTCCGGCTAATTTTTGTATTTTTAGTAGAGACAGGGTTTCTGCATGTTGGTCAGGCTGGTCGAACTCTCGACCTCAGGTGATCCGCCCTCCTCGGCCTCCCAAAGTGCTGCGATCACAGGTGTGAGGCACCGCGCCTAGCCCCAGTGAGGCTTTTAAAACAAATATTTTCACACTTTCAAATATCAACTAACACCTTGGTTTAAATCCTAGGATTTAGTTTGTAACTATTAATAATTTAGTTTGTAACTACTTGAAAGACTTCACAAGGTTAAAAGAAAATGTATTTGTGGCCAGGCTCAGTGGCTCTTGCCAGTAATCTCAGCACTTTGGGAGGCCGAGGCAGGTGGATCACTTGATGTCAGTTTGAGACCAGCCAGGCCAACATGGTGAAACCCCATCTCTACTAAAAATACAAAAATTAGCCGGGCATGGTGGTGAGTGAATGCAGTCCCAGCTACTAGGGAGGCTGAGGCCGGGGAATCCCTTGAACCTGGGAGGCAGAGGTTGCAGTGAGCCAGGATTTTGCCACTGCACTCCAGCCTGGGCAACAGAGTGAGACTCTGTCTCAAAAAAAAAAAAAAAAAAAAAAAACAATGGCACACCTGAGGTCAGGAGTTTGAGACCAGCCTGGCCAACACGGCAAAACCCCGTCTCTACTAAAAATACAAAAATTAGCCAGGCATGGTGGCGGGGTCTGTAATCCTAGCTACTCGGGAGGCTGAGACAGGAGAACTGCTTGAACCCAGGAGGCAGAGGTTGCAGTGAGCTGAGATCCTGCCGCTTCAGTACAGCCTGGGCAAAAGGCGAAACTCTGTCTCAAAAAAAAAAAAAAAAAAAGATGTATTTGTAAAAATACCATCAGTTGGCCAGGCGCGGTGGGCTCATGCCTATAATCCCAGCACTTTGGGAGGCTGAGGCGGGTGGATCACAAGGTCGGGAGACAAAGACCATCCTGGCCAACACGGTAAACCCCATCCCTGCTAAAATACAAAAAATTAGCTGGGTGTGATGGTGTGCGCCTGTAGTCCTAGCTACTAGGGAGGCTGAGGCAGGGGAATTGCTTGAACCTGGGAGGTGGAGGTTGCAGTGAGCCAAGATTGTGCCACTGCACTCCAGCCTGGCGACAGAGCGAGACTCCCTCTCAAAAAACAAAACAAAACAAAACAAAACAAAAAAACCATCAGTTTATTTCTAAATTCAAATTAAATCAAAGTACAAATCTGAATAAAAATTTAGGTGGAGAAAAATCTGTTCTTAAACTATACAGATGGATTTATCAAACTCTTGAAAATAATCTCTGGTTTATTCAAATACAGTTGATGGTTACAACAAAAATGACACTGATGGAATTTAGTATGACTGCTACAATATCTTAATGCAAATGATTAAGTAACACTGTCAGCTTGTGTATTATTTCCAAGAGAATATCACCCACAAAAAAAATTGTTGGCTGGGCCCAGTGGTTCACACCTGTATTCCCAGCACTTTGGGAGGCTGAGGTGGGAGGATCGCTTGAGCTCAGGAGTTCCAGACCAGCCTGGACAACACAGTGAGACCTTGTCTCTACCAAAAATAAACAAAATTAGCCAGGCATGGTAGCACATGCCTGTGGTCCCAGCTACCAGGAGGCTGAGGTGGGAGGATTGCCTGAGCCCCAAAGTACAAGACTGCAGTGAGCCAAGATCACATCACTGTACTCCAGCATGGGCAAGAGAATGAGACCCTGCCAAAAAAAAAAAAAAAGGCTTCCAAAGGTACCCAATGCTATGTGAAGATAAAATTAAATTTTTATTTGCTTTTTAAATGAATAAGAGTCCTTACTCCTAAAAAACTGAAGAACCAAACTCCATAATTCTTCCCTTTTGATCCAAGAAATCATATATTTCAATCTTTCTTTTTTTTTTTTTTGAGACAGAGTCTCGCCCTGTCGCCCAGGCTGGAGTGCAATGGCACGATCTCGGCTCACTGCAACCTCTGCCTCCCAGGTTCAAGCGATTCTCCTGCCTCAGCCTCCCAAATAGCTGGGATTACAAGTGCACACCTCCACATCCAGCTAATTTTTGTATTTTTAGTAGAGATGGGGTTTTACCATGTTGGCCAGGCTGGTCTCGAACTCCTGACCTTGTGATCCACCTGCCTTGACCTCCCAAAGTGCCGGGATTACAGGCATAAGCCACCGCGCCCGGCCCATATTTCAATCTTAATAGAATGTATAGGACATCTAGAACTAGAAATAGCAATCTAACCTTAGTACAGATGCCCCTGAACTTGCAATGGGGTTATGTGCTGATAAACACATTGTAAAGTTGAAAATTCCTAAAATGGCTGGGCATGGTGGCTCATGCCTGTAATTCCAGCACTTTGGGAGGCCAAGGTGGGTGGATCAGTTGAGGCCAGGAGTTCGAGACCAACGTGGCCAACATGACAAAATCCTCTCTCTACTGAAAATACAAAAATTAGCCAGGCATGGTGGGAAAAAAGGAATCCTAAACTGAACCATTGTAAGTCAGGGACCTTGTATTTAATTCAAACCCCAGAATCTAAGACTTATAACTGAAAGCTACAGAAATGAATACTCTAGCACCATGATTAAGACAGAGCATGAGCTCTGGAGTTAGATCTACCTGGCACTGAATCTCAGTACTGCCATTTACTTGCTGAAAAACCACCTGCAAGTTACTTAACCTCAAATGCTGTTTCCTCATCTATAAAAAGTAGTTATCAATAATAACTCTCCATAGAGGGTTGTAGTAAGGATTAAATAAGAACCATTAAAGAGCTTAGGACAAAGTCTTGCATACTGTAAGAATTCAGTATATGTATTAACAATTCAAATACTTTCACACACAATGCAAACAAAAGAATGCATATATCTCTATTATTAATTTTACCTGATTCATTCTGCTAACAATACTAAGCAAGGGAGGAAAACCAATCTGAAAGAAAAAATGAGACTGAATTTTACTAAATGGTATTATAAGCTTCATTTTTTTTTTTCAAACTGGTGAATTTCTTGCCACACTGTTGTTTAGAAACAAAGAACAAATAAAAGAAAATTCTTTCATTGTCCATAACAATGAGACATTCCGGAAACTACTATGTTTGTAATGCGGAAGAAAATAACGCCTTAAATTTTGAATATGTAATTTTTTTTTTAGATGGGGTCTCACTCTGTCACCCAGGCTGGAGTGTAGTGGCGCGATCTTGGCTCACTGCAACCTCTGCTTCCTGGGCTCAGGTGATGCTCCCACCTCAGCCTCACGAGTAGCTAGGACCACAGGTGCATGTCAACACGCCCAGCTAATTTTTTTGTATTTTTGGTAGAGATGAGGTTTTGCCATGTTGCCCAGGTTGGTCTGGAACTCCTGAGCTCAAGTGATCTACCTGCCAGAGCCTCCCAAAGTGCTGTGATTACAGGCATGAGCCACCTCACCTGGTCTGAATTTGTAAATTTTTAAATAAAGTATGATTTTAGTAAGTAAAATGTTAAAGACTAAAAATTTTTTACATGATAGTACTTGAAAAAACTAACTTATTAAGTATATCCAATAAAACTGTAACATTGATAAGATGACATTAATATGTTGTATACACCATTTCAAAATCTTCAGCTAAAGCTAATATTTTCAAGAATTAAGGACACTTGAATTAGAATGACATTTTTAAAACCTAATTTGATTCAATTTTTAAAAGTCTACTTTGGAGTCTGAGGCTGTGATTGCTAATTATGAAAATACCACTGATTTGTGAGAAACTTAAGAGGATATACATTAAACGCTTACTTCCTTAAGGGTTTTTTTTAACATGGTGTATTTTACTTGTATGTATTCTCTGAAAATAAGCTAAATAAGTAAGTTTTAATTCTTTATAAATTAAAAACCATTTTTGGCTAGCCATGATAGCTCATGCCTATAATCCCAGCAGGAGGATTGCCTGAGCCCAGGAGTTTCAGGCCAACCTTGCAACATGGTGAAAACTTCTCTCTACAAAAAAATTTTTTTAAAAAATTAAAAAACTTATCGCTACAAAAAATTTAAAAATTAGCTGGGTGTGGTGGTGGGTGCCTGCTGCCCCTGGTATGTTGAAGGCTGACGTGGGAGGATTGCTTGAGCCCAGGAGGTTGAAGCTGTAATGAGCTATGAGTGCACTACTGCACTCCAGCCTGGATGACGGAAGAAGACCCTGTCTCAAAAAAAAAAAAAAAAAAAAAAAAAAAAAATATATATATATATATATATATAGCTATTTTTGAAATGTAGCATATGTTAAGGATATCATCCAAAAGATCAATTGGTTATATAGAAAGAGTACCAAATTAACTTCCCTAAGATTTGAGTCTATTTATACTCCTGTACCACGTCTAAGAGTGCTTGTTTCCCCAGCTCTTGTCAATATGGTGTATCAAACTTTCTTGGCCAATATGTTACCTGAAAAATAGCACCTTGGCATAGTTATGTTATACTTCTATTACAAGTGATTTTTGGCATCTTGTCATATAAGAATAATTTTATTTCCTTTCTGTGAGGTATCTATATCCTTTGGCTATTTTTTCTTGGGCAGGGGAGGGGTGATTCTTGGTCTTTTTATTGATTCTTGGGGCTTTTTACATTTTTAGGAAAAATTAGTTTTAAATGTGAAAAACACAATGTGGCACCATATAGCAAATAATAAATACCTGTTGAACTGAAAAGAACTACATGCTATAGGGAGTAAGCGCTAATGCAGAGGCATGCACTGGATTCTCAAGGAACACCTGCAAACTTGGGGGCAGGTAAATCCTGAAGGACAAGGAGTTGTCTACATAACTTATGATTACAGCCACATGAATTTTAAAGATATCCTCAACA
This sequence comes from Homo sapiens, assembly GCF_000001405.40. Classification (NCBI taxonomy): domain Eukaryota; kingdom Metazoa; phylum Chordata; class Mammalia; order Primates; family Hominidae; genus Homo; species Homo sapiens. The sequence goes on along the minus strand of NC_000014.9, from coordinate 39,123,080 downwards.
TTTCATCTTTAGAATATGTGATTTATTTTTTACAGGCCCATGAAGTGATAGATGTGATTATGCATTTTAAAGCATCTAATTGTGTCGATTTCCATTTTTTCCCTGGCTACTCATAACACTGTTTGCCTGATGCCTCATCATTTAAAAAAACTATGAATCTTATCCAACTCATAAAATGATTACCAAGCCAAACATAAGGGATATGAAGCCAAACTAAAAAAAGTCACAGTAAATTGTTTCAGAAACTAAGCTGTTTTGTTAGGTTGAAGAGCTAATAAACTAAGTCTGGGTTGGCAAACATTTTCTATCAAGAGTCAGACAGCAAATATTTTAGGCTTTGCAGGCCACATAAAGTCTCAGCCACATATTATTTGTTTCTTTTTTACTCTTTCAAAACCTAAAAACAATCCTTAGCTCATGGATATAAAAAAGGCCATGAACTGGACTTGGCCCAGGGTAGAGTTTGCTGACCCCTTATATTAAGTGGTGCACCAAAATTAAAATGCTTTTTGTTCTGTTTATCCACACAGCCCTTACTTGTACATAATCTATTCCAGGACTTTCATTTGTGGCTGGTCCAACAGCCCCGTCAGCACATAACTTTTCACCCAGACAAAATTTCTTCCAGCCTTCTTCATCTTCAGATTTTGGCTAAAAGAAAAAAAAAAAAACTGATTTATTCCTGTGTATTAATTTTTACACTGAACAGTAAAAAAAAAGAAGTTAAGTCCTTCCATATTCCCATTACCGCAACCCAAAGATACGGAGCCAGTTATGGGGAGAATCTCTGCCCCCAAATTTGTATGTTAAAACCTTAAACTCCAGTACCTCAGAATGTGACTGTATTTGGAGACAGGGCCTTTAAAGAAGTGATTAATTTAAATTGAGGCCATTAGGGTGAGCCGTAATCCAATCTTACTAGTGTCCTTATAAGAGGAAATTTGGATTCACAAAGAGACACCAGGGACTCCCACACACAGAGGAAAGACCACGTGAGAAAACAGGGAGAAGGTGGCCCTATGCAAGCCAAGGAGAAAAGCCTCAGAAGAGACCAACCTTAGGCCGGGTGCGGTGGTTCACGCCTGTAATCCCAGCACTTTGGGAGGCCGAGGCAGGCGATCACATGAAGTCAGGAGTTCAAGACCAGCCTGGCCAACATGGCAAAACCCCACCTCTACTAAAAATACAAAAAAAAAAAAAATTAGCCGGATGTGGTGGTGCACACCTGTAATCCCAGCTACCCAGAGGCTGAGGCAGGAGAATCACTCGAGCCTGGGAGGCGGAGGCTGCAGTGAGCAGAGATTGCGTCATTGCACTCTAGCCTGGGCAACAAGAGCGAAACTCTGCCTCAAAAAACAAACAAACAAACAAAAAGAGACCAACCTTGCTGCCACCTTGTTCTTTGACTTTCAGCCTTCAAGACTGAGAAAATAAATACATTTCTGTTGTTTAATCCACCTAGTCTGTTATGGCAGCCCTGACAAACATAGTGCCTAAGTGGCTACACAATATGTGGGACATGTTGTTTTTCCTTATTATTACATTTTTTGAGACAGGGTCTTGCTCTGTCGCCCAAGTTGGAGTGCAGAGGTGTGATTACAGTTCATTGCAGCCTGAATCTCGGGCTCAAATAATTCTGCCACCTCAGCCTCTTGAGTAGCTGGGACTACAGGCATGTGCCACCATGCCTGATAATTTTTAAATTTTTTTTGTAGAGATAGTTGTCTCACTATGTTGCCCAGGCTGGTCTCAAACTCCTGGCCTCAAGCAATTCTTCTGCTTTGGCTTCCCAAAGTGCTGGGATTACAAGTGTGAGCCACTGTGCCCAGCCAAGATGTGTTTAGTTTGGACAAGACTTTAGTGGACACTGACAGACAATGGTGTGTCCAAAAGAGGATGATAAAGACAGAAATAAGTATGGGGGAAAAAATGCACCAAGAACACTTAATAGAATGAAGGATATTTATCCCATGTAAAGAGACATGATTACATATTTCACATATTTGAAGGGTTGTCCAGTCAAAGAAGAAACAGATCTACTCATGCTGCCAGACAGAAAAAGCAGGACGCAGGACTATTTGGGAGAAGCATTCAGCTCAATATAACCTCCTTAACAAAATAACCTTTGTTTGTACATATCACCTTGTATATTACTTTGCATAGGTGCATTTTCCCCCTAGGGATAAGTAGCTTTCATTAAATCCTTAGGATGAATCACCTGAGGTCAGGAGTTCGAGACTAGCCTGGAAATATGGTGAAACCCCGTCTCTACTAAAAATACAAAAATTAGCTGGGTGTGGTGGCAGGCACCTGTAATCCCAGCTACTTGGGAGGCTGAGGCAGGAGAATTGCTTGAATCCAAGAGACAGAGGTTGCAGTGAGCCAAGATTGTGCCACTGCACTCCAGACTGGGCAACAAGAGCAAAACTCCATCTCAAAAAAATAAATAAAATAAAATAAAATAAAATAAAACCTCACGATGAACATGAGACCACTACAAAGTTAAACCCTATTGTCTTGGAATAAGGTTATCTACCTTTTCCTAACACTCTATTAGGTCAGAAGCTGTTTCTGTTTCAGTTAGTACTGAATATCCTGATTATTAAATATAGCACATGCTTAAATTATTGGATCAATTAATAAACAAATGTTTATGTTTTCACACAGTTGCCATCACAGTGTACTTTATTTTTTAAATAATTTAAATAGAGACAGGGTTTTGCCATGTTGCCCAGGCTGGTCTCGAACTCCTGAGCTCAGGTGATCTGCCCACCTCAGCCTCCCAAAGTGCTGGGATTATAGGCATGAGCCACTGTGCCTGGCTCAGAGTGTACTTTAAAACATTTTCATTTTATTACTTATATGATGTTTGCATTTGCCATGACAAACACTTAAAATTGCTACATAATATTCCACTGTTCTGATGGACCATAGTTTATTGAATCAATTATGTTAGGTCATTTCCATTTTTGACAAAATTTTATCAAGTCATAATGTTACTGATGTGGCTTCTTTTTTAGTTAGTGGGCATGCACCCAAAAGGCCTTCCGCTAAGTAAGAAAAAAAATATATTTACCTACCTAGCCCTGTCCCTACTACATACATACATCCTTGGTACTAGGAAGGCACCATTGCATAGTCAAAGGCACACAGGCTTTAGAGACAGACCAACTTGGGTTTGAACCTTAAGCATACCTTTTGTGTGTTTATGTGCGCATGCTTCTTTGATAGAAGGACTAGCTATACCTTTTACAAGTTAAATGACCATTGGCAAGTGATAAGTTACTTCCCTTCACGCTTTTCCTGGAGCAGAGCTTCCAAATGGTATGCAGAAGCATACAGAGATGCCATATACTGAATCTCTCAGCTTTCGGCTGGTTTCAGGAAGAATATGCAAGCAGTCATTTATTCTAATGTGTCACCATGTAAAAGATATCAGGAAGCACTGCCTAAAGGAAGCTTCTAAAATCTAAAATCTATGAACTACCTGAAACTAAAATGTTGTGCATAGGTGCATTTTTTTTCCCTCTGAAGATAAATAGCTTTCATTAGATTCTACGAAAGAATATGAAGTCCCCTAAAAGGTTAAAAACTACTGTCCTGAGACAATGTATCATCTTTCCAACTCCTTTTTTCATTTGGTAGTCCTGATATATCTACTAAAGGGCTTAAAGTTATATCTAAACTGATAAAATATAGGACATATGCATGACAATATACATGACAGGTTTCACTTATATGTCACTGGAATTGTGACACAGACTCATCACATTAAGCAGAAGCAGAATCCATTCACAAGTTCTGTAAACATGTGAGTTTACTGCATGGCACCATCACCTCATCAGGAAAATCCATTAAGGCTTTATTCAATTTTTTTTGTAAATATTGAAAATGTATTTATTTCCTAGAAAGTAAATGTCTAGAAGAATCCTTAAAAACTTGTGGAAGTTTCACAGTCACCTATCCAAAGTCCCCCAAGATATTGTGAATTAAAATTGACATGAAAGGCTGGGTACAGTAGCTCATGCCTGTAATCCAGCACTCGGGGAGGCTAGGGCAGGAGGATCACTTGAGCCCAGGAGTAAGAGACCAGCCTGGGTAACACAGGGAGACCTTGTCTCTACAAAAAATTTTAACAATTAGCTGGGCATGGTGGTATATGCCTTAAGTTCGAGCTACTTGGAAGGCGGTGGTGGGAGGATCACTTGAGCCCAGGAGGTCAAGGCTGCAGTGAGCCATGACTGCACTCTAGCCTGGGAGACAGAGCAAGACCCTGTCTCAAAAAAAAAAAAAAAAAAAATTTGTCATGAAAATCTATACTTTCCAGGCTACTAATGTAATGAATTGTTACTATTAATGGTATATTGAAGAGAATGAAAGTAACACTGACTAGGCAAGTGAATCTTTAACGACTGGAAGTAAATATAGACTCTTTCAATCAGGTATACATTGTACATCTTAAAACTGAGAAACTTACATACCATTGTCACATTACTATCCAACTGTTGTGATTTCCAGTGACTTCTATGTTTGTTCACATTCTAAAGGAAGAAAACTTAGACATTAGATGGTACTCTTCAAAAAATGGATAACTGAAATCAGTTTCTGCACAAAATTGTAACCATCTAAAACTTGAAAAATGGGAAAGGTGGGAGGGGGTGAGATGTAAAAGACCATGTATTGGGTACAGAGTACACTACTTGGGTGACAAGTGCACCAAAATCTCAGAAATCACCACTAAAGAACTTATCCATGTAACCAAAAACCACCTGTTCCCCAAAACTATTGAAATAAATAAACAAACAAATAAAAATAAACAAAACTTAGAAAATATTTCAAACTGTATCATGTCTAATGATTATAAAAATAATTTGGTAATTAATTCATGAATATTCTGTATACTTTAGGATCATAAATTTTATTTTTCCAGCTACAGTCTAAGAACAGAAATAAATCCAACAGGGGCTTAATTAGATTAAATATGACACTTACCTGTCGAACAGTTGAAAACTGTGCCACTTGTTGCTGTTGCCATTGAAGTGTTGGGGAATAACCTTCAGGGGCGGGTTGGCATCCTGAAAGCTAGAGATCAAGTTCACAAATATTAGGATCAACATTAGTGTCAAAACTAGAATCTCATGCCTCTGCAAAGCAAAAGTAAAACCAAGATAAAGTGTATAATAAAATAAAGATTATACAAGAAAATAAAATATTTTTGCAGATGTAAAAAAGTAGGCATTTCACTTTATTATTTATATCTCAGTTAAAAATATTAGGGAAAGAGCCTTAGTCACCTTAATCAGAGAAATCTGGAAAGGTTTATAGTTGGAGTTTCTATGAAATCTAAATGACATGAGCCTGGAGAATATGATCTAGCCCTACCTGCCTTTCTAGAATAGCAAAACAGAAACAAAAAGAGAGATATACCACAAATAAAGAATTCTGGTATGAAATACAGTTAGAAGGAATGAGTTCTAGCATTCAATAGCACAGTAGAGTGACTACAGTTAACAATAATTTATTGTATATTTCAAAACAGCTAGAAGATTTGAATGTTCCCAAAAGAAAGAAATGATAAATGAGGTGATGGCTATCCTAATTACTGATTATTATACATTGTATGCATGTATCAAAATATCACATATACTCCATAAATATGTACAATTATTATTGTGCCTGCGTGATAAAGCATGAAATTATGATTATTATGTATCAATAAAATTAAAAATAAGAACTTTGGTATGGGCAAAATGTACTTAAAGACGCTTAACTTTAAATTGTCTACTTCTGTTTTCTTTTTTTTTTTTTTTGAGACGGAGTTTCGCTCCTGTTGCTCAGGCTGGAGTGCAATGGCCATCTCAGCTCACTGCAATCTCCGTCTCCCGGGTTCAAGCAATTCTCCTGCCTCAGCCTCCCGAGTAGCTGGGATTACAGGCATGTGCCACCACACCCGGCTAATTTTGTATTTTTAGTAGAGATGGGGTTTCTCCATGTTGGTCGGGCTGGTCTTGAACTCCCCACCTCAGGTGATCCGCCTGACTTGGCCTCCCAAAGTGCTGGGATTACAGGTGTGAGCCACTAAGCCCAGCCATACTTCTGTTTTCTAAAAGAGCACATACAGCCTGAGCAACATATCAAGACCCCGTCGCTACAAAAAATACAATTAGCTGGGCACGGTGGCACATGCTTGTCATCTCAGCTACTGGGGAGACTGAGGTGGGAGGATGGCTTGAGCCCAAGAACTCGAGGCTGCAGTGAGCTATGATCGTGGCACTGTACTCTGGCCTGTGCAACAAAGCGAGACCCTGTCTCAATCAATCAATCAATCAATCCATCAAATTAGGTATATTAAGACATTCTGTTCCATTAAATGTCCATCAACTAAAAAACCCTGAAGAGGAATTATAGGAAAAATTACAGTGTCTGAATTAAAATTTCCTGATTACAAGTATCAGAGAAACTACTTTGAGCATGAAAAGGAAATTACTATCAACTATTTAAAATGCCACTCTCCCAGGCGCCTGTAGTCCCAGCTACTCGGGAGGCTGAGGCAGGAGAATGGTGTGAACCCGGGAGGCAGAGGTTGCAGTGAGCCGAGATCGCGCCACTGCACTCCAGCCTGGGCGACAGAGCGAGACTCTGAGACTCCATCTCAAAAAAAAAAAAAAAAGAAAAAGAAATAAAATAAAATGCCACCCTCCTTTGAGCTTAGGTTAAATAGCACCTCCTTAGAGAGACCTTTGCTGGCCAGGCGTGGTGGCTCACATCTGTAATCCCAGCACTTTAGGAGGCAGAGGCAGGCAGATCACTTCAGGTCAGGAGTTTGAGACCAGCCTGGCCAACATGGTAAAACCACGTCTCTACTAAAAATACAAAAATTAGTCAGGTGTGGTGGCACACGCCTGTAATCCTAGCTACTCAGGGGGCTGAGGCAAGAGAAGCTCTTGAACCTGAGAGGCAGAGGTTGTGATGAGCTGAGATTGTGCCACTGCACTCCAGCCTGGGCGAAAAATTGAGACGCAAAAAAAAAAGGGGGAAAAAGAGAGCCCTTCTATGATTCCTCTACAGTAGTTCTGTCATTTATTGATTATTATACATGCTTATTTTCTTCATAGCAATAATCACAATATGTAATTATTTGTTTGCTTGTTTACTCTCTGTCTTCCTCAGGAGGGTATGTAAACTCTACAAGGGTAGGAACCTTTTTTGTCTTACCCTCTGTTGAATTCCCAATGCCCGGCACAACCTAGTTGCTTAATTAAAGATGTGCTGGATAAATAAATAAATGAAAATGTCCAGAGTGTGCAAGTAGCTATAAAAGTGTAAGGCCGGGTATGGTGGCTCACACCTGTAATCCCAGCAGTTTGGGAGGCAGAGGTGGGCGCATCACGAGGTCAGGAGTTCAAGACCAGACTGGACAACATGGTGAAACCCCGTCTCTACTAAAAATACAAAAATTAGCCGGGTGTGGTGGTGGGCGCCTGTAATCCCAGCTACTCGGGAGGCTGAGGCACGGTAATCGCTTGAAACCGGAAGGCAGAGGTTGCAGTGAGCTGAGATCGCACCACTGCACTGCAGCCTGGGCAACAAGAGTGAAACTGTCTCAAAAAAAAAAAAAAAAAAAGTGTAAGACATCTGGGTTTCTATTCTTAAAAAAAGTGAAACTTGGTCAAATTCAGAACATGCAAAGCACACTAAGATTAAACACCAATCCAATAACTGGAAAAAGTTCCTTAAAAAATAAAGGGGCCAGGTGAGGTGGCTCACGCCTGTGATCCCAACGCTTTGGGTGGCAGAGGAGGGAGGATCACTTGAGGCCAGGAGTTCCAGACCAGCTGGCAACAGAGACTCCCTCTCTATAAACAAACAAACAAGCAAAAAATAAAAGATAACATAAGTAACCCATTTAAAGACTCCTTTGAAAGGACTGGATAATGTCCTGAAGTAAGATGGGCAACACTCCACAAAGGCTAGAGTTACAGAAAGCCTCTTTAGAGGCAGTAAATGCCAATTGTCTTTCTGAAGGAAAAAGTACAAGCGAATGTCTAACTTTGCACGGAGTAGTCAAATCTTACGTCATAATTGATGCTGTCAGATACTATAGGAAGAGCGTTAGTCTTTTAATTGGGGGGTTGGGGGTAATCTCCAGACGGTTAATAAAACTCACAGAAATATTCACACTTTGCTTCCTTTTCAACTTCTTTGGGTCAATTTGAGCTACCACAACATCTGGACATTGAGCTGCTTCGATCCTACAAATAAGTAATAAACGCGATAAATTAAATTTCTGTTGTGCTTTGCTCAGGTGTAGTAAAACAAGCGATCCACTTCCACAGTTCATTGTGAAATCAGAAAAAAATTCAGACTTCCAATTGAGGTACTAAACAATGTATTTCTGAAATTATCTGGATTGAAAACAAATCTAAGAGCACACATCTTGATACGTGCAATCACGTTCAACAGAAACTCGCCCACGTTAGGATGTAATCCAGAATCCTGAATAGACCTGAACTCGCAACAGACTGGAACGGGAATAGAGCACCGAGGGCTGTACCCAGGGGCAGGGCAGAAGACCAGCCCACCCGCCCAGGGCCGAATCACTCACTGGACCCGCCTCAGGTATTCCTGAGGCGTCCTCGGGGGTACCGAGGGATCGAAACCTTCCGTCAAGTCGCAAGGCTCTACCGGCAATAGCCGAGGCATCAACTCTTCCACTGCGGACTCCGCTGGTACCCACGCCATGGTTTTCAAACCAGCCAGTTCCGCTCGGCGCATGCGCCCATTCTAGGTCACAGCGCAGGCGTACTAATAGACACCTTAGGCGCGGAGCTGAGCAAGTGGCAGTTTAGGGAGCGTTAACTGCGCATGAACAAATTGCTGCTTGCCTCAAGGTTAAGGCTCCGGTGGTGTAATAAAGGATCTGAGAATTTAATTCCTAGCTGAATTGGTTCGAACGCGTTTCTGGGACTTTTACCCTCTGTTTTGTCTTCTAACGCTGGGTAAAGGCCGAGGGTTAGCAACTTTTATGCATCCCTAGTAGTGAGGGATCCTTAAAAATGTTTTTTGAATTAATGAACAATATTACTGTAATTATCATTCATGGAGCTCTAAATTCTTAAACTCTTCATAAACACATTTTCTCATTTGATTCTTAGAACAGTCTTGTGAAGTGGGTGGTAATATACCGCTCTCTTAGGGCAGGGACTGACCTTCCAAAGAGGAAGAACCAATTCCAACCTAGATTTATGCGATGCCAAATGAATGAAAAATTAATTTTCTACAGAAATTTCTAGTGCTTGACCACTTCAAAGATCACTGTATGTTTATTTGGAATGAATATTACTCCTAGAATAGCCAGCACTTTTTAATTTTTGTTTTAAAGAAAAATCTCTTCGTTTAAATACAAATAGTGAAAAAAATGAAACTAATGCTAACACCCAGAAATTAACAAAAATGTTAGGTCAATCTTGTTAGGTAGATAGTATTATTATCTCCATTTCATAGGTGAGGAAACAAGGCAAGAATGTGCAAGAAACAAGTATAATATCTGATTATTTCTAAACAAATACAATTGAGTGAATACAATTGACTTATTTTCTAACACTGATGTTTATTTTAGAAGGTTAAAAATTTTTATTTATGGCACTGCCTTTAGTTTGCAAGGAATTGATTTCAAACCAGGATGTAAGTCTAAATTGAAGATAAAGTGAGGATAGTCCTTAGCTTATTTAAGTACTTAATGCTTAGGAACTGTAACTAAACAATTGGGACACTTGGAAAGATATCACCTGGCTGCAAACTACAGTTATTTGGTTAACAAATTTTCACTGGTTTTGGGAAAAACAGACTTAGAATAGGGAGAAATACTCCTGTCGTCCAACATTTTGGTGATAATCAAGGACAAATTTGAAAAAGTAAGTAGTGACGTGAGGACTAAACTGAATTTTTTTTTTTTTTTTTTTGAGACGGAGTCTCGCTCTGTCGCCCAGTCTGGAGTGCAGTGGCGCAATCTCGGCTCACTGCAAGCTCCGCCTCCCGGGTTCACGCCATTCTCCTGCCTCAGGCTCCCGAGTAGCCGCCGGGACTACAGGCACTCGCCACCACGCCCGGCTAATTTATTGTATTTTTAGTAGAGACGGGGTTTCACCTTGTTAGCCAGGATGATGTCGATCTCCTGACCTCGTGATCCACCCGCCTCGGCCTCCCAAAGTGCTGGGATTACAGGCATGAGCCACCGCGCCCGGCCTGATTTTTTTATTTTGCCCAAATTCCTATCTAAGGGGTCTGGGGAGTCATGCCCTACAAATCATAAATTCTCATCAGATGGGTTTTATTTAACCCTATATATCACGATTTACTTTTCAACCTCACTTCGAAATGACATTACGAGACAAAGAAGAAAATAAAAATATTTGACCCCAAAACATGTTTCTTTGCCGTATTTTGAAATGGCCCTGCAAAGCTGTTCTTTGTGGAGGAAATTTTGCATCCGTAAAGAATCTTGGCCAGGCGCAGTGGCTCATGCCTGTAATCCCACCACTTTGGGAGGCCGAGCTGGGCACATCACTTGAGGTCAGGAGTTCGAGACCAGCCTGGCCAACATGGTGAAACCCCGTCTTTGGTAAAAATACAAAATACTACCTGGGCATGGTGGTGGGCGCCTGTAATCCCAGCTACTTGGGAGCCTGAGGCAGGAGAATCGCTTGAATCCAGGAGGCGGAGGTGGCAGGGAGCCCAGATTGTGCCATTGCACTCCAGCCTGGGCAACAAGAGCAAAACTCCATCTCAAAAAAATAAAATAAAATAAAATAAAATAAAATATTACCCAGCCTTGACCTCCCGGGCTCAAGTGATCCACTCACCTTGGCCTACCAAAGTGCTGGGATTACAGGTGTGAGCCACTGGGCCAGGCCACAAATACATTTTTTTTAATTTTTATTTTTTACTGTAAATTATTAGCATTTTCTTTCAATTTTTTTCTGGAGAAAAGGTTACCTTGCCAATCAACTACCAATGGAACAATGGCTAACATTGGAGTTTGTGCATAAGTATGTGTCAGAACTATGCATGGATTAAGGAAGAAAGGAGACAATAGGAGAATGGAACAAAGGTTGTCCTGGGAAATAATAATAAATTATTTTCCAAAAGAAGAGGTAATAATATAGCTTCGTGCTACTTCAAATCTAATTTTATTTAAAAGAATTAGTAATGATTTTTTGAGTGAAGTTTTCAGAAATTGCACTAAGTATTTTTTAATGCTTCAGTGAAATATGGAACACATGAGATAAGTTATATTTGGTTGATGAAGTTATTCTGAAAAAACGCTATTTGGAAAGGTGAACTTCTGAAACTACAATAACATTTCATCTATTCCCAGGAAGAAATATTCCTAAGGTACTGAACTACTTCTGGTGCCCTGTTTTTAGAGATTTATCGCCGGTTTTTAGTTTATGATGGAAAAATTCTTGTTTCAGTATTTCTCACACGATTGGTTAGCTGTAGGAGTTACATGACGATTGTGAGAACAGAACATTCTGTTGTGTGTTTATTGATGATGTGGCTGTTTATTGATGATGGAGGCATCTGTTAAGTCAACCTTACACAGCCAACTACAGTTTATCTCTGTCTCTGTGTTTTCTTTTCTTTTATTATTTTCCTTTTTTTTTTTTTTTTTTTGAGACGGAGTCTCGCTCTGTCACCCAGGCTGGAGTGCAGTGGTACTGCTCACTGCCACCTGTGCCTCCCGGGTTCAAGTGATTCTCCTGCCTCAGCCTCCTGAGGAGCTGGGATTATAGGCACCCACCACCATGCCCGGCTAATTTTTTTATTTTTAGTAGAGACGGGTTTTGTCATGTTGGCCAGGCTGGTCTTAAACTCCTGACCTCAGATGATCTAGCTGCTTCAGCCTCCCATGTCTCTGTGTTTTCTATCCCTTTAAGTGGCTCAGTTATTCTCAAATGTTAGTGTGTATAAGAGTCATCCGGCTGGACGTGGTGGCTCACACCTGTAATCCCAGCACTTTGGGAGGCCAAGGCAGGTGGATCACTTGAAATCAGGAGTTTGAGATCAGCGTGGCCATCATGGTGAGACCCCTGTCTCTACTAAAAATACAAAAAATTAGCTGGGCATGGTGGCGTGCACCTGTAATCCCAGCTACTTGGGAGGCTGAGGTGGGAGAATTGCTTGAACCCAGGAGGCAGAGGTTGCAGTGAGCCGAGATAGCACCACTGTACTCCAGCCTGGGCGATGGAGTGAGACTCAGTCTCCAAAAAAAAAAAAAAACTGGAAGAAATTATTTAAAATATGGAATCCTGTATTTTACAGCTATTTCTTCCAGAGCTTCTGTTTCTGTTGATGGGGTGTGGGGCTAAGAAACTGACATTTTAAAAGGCATTCTAGGTGGGATTTTTTTTTTTTGAGACAGAATCTTGCTCTGTCGCCCTGTTGCCCAGGCTGCAGTGTAGTTGCGATCTTTGCTCACAGCAACCTCCGCCTCTCCTGTGTTTGAGCGAGTCTTGTGCCTCAGCCTTCTGAGGCCACCACACCTGGCTAATTTTTGTATTTTTAGGAGACACAGGGTTTCGCCACATTCCAGCCCTCCGGCGCTGTTTTTCTCTTTCTCAGGGCTAAATCTTTTACATGGATTATCTCGTTTAGTCTTCACAATACATGGCCATTTAAGTGGTAGTATTGTTATCTTCATTTGCAGGTGAAGAAACTGTGCAACATGCCCAGATCATACAACAAGGAAGTAATGGAATTGAGATTCTATCCTGGGCGCCAAGCCATTGCTCTAAATCTCTATGCTGCACAAGATACAGCTGAGTAAAGATTAGTAACAACAAAAAAAAACAACAAAAAAAGACAAGTCCCAGGGAAGGTTCCTGTGAGTCTTTATGATCCACTGGCCATAAATTAGAGAGAGGCAATGAAGACTAAATGCGGAGAGATCCAGTTTGCTTCCTAGTCTTAGTACATTGCCATCTAGGCATGAGTAGTCTCCTTGTCTCCGTTGTCTGAGAATGCTATCCTCTGGCTCTGAGGTCCAGAGCCACTAAGAGAGAATGCTGACTTGATGTCAGAAAATCAAGACAAGGTCTAGTTTAATTATGGAACATGAAACAAAAACTTTACTCCTCTTTTGAAGTAAAAATGCAAATCTGTTCCGTTTTAGAGTGGGATTTCCCTCCTTTGTTATATGGCTTTTAAATTACTCATGTTCTTTACAAATCAAATAAATAAAAGATAAAAAGAAAAATAAATATGCCAGTAGATATTCATGTTTTCTTTGGGCCACTGTAAATGGTTTAAGGGCAAATCAACAAATTTCATTTGTTTAGGTTTTTTTTTGAGACGAGTCTCGTTCTTTTGCCCAGGCTGGAGTGCAGTGACGCGATCTCGGCTCACTGCAAGCTCCGCCTCCGGGTTCACGCCGTTCTCCTTCCTCAGCCTCCGGAGTAGCTGGGATTACAGGCGCATGTCACCATGCCCGGCTAATTTTTGTATTTTTAGTAGAGACGGGGTTTCACTGTGTTAGCCAGGATGGTCTCGATCTCCTGACCTCATGATCCGCCTGCCTCGGCCTCCCAAAGTGCTGGGATTACAGATGTAAGCCACTGGGCCAGGCCCCTCATTTGTTTAGTTTTATAAAATTAACTCTTAAATTCTGGGATTGGTCAGAGTGACAGAATGAAGAGATATTGGAGTATATCACTGTTGGGGCACTCTGTGGAATAGAGAAGATTGCTATTTGGGCCGAGCGTGGTGGGTCATGGCTGTAATCCCAGCACTTTGGGAGATCGAGGTAGGAGGATCACTTGAGCCCAGGAATTTGAGACCAGCCTGGTTAAACCCCATCTATACAAAAAATACAAAAATTAGCTGGGCATCCTGGCACACACCTGTAAGTCCCAGCTGCCCAGGAGGCTTAGGTGGAAAGATCACCTGAGCCCAGGAGGTCGAGGCTGCAATAAGCTGTGATCCTGCCACTGTACTCCAGGCTAGGTGACACAGTGAGACCCTGTCTCAAAAATATATATAAAATATAAAATAAACAATTGCTATTTGAACAAGAGTTAGAAAATCTAGTCTTGTCAGCATTTAAAGAGGAAAAGACAGGCATGAAATGAAAACTCAGTGTTGTAGGTTTTATTTGTTATTTAGTTTTTATTTCATAATTATAAACTTAACTCTGCAATCCAGCTAGGCATGGACGGAAACAAGGAAAACATGGAACCCAAAGGAAACTGCAGTGAGAGCACAAAGATTATAGGATACTGCGAAAAAATGGGGTGAAGGCGTGCTCTATTGAGCTACAGACAGAATGGTCTGGTGGTTAAGATAAAAACACAAGTCAAACTTATTAGAGTTATCCACAGTCAGCAATGGTGGTCTTGGTCTTGCCACTGGACCCAAAGCACTCCATGGCCTCCACAATATTCATGCCTTCTTTCAACTTGCCAAAGACCACATGGCCTGCCATCCAACCACTCAGTCTTGGCAGTGCAGATGAAAAACTGGGAACTGTTTGTGATGGGTCCAGCATTTGCCATGGACAAGATGCCAGGACCTGTATGCTTTAGGATGAAGTTCTCATTATTAAATTTCTCCCCGTAGATGGACTTGCCACCAGTGCCATTATGGCATGTGAAGTCACCACCCTGACACATAAACCCTGGAATAATTCTGTGAAAGAAGGGAACACTTATAATCCAATCCTTTCTCTCCAGTGGTCAGAGCATGAGTTTTCTGCTGTCTTTGGAAACTTTTCTGCAAACTGCTTGAAGGAGACACGGCCCAAGGGCTCGCCGTCAACCACGATGTTGAAGAACACGGTGGGGTTCACCATGGTTGATAGTACAGGGCTCCGGCAGTGGTGTCTGCAAAGCCAGTGTTGTAGGTTTTAAATGAGCATCAGCACCCTGGCCTAGGGTGTTGTTAAGTGTGCCACTTCTCTTGTCCTCACATTCATTTGTCATGTATGGGGATTAGACTAAATGATCACAAAGGCTTGAGTTTACTATTCTGTAATTTCCATGTGACTTATTAATTAGCCTTATTATATTTAATACAATTGTAGTCATTATGAGTGCAGAATAGAGGATCAGACAGATGTTATTCCGTGAATATAACTTTAACACACTACTGGTGCTGAAAATTCAAAATTATAAGAATCTGAATATTGCTTTTTCAAGTGACTACTCCAAAAATAGTTGGCCAGTGCCTTAACCTGTCACTATCTGAACAAATGGAAGAGAATCCATGTTAGAAAAAACTACAAGTGCTTCATCAATACTAGAAAACAGAGTAAACCTAAAAAGGAAAAGTAGAGGTGAAAGCTCCATCTGGTGGTTAACATCTACAGTTCCAAGAAATTGACATTATACTTCACTGACTGTAGTACTGGAACCTCAGTTTAGAAATACCTGTGGGTTCTGAAGTAGGAAGATTACTGGCTGTTACGTATTAACTAATATTTAATGGTGGAAGGCAAAGTCTTTCATAGGGTGTTTAGAATACTTGACTCAAGATAATCCCTGGGAAAAAAGTTGCAAGGTCAAATATCTTTAAGAAATGTTCTTGGCTATACATGTCTTTATTCGACCACATAATCTTTCCCTCTCTTTTTAGTCTCTGGCATTTTAAGAAATGCCAGTTTGAGGAAATAGTGAACTTAGGAGTATTTGCTTTTAAAAGACTTTCTTTTGAAGGGAGCTTATATGAGATTTTATATTTTTTACAATCTCTTAGATGTTCTGACCTTCCTTTCACAGGAGTTAAAAAAAATTCCATTCCCTTTCTACTCTTCCTCAGGTTGAAACCTCGTAACCAGCATACTGGAAAAAATTATAGGTGTGGTAGTTCATACCTATAATCCCAACACTTTGAAAGGCCAAGGTGGGAGGATCCCTTGAGTCCAGGAGTTCAATTCCAACCTAGGCAGCATAGCAAGACCCCATCCCTATTTAAAAAAGCAAAAAAAGCCCACGCCTGCAATCCCAGCACTTTGGGAGGCCGAGGAGGGCGGATCACGAGGTCAGGAGATGGAGACCATCCTGGCTAACTCGGTGAAACCCCGCCTGTACTAAAAATACAAAAAAATTAGCCAAGCGTGGTGGCGGGCGCCTGTAGTCCCAGCTACTCGGGAGGCTGAGGCAGGAGAATGGCGTGAACCCGGGAGGCGGAGCTTGCAGCGAGCCGAGATCGTGCCACTGCACTCCAGCCTGGGGGACAGAGCAAGACTCCGTCTAAAAAAAAAAAAAGAAAAAAAGGGCCAGGTGCGGTGGCTCACGCTTGTAATCCCAGCACTTTGGGAGGCTGAGGTGGTCGGATCACTTGAGGCCAGGAATTCAAGACTAGCCTGGCCAACACGGTGACATCCCTGGAATTATAGGCGTGAGCCACTGCGCCAGCCTGACTTTCATCTTTTTTAAAGCATAGCTTGGAATAATTGATCAGTAAGGATGAAATAATTCTATGGATGATGAAGTAGCAGAACGTTTCAACATACAAAAAAAAAAATTAGTAAATCCCACTATGTGTCCTAGATGTATAAGGGTCCAATGGATCTATATGGGAATTGTAAATAGAATGAGTTTTATTCTATTTTTTAATTTTATGTATTTTATTTTTGAGACAGAATCTCACTCTATCGCCCAGGCAGTGGCACAGTCATGTAATGGCACCATCACGGCTCACTGCTGCCTTGACCTCCCTGGGTTGAGGTTACTCTCCCACCTCAGCCTCCTGAGTAGCTGGGATTAAAGTCACACACTACCACGCTCTGCTAATTTTTCTATATTTTTGGTACAGATGGGGTTTCACCATATTTTCCAGGGTGGTCTTGAACTCCTGGGCTCAAGGGATCCTCCCCCTTCAGCTTCCCAAACTGCTAGGATTACAGGTGTGAGTCACCACATCTATTTTTTTAGAAAATAAATTTTCTCTTTGTTGTTTGGAAGACTTCTACGAAGGAACAAAAAATCATGAAATATCAATCCTTAAGAGTAGAGCCCAAAAACAAAAAAACAACCCTGAAAGGCTAAAGTTGGGTCCAGTAGATCCTGATCCTGATAGTATATCCAAGGATTAAAGCCATTCATCATTTTTTTTTTTTTTGAAACGGAGTCTCGCTCGGTTGCCCAGGCTGGAGTGCAGTGGCGTGATCTCGGCTCACTGCAACCTTTGCCTCCTGGATTCAAGTGATTCTCCTGCCTCAGCCTCCTGAGTAGCTGGGATTACAGGCGCCTGCCACTGCGCCTGGCTAATTTTTGTATTTTTAGTAGAAATGGGGTGTCAACATCTTGGCCAGGCTGGTCTTGAACTCCTAACCTTGTGATCCACCTGCCTCAGCCTCCCAAAGTGCTGGGATTACAGGTGTGAACCGCTGCGCCTGGACTTAAAGTCATTCATCTTAAAGCACATAAAGACAGATGCAACTGAGTTTGTTATGCATCCTAACATCTATTTCATTGTAATAGGGAATTAAAACCTTTGATCAACTGAAAACAAAGGAATGATGAATTTTTTTTTGTTTTTTTTTTGAGATGGAATCTCGGTCTGTCGCCCAGGCTGGAGTGCAGTGGGGCGATCTCTGCTCACTGCAGGCTCCACCTCCTGGGTTCACGCATTTCTCCTGCCTCAGCCTCCCGAGTAGCTGGCTCTACAGGCGCCCGCAACTATGTCTGGCTAATTTTTTGTATTTTTAGTAGAGACAGGGTTTCACCATGTTAGCCAGGATGGTCTTGATCTCCTGACCTCGTGATCTGCCCACCTCGGCCTCCCAAAGTGCTGGGATTACCGGCGTGAGCCACTGTGCCTGGCCAGGAATGATGAGTTTTTGAAAAGACTTCATTGAGCTGGATGGTAAAGATGCCTTTCTGGGAACCATGAAATGAATGAATCTACCAAAGGTACTATGCTTTGATTTATTCCTCGCTGGATTCCAGGATTTCTGTGGATCTTCTCATCAATGTTGCTATGGTCTGAATATTTGTGTCCTACCAAACTCATAGGTTGAAATCTTAACTGCTAAGGTGATGGTATAGGGAGGTAGGGCCTTTGGGAGGTGAACAGGTCATGAGGGCTGGCCTCTCATGAATGGGATTAGTACCCTTGTAAAAGAGACCCCAGAGAGCTAGCCAGCCCCTTCTGCCATGTGAGAACAAAGAAGGCACCATCTATGAATCAGAAAGCAGGTCCTCACCGGACACCAAATCTGCTGGCATCTTGATCCTGGACTTCTCAGCCTCCAGGACAGTCAGAAATAAATTTCTGTTGTTTATGAGCTACCCAGTTGAGGGCATTTGTGTTAGCAGCCTAAATGGACTAAGATCTTTTTATCCTACTCATTCTTAGATCTTGTCGCTTTTGGTGGGTGTACTTATTCCACCTTTATAACAACACCTCTGCTGTGTGCTGTTAAGAATCTTCATTAAGGTAGCACCTTGAACCTACTTTATTTGGAAGCCTACACTAATTTTTGGCTTTCGATTCCCATTGCCCTCTTCAGGATTGTATTACAATTTGACAAGCAAACATCCTCTTCCACCTTCCAAAACAACTTTAGTACACACATTATAGAAAGGGAAATATGTTTGGTGCTTTTTTTTTTGAGACAGTCTCACTCTGTCACCCAGGCTGGAGTGCAATGGCGTGGTCTCGGCTCACTGCAACCTCCGCCTCCCGGGTTCAAGCAATTCTTCTGCCTCATCCTCCCGAGTAGCTGGGACTACAGGAGCGTGCCACCACACCCGGCTAATTTTTGTATTTTTAGTAGAGACGGTGTTTCACTATGTTGGCCAGGCTGGTCTCGAACTCCTTACCTTGTGATCCGCCTGCCTCCGCCTCCCAAAGTGTTGGGATTACAGGCGTGAGCCACCGCGCCCAGCCTGGTGCTGCTGTCTTATTTCTCATGAATATGAGCTTTCAAGGACAGGGACTTGATCTTTTTTTCCATTCCATAAAATGTTGATATGGCTAAACTTTGCAGGCTTTTAGGCGTTGTCATATATGCAATTAATTCCATGGGCACTTAATTTCATTCCCCTCACTGAAGGAAGGGGTTGTCTGAGACCACCAAGCTCTAATGTCTTACCAATCTGTTGCTTTCTCATTTTGTTCAACTTTTTTCTTGGAAAGAAAAACATTGAACATATCAAGATGAATCAGCCAAATATTGTACTGTGTGTGTGTTTTGGGGGTGGGGGGAGACAGAGTTGAAGTGGCAGAGGCAATGTAGGAGGAAAAGACAGGCTGACTAAAATACATAAATAGTACGTGAATTCTTTCGGGCCAGGGATCTGGGCCTACTTTGCCTGCATCATATTACCAGCATCTCAATTGTGTCTGGCACATAGTAAGTTTCAGTAAACATTTGTTGCACTAAGTGAAAGAATGAACTTTTCACTTTTTTCAGAGATGTGATTTGTGATTCTCGGAATCAACCAGGGTCCTAAGATGTCCTGGAGGCCGTCTCCATTTCTCTCGGTGAGCTAAGGTGTCCGAGTGGCACCAGTTCTCCACTCTTTCTGCGACCTGCAGGGAGTGGGATACGCTGTGGCTTTAGGGAGCTGGGAAAGGCGCTCTCTCCCGGTCCCGCTCTGCCCGGTCCCACGCCCCTCGGCCGTCCGGCTGCCTGGGTCTTCCGGGTTCTTCCGCCCCTCTGGCTCGGTCCCCGCTACCTCTCCTCCCTCCTCCCCTCTCGGTACCTTCGCCCGCCGCGCGCCTTTCTCAAATCCTCCGGTTATTAAGCAAGCTCAGGGGTCCGGTGGCCTGCCCTGGTAACTCTGCGCCCGCCCCTTCCTGCCCCCTTCCTGCCCTCACGCCCCGTCCCCTCCTCTTGACGTGGCAGAGGCGGCGCCAGCCATGTTGGCCGGGCGGAGGTCTTCGCTGAGGCCCGGGGCGGGGTGGCGCCACCCCTGATTGCGGTGCCACGGACTGCTCCTGCTGGGCGGAGAGGACAGATTTTGCAAAGCGGAGGCTGCGACGGGTCCTGCAGGGGGACAGTGAGGAAAGGGCCGCCTCGTCTCCGCTCCTGGGGGACCGCAGGTGCGCAGCGGGGAGCGGGGGCGGGCTGGCGGCGGCGGGCTGGGGGCTGGGATCCTGGGGTGGTCCCGGCTCTGCCCTCTCGGTGCCCCGGGGCCAGCGAGGTGTGCTGGAGGCTGAGGCCCGGTCCGGCGCGGGGAGCGTTGAGTGCTGAGCTTGCCACCCTCTCACCCACTTCGCTCTGCCGGGGCCGGGGGCCCGGCCTCCTCCAGCTCCCCTGGATTAGGTGGAAAGATGTGGAAAACGGTGGTTCGAGCATCTCGCCCAGCACCCACCCCCACCTCCTGGGCCACCCACCTCCACCCAAGTCCATCATCGCCTCTGGGCCCTTGGACTTACTGTTTCATTCCTTGCCAGATATGGAGTGTCCTAGACTTTGAACCCAATTGACTACGTCACCGTAATTCAGCCTTGGAAGTTAAAGGGGTTAAAGGGGAAAAGAGCTTGGTAAAGATAATGCCTTGGGTTTTGATTACAAAGAGTTCAGTTTTCCAGCAGGACCAGCCCTATCTCACTGGGCTTTCTTTCTACGGTAGGTAGTGTTTCCCGATTTGGTGGTAAAGGTACTGCCTGAGGAAGGTCATAGTAAATCTACATCAATCACTGAAGTGGGGATGTGGAATTCTCGTTTTCACTTGAACTCCCTCAACCTCTACCGTCCAAAGCCATGGATAACTAGCCAAATTAACTTGGTTTAAAAAGGTTTTAGATTTAAATATAAATGCATGTTGAGTTTTCCTTCTCTTTCTCCTCTGGTAGTGAATGAACATCATTTCAGAAGTCCAGCTATTTTTTTTTTTTCTGAGACGGAGTCTTGCTTTGTCGCCCAGGCTGGAGTGCAGTGGCGCAATCTCGGCTCACTGCAACCTCCGCCTCCCTGGTTCAAGCGATTCTCCTGCTTCAGCCTCCCGAGTAGCTGGGATTACAGGGGCGAGCTACTATGCCCGGCTAATTTTTGTATCTTTAGTAGAGACGGGGTTTCACCATGTTGGCCAGGCTGGTCTCGAACTCCTGACCTCAGGTGATCCGCCCGCCTCGGCCTCCCAAAGTGCTGGGATCACAGGCATGAGCCACTGCGCCCGGCCAGAGTCCAGCTATTTTTAATTGACTTACAGAATTTTAGAGTTAGATGGGACCTTGTGATTTTCTAGTCCAAGTCTCTTATTTTGCTGATGAGAAAAACAGGATTCAGAGAGGTTAATTGTCCAAGATCATAAGAAGACAATTCATTGAGGATTTTGGAAGTGAAAAGTAGGAGACAAATTTAATTGGCAACTAACAAATACATGTAATTGGAAGGAACTCAAATTTACTTGGCAAGTACATTTTCAATTAGATATGAATAAAAGGGCTTAAAATTAGAATATTGAAAAACTATCATAGGGAAAGTCTTTTTTGTTTTTTTTTTTTTTGAGACGGAGTCTCGCTCTGTCACCCAGGCTGGAGTGCAGTGGAACGATTTCGGCTCACTGCAACCTCCGCCTCCCAGGTACAAGCTAAGCTATTCTCCTGTCTCAGCCGCCTGAGTAGCTGGGACTACAGGCGACCGCCACCATGCCTGGCTAATTTTTGTATTTTCAGTAGAGACGGGGTTTAACCATATTGGCCAGGCTGGTCTCGATCTCCTGACCTCATGATCCACCCTCCTCGGCCTCCAAAAGTGCTGGGATTACAGGTGTGAGCCACCGCGCCCGGCCAGGGAAGTCTTACTTTTAAAAGACTTGGGCACATATTTGATATACTAGGTTAAAGTGACATAGTGGTTTGCTTCTTAGCTTTTAGCTCTATTATGATAAATTATTTAACCAAAGTATATTGTACTGAAATTGGACATTTCTTTGTAATAGTCTTTTGTGTTTTGTATCACTTTTTAAAAAAAATAAAGACTAGTGGCTGGGTGCGGCAGTTTACGCCTGTAATCCCAGCACTTTGGGAGGCCGAGGCAGGCCAATCACCTGAGGTCAGGAGTTCGAGACCAGCCTGGCCAACGTGGTGAAACCCCATCTCTACTAAAAATACAAAAATTAGCTGGGTGTAGTAGCTCACGCCTGTAATCCCAGCTACTGGGGAGGCTGAGGCGGGAGAATCGCCTGAACCCGGGAGGTGGAGGTTGCAGTGAGCCGAGATTGCACCACTGCACTCCAACCTGGGTGATAGAGTGAGACTCCATCTCAAAAAAAAAAGAGACTAATATGCTAAGTCTGCATTCTAATATAGTGTGTGGAATAATATTTCTTTGGTTTAATACTTTTATGCAAACATGTTAGTATTAGGGGAGAGAGTGCTTATCAAATAATATCATGTTATGAAAAGCTAGTTTGTGGCTGGGCATGGTGGCTCACACCTGTAATCCCAGCACTTTGGGAGGCTGAGGTGGGTGGATCACCTGAGGTTGGGAGTTCGAGACCAGCCTGACCAACATGGAGAAACCCCATCTCTACTAAAAATACAAAAATTAGCCAGGTGTGGTGGCTTATGCCCGTAATCCCAGCTACTCAGGAGGCTGAGGCGGGAGAATTGCTTGAATCCGGGAGGAGGAGTTTGCGGTGAGCCGAGATCACGCCATTGCACTCCAGCCTGGGCAACGAGCGAAACTCCGTCTCAAAAAAAAAAAAAAAGTTAAGTTGGCTTGTAAAAGGACTTTATTTCAGATATGCCATTGTCGGACATGGGACTAAGCCTGGCAAATTTTGTAATTGAATTCGTGATTTTAAGATTGCATGACTCCTACTATGGAAAGGTGAGGGAAGTCAGGGAAGTGTTGTGCATAGCCATGTAATTGGACCAATTGAGAAACAGGTGGGATTTTCTTCAAACTACTGCTGGAATGTGGGAATGTAAGAAGTATAATAGATGTGATTTAGCAAGCAAATTGATCTTAGAGCAGGGAGATTGAGAGGAAAAAATGTGAAGAAGAGAAGAGAGTTGTGCCCAGATATCACTCAGGTGATATTTAGTATGTCTTAATAAGAAGTAAGAATGTAGAGATACAATCCAGCCTTTTAACCAGTTGTAGAAAGTTAAACCTGGCTATTGTCTGTGTGTGAATGTCTTCCTGCTAAGACTCCTGGAACCTTTCTTAGTGAGGTTTCCTAATGGTCCTAAGGCAGTGGTTTTCAGAACCCCTAACTTAAACATTATTGAGTATCCAAAGAGAAAAAAAAAAGGCTAAATAGAAGACAGGTGGGTTTTCATATCTGTTTCTGCAGTTTATTGTGATATATTGTTTTGGTTGAATTGTATGAAGGATTAATTAATAAATTAAAAGGTTAATTGCAGTGTGGAATCTGAAAGCTTAGGAGTGACCTTTTTGTACTTTGTTACCTTAAAACTCATTGGCCTATTCTACACTTTGAATGGATCATCTACCCATGTGTGATATTTTCATATCACAAATTGACGGTTTGGAAGATATTGCTTCACTGAGTAATGTATATCTTCTAAATGTTAATACATTTTGTTATATACTATCAAACAAATTACATTAATACCAACACTGATCTCATCAGAAAAATCTTTACATATTAGGAACTTGTCAAGCTTATGGTAGCAGGCACAAGTTTTAAAACAATTTAATGGCGGGGAGCGGTGCCTCAAGCATGTAATCCCAGCACTTTGGGAGGCCGAGGCCGGCGGATCACGAGGTCAGACAATTGAGATCATCCTGGCCAACATGGTGAAACCCTGTCTCTACTAAAAATACAAAAAATTAGCTGGGTATGGTGGCACGCGCATGTAGTCCCAGCTACTTGGGAGGCTGAGGCAGGGGAATCGCTTGAACCCGGGAGGCAGAGGTTGCAGTGAGCTGAGATTGCCCCACTGCACTCCAGCCTGGTGACAGAGTGAGACTCCGTGTCAAAAAAAAAAAAAAAAAAAAAAACCCAAAAACAATTTAATGTTTGCTTGAAAGCTCAAATTTTTATCATTGGCAAAAAATACTATAAGTTGTTTTCTATGAAGTGATAGGTTTACTTCATACATTTTTGAGAAAATATCTGTGTAATACCTAAGTACTAGTTATGTACTATCCTTGGGAGAATTGAGAAAACAGTCATTGAAAACATTTTTTGTTTTGTGTTTCAGCTATTTTAATGCCTTTTGCAGATGTGTTTTAGATGCATTTTATTTTTTTTTTTTGTTATGGCACATTAGAATTTTTATTTTTTCTTAATAACACTGGATTTCTTATGACTTATTTTTTGTCAAATGTAGTCATCCCTGTTCTGATTTCATTTTATTTTATTAAATTTTTTTTTTTTTTGAGAAGGAGTCTCACTCTGTCGCCCAGGCTAGAGTGCAGTGGCATGATCTCGGCTCACTGCAACCTCCACCTCCCGGGTTCAAGTGATTCTCCTGCCTTAGCCTCCTGAGTAGCTGGGATTACAGGCACTCACCACCAGCTCAGCTAATTTTTGTATTTTTGGTAGAGATGGGGTTTCACCATGTTGGCCAGGCTGGTCTTGAACTCCTACCTCAAGCGATCCGCTGGCCTCAGCCTCCCAAAGTGCTAGGATTACAGGCGTGAGCCACTGTGCCTGGCCTTAAAATTTTTTTTATTTTTAATTTTTGTGGGTACATAGTAGGCGTGTACATGCTTCTTAAATTATAGGAGCAATTAAGTAGTAAACACAATTTTATTTGCCTTATGTTCTGTATAATAAATGTGGAAGAGGTTTGCATAGTCTTAGAATTTATATTCACATCAGTAACATGGAAGCTGTTGCTAAAAACTGGATTTCTAATCTCCCCCTCACCCCCACGTCCTGGTTGTTTTTTCTTTATTGCCACCTATGTTACGGTGGAGTTTGACATCTTCTAACTCTCCTCTGAATATCCCACACCTTTGTTTTATCATTATCTTTCAACACTTTTCCTTGAAAGCTCATACCACCCTTCTCAAAGCTGCCTTCTATATTTACCTTCAAAATAGTTTTGTTTTTTTTTTTGAGATGGAGTCTTGTTCTGTCGCCCAGGCTGGAGTGCAGTGGTGCAATCTCAGCTCACCACAACCTCTGCCCCCCCAGTTCAAGCGATTCTCCTGCCTCAGCCTCCTGAGTAGCTGGGATTACAGGTGCATGCCACCCTGCCCAGCTAATTTTTTTGTGTGTTTTTAGTAGAGACGGGGTTTTGCCATGTTGACCAGGCTGGTCTTGAACTCCTGATCTCAGGTGATCCACCTGCCTCAGCCTCCCAAAGTGCTGGGATTACAGGCTTGAGCCACTGCACCCGGCCCAAAATAGTCTTTTCTAAACAAGTTTAGTCTTGGGATTTCTCTTTACCCTTTATGCACCTTTGAAAAACCACAATCTTTTTTGATTAGCGTAAGATTTTCTAGCTGTCTCCAAGATTCTGGCACAATTGGAGGAAATACAGTGTTTTCTTTAATTTTTATTTTCTTATTTAAAGAAGAGAAAGTTCTTAACTGCTTGGAATGCTTAGATTTGTTAAGCTTCACTTTCTGCCATTTGTTTTATGAAAATTTATTTGAAAGATTTTCTAAAATTAAAATTGTTATATCTAACTTTTTCCCCCCAAATAATATCTCTTCTTTCTTCACTTAAATTTTAGAATCAGCTTCTTGTCCCACTATTGCTCTTAGCAACTTTAAACATCCATGTTGGGTTTTCCAGGCACCCTAGGTTCACAGTTCACTTCTTTCAACTTGACGTCCTTCCTGTCTGCTGCATAACACTTGAATGTCTTTGTCCTCCCACACCTTTAAATTCTTCAGCTTCCTTCCATGACTAACTACTGTTGCAGTTTGAGAGCATGAGATAGAGCTGTTGCCTACGTAGGAAAGCCGGCATCCTACCTAGGCATTTAGACAGTAAAAATGGAGCTGTCTTTTGATACTGGTCCCTCCCCAGAGTGCATCCTCTTCCCTTGGTTAGTAAACTTAAATTATTATACTGAAATTTTATATCTCAAATTGGAGTTTAAAATGCTCTCATAATTTGGAATGTTCAAAATATTCTGAAGTAAGTTTCTGCAAAAGAGTCTAAATGATATATAAATTGGGGGAACAGCACTTATCAAGCATTTTATTTATTGTGCCACAAATAGCCTGTACTTGCACAATAAGAAAATTACCTGTCCAAAGCAGAAGTGTCCAGTTTTAGGAAAATCTTTTTGTTACATACCATTAAACATTCTCTTCTGTAAAGTTTAGTGGAAACTTGTTATTTTTCAGATAGAAACCATGTGAGTTTTAGAACTTTATAATTTTGAAATCTGTTTATATGAATTCTTATAATTTTCAAAACTGATATGGAAAACATAGGATCTAGGTTTTCCCCCTATTTTTGCATTTCTTTCCTATATATCCTTAAAGAAATAAGACACTATTTTTTGCCATCATCTTTTAGAGTGAATAAAAAAGTGTTAAATACCTCTTATTGGGCCTTGTGAACATTGGGTAGAGCCATTAATTATTTTGTTATGAGTTGCTTGCTAATTTTTTTCTGAGATAAATATTTTCATTTGGTCCTGATTTTTTTTTTTTTTGAGATGGAGTTTTGCTCTTGTTGCCCAGGCTGGAGTGCAACGGAATGATCTCGGCTCACCACAAACTTTGCCTCCAGGGTTCAAGAGATTCTCCTGCCTCAGCCTCCTGAGTAGCTGGGATTACAGGCATACGCCACCATGCCTGGCTAATTTTGTATTTTTAGTAGAGACGGGGTTTCTTCGTGTTGGTCAGGCTGGTCTCGAACTCCCGACCTCAGGTGATCCGCCTGTCTCGGCCTCCCAAAGTGCTGGGATTACCGGCGTGAGCCACGGGGCCCAGCTGGTCCTGATTTCTAAGGTGTTAATATTGCTGAATGAGGGGAGAACATTCATATTTTGAACGTTCTTAAGAGGATCCTGGATTTTAAAATATTTTAAAATTTTGATACAGAAATAAGAATCAAACTCCACAATGACAACCTATTTGGAATTCATTCAACAAAATGAAGAACGAGATGGAGTCCGATTTAGTTGGAATGTTTGGCCATCAAGTCGACTGGAAGCTACAAGAATGGTTGTTCCTGTGGCAGCCCTGTTTACACCACTGAAAGAGAGACCTGACTTACCACCTATTCAATATGAACCTGTTCTGTGTAGTAGGACCACTTGCCGTGCAGTTTTGAATCCTTTATGGTAAGTAAAATATATAGAAAAACTAATGTGGCAATGTGATTTTAAAATGTCGGGGTTTTTCTGCATATTTTTATAAAAATCCCTTTGTTTTTGTTCATACTAATTTTTTCAAATTAGGACAGTCAAAACAATCCAGAGAGCTGTAAAATTTTAGGATCATTCTAGTTGTACTGAGTTGGTAATATAAAGAGACCAAATGTAAAAGTGGCACTATAAAAACTGTTAGATTCCATCAGTGTCTTCTGAATAGTGGTGCTGGATGTGTATCAACCCATCTTGCATCATTAGATAAGTCATAATTGGCCGGGCGTGGTGGCTCATGCCTGTAATCCCAGCACTTTGGGAGGCCGAGGTGGTGGATCACCTGAAGTCAGGAGTTCGAGACCAGCCTGACGAACATGGTGGAACCCCGTCTCTACTAAAAATACAAAACTTAGCTGGGGTGTGGTGGCATGTGCCTGTAGTCCCAGCTACTCGGGAGGCTGAGACAGGAGAATTGCTTGAACCTGAGAGATGGAGGTTGCAGTGAGCTGAGATCGTGCCTCTGTACTCCAACTCTGGGTGACAGAGCGAGACTCCGCCTCAAAAAAAAAAAAAAAGTTGTGATTGAGTGACATGATGTTCCAAAAATGTTGTGATTTCTGTTGCTGAAGCCAAAATCTCAGGAATCATCTCTTACTTCTCTTTCCATTCCCTCTCCCCCCAGCCAATCCACTAGCAAATCTGGGTGATCTACCTCTAGAACATTATAGATTCTGTCTCTTACAGCCTCTTATTCCATCTCTGGTAGTATACCCTGCTTCAAGATACCACAGTCTTTTTCCTGGGCAATTTCAATATCCTCCTACCTGCTCTCCCTGTTTCTATTCTTGTCTTTCAGCAGTCTGTTCTCTACCCAGAAGCTAGAGTTTTATGAATGAAAATCAGATGATGAACATCTTCCAGTAGTAGCTTCTTATTCTTGGAATGAGAAATACAAACTCCTTATCAAGATCTATAAAGCCTTGTATGATCTAGCCTCTGTATATATTTCTGCCTTCATCTTGTGTTATCCATTTTCCTTATTCTCATCTACATAATACCTTAACCCTGTTACCCTCTTTCTGATTCTTGAACATACCAAACTTACTCCTACCTTGACAATGGTATAGTAGCTGTGCATTCTGCCCGGATTCTTCTGTCTCCATATTTTCGTATGATTGCTTCCTTTTCATTCTGATCATACTTTAGTTGTCTATTTAAGAAGGCTGTTTTTTAAAGCAGCCCTCTTAAACACATTCTCACATTCTGCTTTGTTTTCTTTAATCTCTGTTATTACAATGTAAAAGTATTTTTGGCTGGGTGCAGTAGCTCACGCCTGTAATCCCAGTGCTTTGGGAGGCCAAGGTGGGAGGATTGCCTGGGCAGCAAAGCAAGACTCCATTTCTACAGGAGGGGAAAAAAAAAAAAAAAAAATATATATATATATATATATATATATATATATATATATATATATATGTGTGTGTGTGTGTGTGTGTGTGTATATATATATGTATATGTGTATATATGCATATATATGTGTATATGTGTATATATGCATATATATGTATATGTGTATATATGCATATATATGTGTATATGTGTATATATGCATATATATGTATATGTGTATATATGCATATATATATATGTATGTGTATATATGCATATATATATATGTATATGTATATGCTGGGTGTGGTGGTATGTGTCTGTAGTCCTAGCTACTTGGGAGGCTGAAGATGGGAGAAACACTTGAGCCAGGAGTTCAATGCTGCAGGGAGCTATGATTCTACCATTGCACTGCAGCATGGGCAATAGAACGAGACCCTGTCTCAAAAAAAACACCAAAAGTATTTTCTTGTTTGTGCATCTGCTTGTCTTTTGTCTGTTTTTTCTAGAATGTAAACTCCATGAGAGCAGTTCTCTTTTTCTTGTATCACCAGCGCCTAAAATAGTGGTTGGTACTTATTAGGCATTCAGTAAATATATTTTTGACCTGAATAAATGTTTTCTAGGTCTGAGTGTAGATGTTACTGAAGTCACTTGAAGAAAAAAATAGGATTATTTTAATTTTATTGATATTTGCTGTATATATGTGTGCATATATATATTTTTGAGATGGTTTCACTCTGTCACTTAGATTGGAGGGCAGTGTTGTGATTGTGGCTCACTGTATCTTTGACCACCTGGGCTCAGATGATCCTCTCACCTAAGCCTCCTAAGTAACTGGGAGTGCAGGCATGTGCCACCACGCCTGGATGATTCTTTGTATTTTTTGTGAAGACTGGGTTTCACCATATTGCCCAAGCTGGTCTTGAACTCCTGGACTCAAGCCATCTGCCGCCTCAGGCCTCCCAAAGTGCTGAGATTACAGGCGTGACCTACTGCACCCAGCCAATATTTACTATATGTTAAAAGTTATATTCACCATTTAGGTAAACTTGTATATGTTAAAAGTGTGAATTAGATATTGGCAGTATCTAAAACTACATGGCTTTTAAAAGTTACTTTGACTATCAATTTGAATATGTTCATGTTTTAGGAAGAAATTAATTTTATTGAAATTAGGATTTTTGTAAAATTGAACTGAAATATGAACTGATATGTCTTTTCTTTTTTTTTAAAACAGTCAAGTGGATTATCGAGCAAAACTTTGGGCTTGCAACTTTTGTTACCAAAGGAATCAGGTAAGAAAACATCCATTGCATGCCGGGCGCAGTGGCTCATGCCTGTAATCCCAGCACTTTGGGAGGCCGAGGCGGGTGGATCACGAGGTCAGGAGATTGAGACCATCCTGGCTAACACAGTGAAACCCCGTCTCTACTAAAAATACAAAAAAAAAATTAGCTGGGCGTGGTGGCAGGCGCCTGTAGTCCCAGCTACTCGTGAGGCTGAGGCAGGAGAATGGCATGAACCCGGGAGGTGGAGCTTGCAGTGAGCCGAGATTGCACCACTCTACTCCAGCCTGGGCAACAGAGCAAGACTCCGTCTCAAAAACAAACAAACAAAACAAACAAACAAACAAATGAAAAAAAACCCATAAAACATCCATTGCAGATGTTAATGCCAAAATACTAGTCATGTAGAAAAATGCATATTTAAAAAAAGATACAAATAATTATTTCTCATTTAATGAAAATGCCTTTTTAAAAATAATTAAATGATCAGGAAATACTTTGTTTAAAATTTTATTAATCTTTCTAGCCTATAATTTGTTAAAAATTTTTGTTTGTTTTCTATTTGTAGTTTCCACCTAGTTATGCTGGTATATCTGAACTGAATCAGCCTGCTGAACTTTTACCTCAGTTTTCTAGCATTGAATATGTAGTTCTGGTAAGAACCTAAGAACAAATATTTAAGAAAGTTTTAAAATTTATACTGAAAGAATTGTTAAATTATGATGATTTAGAAGGAATCATGCTTAATTCTCACATTGATTTGATGGAACATTTCAAAGGTAAGAACTGTTGAGGTCAGTTTGAGCAGGGTAATTCCTATGTTGTACTTATTTGATGGGTGGCCAAGATACTGGGTAGGGTGGTGTGATTTGCTATACTGAGTAGATCAGTAAACAATAAAGTATAAATCTTGCTTTGTAGTTGGAAGGTCAGTTAACAAATATTTAGTCAATATGATGCTGGAGTTGGCTAATGTATCCCCCAGGTCTAATTAATGAAAATAATCTTGCATTGGTCTTTAGGAAAATCATTTTTATTCTCTTTCTGAATACTTAACCATAGTTGTTTACATGTTTTACTGTGGAAGTAATATCTTTTATGAATGTTTTAGAGAAAACAATTATGGTTCACTTGGACCATTCAGTAATTTGTCCAGCCTGGCTAGTTTCTAGTTATCTGAAAATCCAAGTCAGGTTTACTAATTATTTTAAAAGAGTCAAATGAAACCTTATGCATGTAGTTAAATAAAATGGAAAGTGAAAGTCCCCTCTGTGTAACTATACCTCATGTTCTTAAACTTAATTTTTCACCTGATGATATGTCTTAGATCTCTCTCCATGACAGTAGAAATAACCTGTTTCATTTCTGAAATGGCTTTACTAGGATTCTTTTGTATTCGTTATTTAATTAGTTCCCTGTTGACTGTCTTGTATGCTGTGCTTTAAACTACATATTTTTTCTTTTTGGTGAATTTTTTAAAAGCGTGGTCCTCAGATGCCTTTGATATTCCTCTATGTGGTTGATACTTGCATGGAAGATGAAGATTTACAAGCCCTGAAAGAATCCATGCAGATGTCATTAAGTCTTTTACCACCTACAGCTTTGGTTGGACTTATTACTTTTGGGAGAATGGTTCAGGTTCATGAACTTGGATGTGAAGGCATTTCAAAAAGCTATGTCTTCAGAGGAACAAAAGATTTGTCTGCCAAACAACTGCAGGTAAACAACAAGAATGGTAGTTTTTACCTATCTGAAAATTACTCTATATATGTTTATAAATGCCTTCTGTATGTTTCTAGGACAAATTTTTATTATGAATAACTAATATAATTGTATTATAACAAAGGCTTTAAATTCAGTGCTGGCTTCAGTTTTCTTTTCATGTGCCTTAAATTGTTATACAGATTAAACACCCTTCACTTTTAACTATATCTTTAAAATTTAAAGTCAAACCAACAGTATTTTACTAGAGATTTGAAGGGCTTATGAAGAGTCATGCTGAAGGCTAAGAGAGAGCAACTGCAGAATATTAGCTTGTTTCTTTTTTTTTTCTTAAGAGTTCAGCTTTTTTATTGAACATGTTATAAAAGAGGTTTAGTCAAAAAGACCAAAGTCCATGTCATCATCATACTCCTCAGGTTCTTCTTTCTTTGTTTCCACTTTCTTTTCCTCAGCTGGGGCAGCAGTGGTGGTGGGGGCAGGACCTTCTGCAGGTGCAGCACCAACTGTTGGAGCAGGTCCACCAGCCCCTACATTGCAGATGAAGCTCCTGATGTTGACATTGGCCAGTCCTTTGCAAACAAATCAGGCCAGAAAGGTTCAACATTTATATCAGCTGCTTTAACAAGGGCATTGATCTAATCCACTGTGATGGTCACCTCATTGTCGTGCAGAATGAGGTCCAAGGAGATACAGAAGAACTTGAGATGGAGGCCATGATGTGGGCGAGTGCAGGGCTGGTGCTGCCTGACATGGTGCTAGTCACCTGATGAAGTGAGGGTCTCACCCCAGTGTGGTCTTGGCTTCCTCATAAGAACCGAGAACCTTGGTGGCAGCTGAGGAGAGAGCTTTTATTTCTTAACATTTCACTTAAGAACTAAATACTTTTAGTATGTTTGGTGAGGGAAGTTATTTTGAGACTGGACGATTTTTAGTGTAGGAACTATGGTTACATATGTTTTTTAGTGGTTTTTATCACTGGGACAAATTGAAGCTTTCTCTTCCAAGGCAAAGGAGTTATGTGTAGCATACTAGGATCATCTGCTCAGATGAACATCTTTTTTTCTGCCCAGAGATTTTGATAGTCCATAAGAGAGTAATAAGTGAATGTCTGTTTGTATTGGGGGATAGTTGGTATATATACCTTATATATATAATATAAGATTGTTCATGTAGGTACTTTGAAAAAACTTTCTAAGTAATTCTGGTGCAACTCCTAGTTGAGAACATTTACCCTAGAAGATGATAGATAAGCCTGGCATAAAGTTGACAGATGTAAAATCAGACTTTAGAGGCTTCCAGGTAGACCAAAATGAAGAAGAAAGGAAGAGATTTTTGAGGGTGAGTCTAATTTGAAACTTGGCAGACTGAGGTAGTGGTGCTGCAGTTAACTAAGAGAACATACTAGGGGAATTTGCAGGTTTAAATGGGGAGGATAATGAGTAATGAATGCGTTAGTCAATGAATAGTGAATAAGATTTGAGAAGGTAGAGAAAGTTGAAATTTGTTCTTTTTCTTCTGAGACAAGAGTCTCGCTCTGTCACCCAGGCTGGACTGCATTGGCACAATCTTGGCTCACTGCAACCTCCGCCTCCCGGGTTCAAGCTATTCTCCTGCCTCAGCCTCTCGAGTAGCTGGGACTACTGGCACCCGCCATCATGCCCAGCTAATTTTGGTATTTTTGTAGAGACGTGGTTTCACTATGTTGGCCAGGCTGGTCTTGAACTCCTGACCTCAGGATATCCACCTTCCTCGGCCTCCCAGAGTGCTGGGACTACAGGAGTGAGCCACCGTGCTCGGCCTGAAGTTTGTTCTTTTAAGAGGTTTGTTGAAGGTAATGAAGGAGGAGATAGCATGGGAATTTGAGAGAGAACTGAGTTAAAGAGATGTACTTTAGGAGGAAGGAGAAAGGAAAGAGACTAAAGAGGGTGAGTTAAAGCAAGAGTGAGATGAGGAAAGTCAGGTTTAGGAAGACATAGTAGGGATTCCTTCAGGAGCACAGGAAGCGGAGTACCTTAGAGAGGAGAATCATGTTTCCATGAGACAGGAGAGAAAGTGAACCAGTTGAAATCTCTGTGCTTTAGTTTTTTTCAATTGTAAAATAGAGATAGTAATAGTATATACCTTATAGTGTAGTCATGAGAATTAAATGAATTGTACATTTAAGCATTTGCTACTATTAATGTTATTATTAAATTATGAATTTATTTAGAATAGTTTACTGTTCTGATTGTAGAGTACCTTTTACTTATATAATGCATATGAAGCACATAAAACATCTTCCTTTTTTTTTCTTTTTTTTTTTTTTTTTGACACGGAGTCTTGCTCTGTCACCCAGGCTGGAGTGCAGTGGCATGATCTTGCAATCTCCGCCTCCTTAGTTCGAGCGATTCTCCTGCCTCAGCCTCCCGAGTAGCTGGGACTACAGGCGCATGCCACCACACCCGGCTAATTTTTTTTTTCTGTATTTTTAGTAGAGACCGGGTTTCACCATGTTGGCCAGGATGGTCTTGATCTCCTGACCTCGTGATCTGCCTGCTTTGGCCTCCCAAAGTGCTGGGATTACAGGCGTGAGCCACCGCGCCTGGCCAATTTTTGTATTTTTTAGTAGAGACAAGGTTTCACCATGTTAGCCAGGCTGCTTGAATTCCTGAGCTCAGGTGATCCCCCTGCCTCAGCCTCCCAAAGTGCTGGGATTACAGGTGTGAGCCACTGAGGCCGGCCTAGTTTTTTTTTGTTTGTCTGAGACAGAGTCTCGCTCTGTCACCCGGGCTGGAGTGCGGTGGCACGATCTCAGCTCACTGCAACCTCTGCCTCTTGGGTTCAAGCGCTTCTCTTGCCTCAGCCTCCCAAGTAGCTGGGATTACAGGAGCATACCACCATGCCTTACTAATTTTTGTATTTTTAGTAGAGTTGGTGCTTCACCATGTTAGCCAAGGTTGGTCTTGAACTTCTGACCTTGTGATTTGCCCACCTTGACCTCCCAAAGTGCTGGGATTACAGGCATGATCCACCGCACCTGGCCCTAATTTTTGTATTTTTAGTAGACATGGGGTTTCACCATGTTGGCCAGGCTGGTCTTGAACTCCTGACCTCAGGTGATCCACCCGCCTCGGCCTCCCAAAATACTGGGATTACAGCTGTGATTCACTGCGCCTGGCCACATCTTCCTTTTTTCAATAGGCAAGTGAATGCCTGCAGACTGAATTTTTTTTCTCCATTGAAACATGTTTATTTTCTTTCCCTATTTAGATTAAATTTCCCTATTCTTTCCCTATTATTAGTTGAAAAGAGCCTGGCCTTTGCTCCCCAGATAGTCCTGGATTCAAATCTTAAACTCTTCTGGTTGTATGATCCTGGGTTTTTGTCTTTGCTGATTGTGTCATCCTTCATAGAAAGGAATAAACTACCTATTTTGCCAGGTTATTAGTACTAAATATGAAATTCTCAATATGGTGTAAACCCTTATAGAGCTTTATAGAAAAACCTGGATTTAAAATCTTGCTTTGTTACTTACTGATTGTGTAACCTCAGACAAATTACTTAGTCTTTCTGATTGTCAATTTTCATTTATAAAGTAGAATTTAAGAAGAAATCTATTTCATTATTGTTTTGTGAGGAAATAGTATATATAAAGGTTTTAGCATAGAATATGGAACATATTAAGTTCTTAGTAAAGAGTTGCTGTTTCTGCTAACAGTATAGGAAATATTGCAGGATTAGTTCACTAATTTTATCTTTGTACATCTTTAGACTTCAGTTTTCTGTTACACAGTTTTATAACTCCAGTACTTCATGACTAAGCATTTCTAGATTCAAGAAAAATTTAGTATAACATTATTTTCATTTGTCTAGAGAGAAATTGTGCACATATCTGAAATTCAAAACAAAGGTGGCAGTTCGTAGTTTGGTTATGAATTACATTAGAAAATCAAGATGTATATAGGTACAAAGTACGTGAGCCTTATAACTCCCCAAGTCCTAACATTTACTACTGTTGCAATTTTACATTTATTTATCTGTTGATTTGATTAATTTATGTTTCTGGATTTTAATTTCCATGAGGGAAGGGACTAGTTAGTTTTTACCATTGTATTCCTGCCACATAGCAGGTGCTTATGATATAGTTTGCTGAAACGGATGAATGAATATAAATTAAGAAGTATGGACATTTAAGTTACACAACAATTTATTTTGACTGTTAATTAGAAATAAAGTGTTTTTGAGCTAATATGCCTCCTCTTTGGTTATATAACACCTTGTGCTTTTCTCTCTCATGATGATTATTTTGTGTTATTGTTTTCTTGATAATCTCTCCCACTGGATTCTTTGTTTTCTGAGGAAGGAGACCTTGTATTTTTTATTTTTGTGTTTCTAATGTCTAGCACAGCATTTTATACATGATAAATAGTTGATAAATCTTTGTAAAAGTAATTAAATGAATATTGCACAAGTAATCTCTTTACAGGAAATGCTGGGGCTCTCTAAAGTACCACTTACTCAAGCAACACGTGGTCCTCAGGTACAGCAGCCACCTCCTTCCAACAGGTAATAAATATGATGAAGAGAATTTGACCGTTTCTGTAGCTATTTTAAACATTCCATACCCTTGAACATAGGCATTCAGTGATACTATATTGTTAAATATTTTTAGGAATATAAGTAAATTGTATTAACATACTTTTTAAAGAATTGAGTCAAAATCATGTCATTAAAATGGTTTGTTTTTTGTCTTAACAATGTAAGGAGTTACTTTAGTTTTGTTATTTTCCTTATTTTTTATTTTGAACTTTGGAAAAAACTTGTTTTTGTGTGGTTTTAGGGCAGCCAAGGTTTTTATTTTTTCTTCTTAGCTTTAGAGGTAGCTTTTCCCGCTAAGGTTTCTGGAGTGCAGTGGCATGATCTTGGCTCACTACAACTTCCGCCTCCCAGGTTCAAACAATTCTCCTGCCTCAGCCTCCCAAGTAGCTGGGATTACAGGCATGCACCACCATGCCTGGCTAATTTTTGTATTTTTTGTAGAGACGGGGTTTCACCATCCCAATCTCCTGACTTTATGATCCTCCCTCCTCGGCCTCCCAAAGTGCTGGGATTACAGGTGTGAGCCACCGCGCCCTGCTAGCTTTTTCCCCTAAGCTTTCTAATCAGAGGTAGTATTACTAAAATTTAGTTGATGTATTTTCTCATAATTATTTCAGTAACCTAAAACTTACTAGACTAGTGAGAGATGAAATCCTGAAGTACTTGGTTTGAGTGTTTCGTTTATTGTGGTTGTATTCAAAATGTGGTTTCTGGGGCTGTTATCATCACGTGTCACCTAGGAATGCGTTTGAAATGCAAATTCTTCGGCTCCACTCCAGACCTACCGAAACAAACTCTAGAACTGGGACCTAGCAATATGTGTTAAAACAAGCCCTCCAGCTGGTTCTCATATACACGAAAGTTTGAGAACCATTGGTCTGCTGTGTGTTCAGAGTGTTGTTTTCTATTTTTAGGAAAGTGAAATTTGTTTATCGAACTCTCACCCATAAACATTTACAAATGGCTTTTTATTTAATTCTGTTTCTTAGATTCTTACAACCAGTACAGAAAATAGACATGAATCTCACAGATCTTCTGGGAGAACTCCAGCGAGACCCTTGGCCTGTACCACAGGGAAAGAGACCTTTGCGTTCCTCTGGGGTGGCACTTTCCATAGCTGTAGGACTGCTGGAGGTAGGGAAGATGGTTTTGTTTTGGAATGTAAAGTGTGTGTGTGTGTGTGTGTGTGTGTGTGTGTGTGTGTGTATATATAATTATAAGGATAAGAAGAACCAAAGTGCTTTTTTTCCTCCCTATTCTCTCACTCAGCATCAACAAAGAATACTTCTATGGTTTTCCCCCACATACCAACCAAGCAGTTCTGCCTTCGATACCACCTGGGTGTCCTGTAATTCAGTTCAATTCTGATACTATCTAACTGGAGATAACATCACATCTCACAGATTGAGGGCTCAGTCCCACAAGACTGCCCCCACTTAAGTGCCAGTCACATAGTAGGTTGTCACCTATACTTCTCTGATAGACTGGCTGTAAATTGGACACTCTTGGGTTTGATTAATTTGCTAGAATGGCTCACAGAACTCTAGGAAACACTTTATGTTTCTCGGTTTATGATAAAGATATTACGAAGACTATAGATGAACAGTCAGATGGACTAGATGCATAGAGTGAGGTGTGGGAGAAGGGGTTCCAAATTTCTGTGGCTTCTCTGGGGCACCACCCTCCAGGAACCTCCACATATTCATTTGTCTGGAAGCTCTCCAAACTGTGTTCTTTTGGCTTTTCATGAAGGCTCACTGCATAGGCATGATTGATTACATCACTGGCCATTATCCCCTCTCTCCTTCTGGAGGTTGGGGTGTGGAACTGAAAGTCTCAACCTTCTAATCAGGCTTTAGTCTTTTCAGTGACCAGCCCCCATCTTGAAGCTATCTAGGAGTCATTTTATTAACATACAAAAGGCACTCTTGGCTGGGCACCTCATGCCTGTAATCCCAGCACTTTGGGAGGCTGAGGTGGGCAGATCACCTGAGGTCTGGAGTTCGAGACTAGCACGGCCAATATGGCAAAACCCCATCTCTGCCAAAAATACAAAAATTAGCCAGGCGTGGTGGCGGGCGCCTGTACTCCCAGCTACTTGGGAGGCTGAAGCAGGGAGAATTGCTTGAACCCAAGAGGCGGAGGTTGCAGGGAGCTGAGATCGCATCACTGCACTCCAGCCTGGGTGACAGAGTGAGACTCCGTCTCAAAAAACAAAAACAAAAAACAAAAGGTACTCTTATCATTCTACAGAATCCAAGGCTTTTAGGAGCTGTGTGTCAGGAAAGGAGAGGAAAAAAATATATTCACAGTATTATAGGAAATGGTATGTATAAGATAATATTGAGTGAAAAAAAATCAGGTTATAGGACAGTGGGTGTATGATTTTATCTACGTGAAGTGTTTTCCTCCAGCATATTGTCTTGTGTATTGTTTTGTATATATCCTGTACAGACATGATTCTGGAAAGAAGTTCACCCAGATGTTAACAGTGATACAATAAGTGGAGTTTTAGTAGAATTTGAAAATTTTATGCTATACATATCTTAGCTTTAGAATTACAAAATAGTGGCTGGGTGCGGTGGTTCACGCCTGTAATCCCAGCACTTTGGGAGGCCGAGGTGGGTGGATCACGAGGTCAGGAGATCGAGACCATCCTAGCTAACATGGTGAAACCCTGTCTCTACTAAAAATACAAAAAAAAAAACTAGCCGGGCGTGGTGGCGCATGCCTGTAATCCCAGCTACTCGGGAGGCTGAGGCAGGAGAATCGCTTGAACCCGGAAGGTGGAGGTTGCAGTGAGCCGAGATCATGCCACTGCACTCCAGCCTGGGCAACAGAGAGAGACTCCATCTCAAAAACAAAACAAAACAAAATAGTTTTTAAAAATGTTTTTTAAAAAATTTGAAATGCTATCAAATTTACAGAAAAGATGCAAGAAGTGTATAAATAATTTTTTTCTCCAAACTATTTGAGATTGTGAACCCCAAATATCTGAGATAGTCTCAATTAATTTAGAAAGTTAATTTTGGGCTTGGCGTGTTGGCTCACGCCTGTAATCCCAGCATCGTGGGAGGCCGAGGTGGGTGGATCTCTTGAGGTCAGGAGTTCGAGACCAGCCTGAGCAACGTGGTGAAACCCTGTCTCTACTAAAAATACAAAAAAATTAGCCAGGTGTGGTGGCAGGCGCCTGTAGTCCCAGCTACTTGGGAGGCTGAAGCAGGAGAATCACCTGAACCTGGGAGGCAGAGGTTGCAGTGAGCCGGGATTGCACCACTGCACTCCAGTCTGGGTGACAGAGCGAGACTCCATCTCAAAAAAAAAAAAAAAAAGAAAGTTTATTTTGCCAAGGCTGAGGACACATGCCTCTGGAGGTCCTGATGACATGCGTCCAAGGTGGTCAGAGCACAGTTGGTTTTATAAATTTTCGGGAGACATGAGACATCAATCAACATATGTAAGATGTATGTTGGTTCCATCCAGATAGGTGGGACAGCTCAAGTAG
The DNA here is from genome assembly GCF_000001405.40 of Homo sapiens. NCBI lineage: Eukaryota > Metazoa > Chordata > Mammalia > Primates > Hominidae > Homo > Homo sapiens. The sequence goes on along the minus strand of NC_000014.9, from coordinate 39,083,390 downwards.
GGAGGGGCTTCCAGGTCACAGATAGGTGAGAGACAGGTAGGTGAGAGACACAGGTAGGTGCATTCTTTTGAGTTTCTGATTAGCCTTTCCGAAGGAGCAATCAGATATGCGTTTATCTTACTGAGCAGAGGGATGACTTTGAATAGAATGGGAGGCAGGTTTGCCCGAAGCAGTTTCCAGCTTGACTTATCCCTTTAGTTTAATGATTTTGGGGTCCCAAGACTTACTTTCCTTTCACAAGATTAAGTTGCAGATATGATAGTCCCAACCCCTTGAAACTTTGTATTTCCTATGAACCAGGATAATCTCCTATATAACCACAATATAAAACTATTAAAATTAAAATGTTAACACTGATACATTACTACCAGCTAATTCTCAGACCCCATTCAAGTTTTACCAGTTGTCCCAATAATTTCCTTTACTGAAAGGATTTAGTTCAGTCCTGCATTTATGGCTATATCTATTTACCCTCCTTCATCCTGGAACAGTTCCTCAATCTTTCCTGATCTTTGGAAGATTCAGACCAGTTATTTGGTAAAATGTTCTTCAATTTGAGTTTGTCTTGAAGTATTCTCGTAATTTGATTCAGGTCTTGCATCTTTGGGAGGAATATCACAGAAGTAATGCTGTGTTCTTATTGTTACATTTTACAGGTGGCACATGGTTTTCATTTGTTCTGTTACTGATGATATTCACTTTGGTCATTCATTAAGGTAGTATCTGCCAGGGCTCTCCACTTTAAAATTACTCTTTTTTTACCCCTTTGTAATTAATAAACATTGCAAAATATTAGGAACCCCCATGTTGATTTATTTCATTACTGCTGATGTTAACTTTCCTTACTTGGTTAAGGTTGTTTTTGTCACTGTAAAGTTACAGGTTTTCCTATTGTAATTATAAATATCTTATTAGGAGATACCTTGAAAATATGTGAATAACCAGTGTACTCAGCAAACTTTTACCCACTAGTTTAGCATCCATTGATGATTCTTTTCTGATCAATTATTATTATGATGCATGCCAAATAGTGGCTTTCTAATTCCATCATTTCTACTTTTATTAATTGGCTTTCTACTTGAGGAAGAGCTTTCTCTCCTCTCCCATTTACGTATTTATATATATATAAATTTATATACACATATATATATGTAAATACATACAGAATACACACTGGGTGTATTCTTACATTCTTATTTTATACAACAAGATACATTCCTTTACTATCATAATTTACTTTGATGCTTAAGTTTTCCCCGATTTGGCTAGTGGGAGCCTCTTCAAGCTGCTTCTGGGTCCTTATTAAATGCCGCATGTTTGCTTAAATACTTCCTTTCTGGTATAGTAAGTTGTTCAGGGCTCATCTTATCCTTTTCCTGCTCTGGACCTGAAATGAAACCACTTAGGAGCCCTGTTTCCTTTTAGCCTTGGTTCTACCAAGAAGATAATGCTTCATGTGCACCCTTACCCTGGGTGTCATTAATTCTAGGTCCCAGCGGATGGAGCTAAGAAGAAGATGTATGTGCATATATATGTATCTATAGATGTATATAAAATCATAAGTATATGTGTGTGCATATATGTCTGCATACTCCAATATGCATCTATATCTCTATTAAAATAAAAAAAATTTTATATTAAAAACCAATGTTTCTTTCAGGTATGTTCAATTCAGTACCACAGGGTTTATTCTATCCTTCCCACTTTTCCATATTTGTAACTCATTCTCTATGAGAAACCTGCTCCCGTTATCAAATATATTTACTTATTTGCTCAGTCCTAGAATATATAGAATAGTTTCAGAGTTTCTAGCTCATACCTCTGTTAGAAAGAAGCTTAGGAGTTAGAGCCCAGTATTTGTTTAATGTTCTGAGAATATATAGTACAAAATATAATGTTCAAAAGTTAAGTGGGTTATTCCCCTCCACTGCCCTTAGTGTGATTATGTTATTCTTTGCTGTAAGTTTTATTTGTATCTTCTAGTAAATTTCTTAAGAAGACTTAAGAGTACAGAATTTCTTGGGCTGTTGAATGTTTAAACTTTTTTCCTGTGGTTCTGATAGTTGAAGAATAGCTTGGTTGGATATAAAAAGCTTTGGTTCTAATTTTTTTTTCCTGGAGGTTTTGGAAAATGCTTTTTCATTATTTTCTTACCTTGATGTGTGTGTGTTTTTTTTTTTTTTTAAACAGAGCCTCTGTTGCTCAGGCTGGAGTGCAGTACGTGATCATAGCTTACTGCAGCACTGCAACCTCAAACTCCTGGTCTCAAGCAGTCCTCCAGCCTCAGACTCCTCCCAAGTAGCTGGGACTATAGGCCCATGCCACTATGCCCAGCTACTTTTTAAATTTGTAGAGACAGAGTCTTGCCATGTTGCCCAGACAGGTCTCAAACTCCTGGTCTCAAGTGATCCTACCACCTTGGCTGATGTTTTTTGAGAAGGCTGATACCAGCCTTATTTTCTTGCCCTTGTAAATTATTTGATCATTTTGCTTCAAGGTCTTGAGGAATTTTTTTTTTATCTTGTAGGGTTTTTGTTGCAGGTTAATTTTCTCTAGTATGTGGTAGGCCCTCTTTATATGTATTTTTTCCTATAAAGTTGTCTTATAGTATTTTTTCCTATAAAGTTGTCTTATAGCTTTAAATAGTAGTTTTGTTCCATTGTTTTATTTTATTTAAGAACTCCCGGCCAGGCGCAGTGGCTCATGCCTGTAATCCCAGCACTTTGGGAGGCCGAGGCAGGCGGATTACCTGAAGTCAGGAGTTCGAGACCAGCCTGGCCAACGTGGTGAAATCTCATCTCTACTAAAAATACAAAAATTAGCCGGGGGCGGTGGCACACGCCTGTAATCCCAGCTACTTGGGAGGCTGAGGCAGGAGAATTGCTTGAACCCGTGGACAGAGGTTGCAGTGAGCCGAGATCATGTCACTGCACTCCAGCCTGGCCGACAGAGCAAGACTCTGTCTCAAAAGAAAAAAACAACTGCCGTTATATATAAATTGACTCTTCTTTGCTTGCTTTTTATTTCAGCCATCTTTTTATTTCTTTATTTCATTTTCATTCTCTTGGTTTTTTTCTTTTCTTTAGTGCCTCTTACCAAGTTTTCATTTGAATCTGTAGTCGTTCTTCTAGGCCTGCTGTTTGTTTCCCTCTTCTCTCTTCTGTGTACTTCTTCCCAAACTGCCCTTGATCTTTTTGGAGAATTGCAATGAGAGCATGAGAGATACAGTTCACGGGGATTTAGTGGCTTTTTTTTCCCTCCAGTTGTAGGAAATTTGAAGTTTGGATGTTCTTTGTGTCATAGTTTTATGAAAGTATCTGTATATAGTTTTATTTGCTCTTTTCTTCATTTTTTCAGCTTTACATGACTGCTATTATCTCAAATACCCAGAATGAAGAGAGTATTTTTGTTATTAGTTAAGAAAGTTATAGAAGTAATAATCATACCTTGTGAAAACATTCAAACAATATGCAATGGTATATACAAATAAGTAGAAGACAACTTTCCTTGTTCTCTAGATTTGTTAACCATATGATTTTATTTTATTTTATTTTATTTATTTATTTTTTAGATGGATTTTTGCTCTTGTTGCCCAGGCTGGAGTGCAGTGGTGCAATCTTAGCTCACTGCAACCTCCACCTCCTGGGTTTAAGCAATTCTCCTGCCTCAGCCTCCCAAGTAGCTGGGATTATAGGTACCCGCCACCCCGCCTGGCTAATTTTTTGTATTTTTAGTAGAGACAGGGTTTCACCATGCTTAGCCAGGCTGGTCTCGAACTCCTGACCTCAGGTGATCCGCCCACCTCATCCTCCCAAAGTGCTGGGATTACAGGTGTGAGCCACTGTGCCAGGCTAATCATATGACTTTAAAAATTATCATGAAGTTTATATCGTTTACATTCTGTTCTGAAGCTGTAGTGTAGGTTGAAAAATGTACTCTATTTTGTCCAATAACCACTTATAGAAATTAGAGATAAAATAGCCTTTCTAATATGACAATACAAATATTAATTGTGGAATAAAGTAGAGCGATTATACACAGAGAAGGATACTTTCATATGTAAAAGTCATAGGATATCTTTTACATTTTTTTCTAGATCCTGTCACTTCCTTTGGATCATACGCAGTTGCTCTTTTGTTTCTTATAAGTATTCTGAGTTCTTCTATATTCAAACATTAAAAAAAAATGGCCCTCTCATTTCATTGGTAGTTTGGGTGGCTATAGAATTCTAGTTTCAAAATAGTCTTCACTTGGAAATTCAAGTCATTCCTCTCTAGTTTTCTGACATAGACATACAGTTTATTGATGATAATTGGATGTAGTCTCGTTCTTTTTTTAGGAAACTTATTTTTTCACTAGACATTTTTAGAATATTCTCTTTAATTTTGGAGTTCTGAAATTTTGTTAGGCTGTATTTAGGTTTGATTTTTTCTTTCTTTAATTACGTTTGGTTTTGGTAGACCCTTTAATTCTGAAAAATATTGTCATTCTTCAGCTTAATTTATTTCTCTTTCTATTCTATATTTGTTACATTGATGCTGGACCTCTATATCTCTTTATATATTTATTTTTTTCCTCATATCTTTCTTTGCTCCTATTTATATGAGATTTCCTCAGCTTTGTTTCCCATATTTCTAGCTCAGCCTTCAGACATGCTTTTTGGCCCATCCATTGAGGTTTTAAAAATTTTCTTAATGCTTTTATTTCCAGAAACTTTTGAGAGTTGTCATGTTTGTTGTGATATCCATTGTAACATGTGCTTGGTTCTGTATCTCTCAGCCTCTAATTTTCATGCAAAGACCCTTCTCCAGGCAGATGGCCTGCTTTCTACAGAGAGTAGTTCTTAGGAATTGCTGATGGCAGAATCTGTCATCAGCTGCTGTATCTGGAGGTATAGATACACACTGTTTCTTCTTTGGTTCATTGCTGCTTTTTGTATTTTTTGACTCCAAATATGGAGCTTTTTGGGCATCCTCCTTTGGGAAGATCTGGGGCTTACTTTTGATATCTGTGATGTGTTTCGTTGATTCTTTTGATAATCCAGTACAATTTATTGTTTGAATTCCTCAAAATTTCTGATCTACTGCTTGCATTATTTCCTATCTTTAAATTTTATGTACTTTTTGTTTTTTTTTGAGACAAGAGTCTAGTTCTGTTGCCTAGGCTGGAGTGCAGTGGCATGATCATGGTTGACTGCAGCATCGAACTCCTGGGCTCAACCAATCCTCCCACCTCAGCCTCCTGAGAAGCTGGGACTATAGCATGTCCCATCATGCCCAACTGATTTTGTTATTTATTTATTTTTTTCAGACAAGGTCTCCCTTTGTTGCCCAGGCTGATCTTGAACTCCTGGGCTAAAGTGATTCTCCCACCTTGGACCCCCAAAATGATGAGATTAGAGGCATGAGCCACAGTGTCTGGCCTATTTATTTATTTTTAATTTTACTTTATTTTATTTTAGACAGTGTCTCACTCTGTCATCCTGGCTGGAGTACAGTGGTGTGATCTTGGCTCACTGCAACCTCCACCTCCTGGGTTCAAGCAATTCTCTTGCCTCAGCCTCCCAAGAAGCTGGGATTACAGGTGTGCACTACCACACCTGGCTAATTTTTGTATTTTTTTAAGTAGAGACAGGGTTTTGCCATGTTGGCCAGGCTAGTCTCGAACTCCTGGCCTCAAGTGATCCACCTAAAACAACTTTTCTCTTATTTCATTGACATCTTGTGAGGAAGGGGAAGTAGATTGGGGTATTCAATCCATTAACTTGGACTGGAAGTGTAAGTCATGCATACTTTTTTTTCTCTCTCTCTCTCTCTATCTTTGTCTCTCTTTCTCTTTCTTTCTTTTTTTTGACAGAGTCTTACCGTGTTGCCCAGGCTGGAGTGCAGTGGCACAATCTCGGCTCACTGCAACCTCCACCTCCCGGGTTCAAGCAATTCTCTGCCTCTGCCTCCCAAGTAGCTGGAATTACAGGCGCCCGCCACCATGCCCGGCTAATTTTTTGTATTTTTAGTAGAGATGGGTTTTCACCATATTGGCCAGGCTGGTCTTGAACTCCTGACCTTGTGATCCACCCGCTTCGGCCTCTGAAAGTGCTGGGATTACAGGTGTGAGTCACCGTGCCGGGCCTCTTTCTTTTTTTTTTTTTTTTTTTTTTTTTTTTGAGATGGAGTCTTGCTCCATTGCCCAGGCTAAGGTGCAGTGGTACAATCTTGGCTCACTGCAACCTCAACCTCCTGGGTCGAAGCAATTCTCCTGCCCCAGCTTCCTGAGTAGCTGGGACTACAAGCATGTGCCACCATGCCCAGCTAATTTTTATATTTTTAGTAGAGACAGGGTTTCAACCATGTTGGCCAGACTGGTTTCAAACTCTTGCCCTCAGGTGATCCACCCACCTCAGCCTCCCAAAGTGCTGGGATTACAGGCGTCAGCCACTGCGTCCAGCCTCTATTTTTTTTTTTTTTGAGACGGAGTCTCGCCTTGTTGCCCAGGCTGGAGTGCAGTGGCGTGATCTTGGCTCACTGCGACCTCCACCTCCCGCGTTCAAGCGATTCTCCTGCCTCAGCCTCCCGAGTAGGTGGGACTATAGGCGTCTGCCACCCTGCCCGGCTAATTTTTTGTATTTTTAGTAGAGATGGGATTTCACCATGTTGACCAGGCTGGTCTTGAACTCCTGACCTCAGGTGACCCACCCGCCTCAGCCTCCCAAAGTGCTGGGATTACAAGTGCGAGCCACCACGCCTGGCCTTTTTTTTTGTTGTTCTATGATACTTGTGTTCTAAACATCAAAAACAAAAGTAAAACACCAACAAAAAAATAGAAGAGCCAGGTGCAGTGGCGTGTGCTTCTCATTCCAGCTACTTGGAAAGCTCAAGTGGGAGGATCACTTGAGCCCAGGAGTTAAAGTCCAGCACTGGCAACATGGTGAGACCTTGTCTCTAAAAAAAAAAAAAAAAAAATTAAAAACCCAAAACAAAACAAAAGAAGATGTTCACTCTTCCACTTTTCTCTCCACTCTTCCCTGTCTGAGATGAGTTAAGCAGGAGAAATATCCATGTTTATAGGGATTAGGCTCATAGATTAGTTTAGAATTAGGAATGTGCTACTATATACCATAGGATTTTAAAAGAAAGTTGTTCAGATACCTTTGTTTTTAAATTTCATTGTAAACATTTGATTATTTTATTTCTTAGAAAATATATGCTTTTCTCTTATTTAGAAGGAATATATAAAAAATTATTATCAGAAATGTATATTCATATGTTTTCTTTTAAACTCTTGACTTTTTTTTTAATAGTGTACTTTTCCCAACACTGGTGCTCGTATCATGATGTTCATTGGTGGTCCTGCTACTCAGGGGCCTGGAATGGTGGTTGGAGATGAGTTGAAGACACCTATAAGATCGTGGCATGACATTGACAAAGACAATGCCAAATATGTTAAAAAGGGAACTAAGGTAATTTTGACTGTTAAATATTTTTGCCTTATTAGAAAACAGGTATTCATTTGCTGGCAGAAGAAGAATACAAATAGTTTTTGATAGAAATTGGTATTATACAGTTTGATACTATAACTGGTATTCAGAATTGGAGAAATATTCATTTTTTCTTGATAATTTGTTGTAATGTTTCTGGTTTGAAATATTTAAACACTTCATAGTACGTGTCAGTAGGTATCTCCTTAAAAATTATTACTGAGAGAAACATTCTATGCCTTTTTAAATATTCATGTTAAAGAATGCCTTTCTGTTTAGGAAAAGTTGTTTTTACATTTTTCAGTTTTTCATTTCCAAGAGGCAGTCCTTAATTTTTCCTTTAGATATGAATATTGTTCATAGCTTAAATAGTCCATCATTTTCTTGTAAGTTGTTTTATGTTCATCTAACTTCCCATTTTTTGGGTTTGTGTAAGTACATTTCACTAATGTTGATTTTTGACTCTCTTATATTCGTTCTATTTGTTAATATCTCTTAATTTTTAAATTCTCTAGAGTTCAGTTTTAATTTGGCTTGTGCTGTATCATGTATTTTTTGATAGTCTTCATCAGTATTATATGTTTAAAAGTAATTTATGACATAATTTTTGCCACTGTTGGTGCTTTTCTTTCCTGCCAACTAATTTCCTTTTTGAGCTTGGAATTTTTCTTGGTTACAGCTTCAAAAAAGGTTTTAGATTCATTTATCTTACTGCTTTTTGTATTTTCTCTATTTTTGGATGTTTTTGTTACTTGGGTATGGATTTAGCTAGGAAAGAGAGTTCTCTGTTGTTTTTCTTTCTTTTTTTTTGAGGCAAAGTCTCGCTCTGTTGCCCAGACTGGAGTACAATGGCATGATCTCCACTCACTGTAAGCTCCATCTCTTGGGTTCATGCCATTCTCCTGCCTCAGCCTCCCTAGTAGCTGGGAATACAGGCACCCACCACCACGCCCGGCTAATTTTTTATATTTTTAGTAGAGACGGGGTTTCACCGTGTTTGCCAGGATGGTCTCGATCTCCTGACCTCATGATCTGCCTGCCTCGGCCTCCCAAAATGCTGGGATTACAGGCGTGAGCCACCACGCCCAGCCTGTTGTTTTTGTGCTATGTTTATATAGGAAGAACAAGATATGCAATAGGACTTTCTTTAAGTTTGGCTTCATTTAGGGGTTTATCTAGAAAGAGTGGCTTTCAAGGAAAATGTGAAAATGTCAGACTCACAGAAGTTGTTGTATAATTTTATTAACATTACAGAAAGTTAAATAACTAATCATAATTTAAATTATGAGTTACTCTTTTAGTCCTTAGATCATTTTGATCTGTTAATGGAAAAAAGATTTATAGGACAATTTTGTATATTATTTTAATTAAGAAAATCTTTTGTAGCATTTTGAAGCATTGGCTAATCGAGCTGCTACAACTGGCCATGTTATTGATATCTATGCGTGTGCATTAGATCAGACAGGTCTCCTGGAGATGAAATGCTGTCCCAACCTTACTGGGTATGTATTTAAATTTTTACAGTTTTTGTAATTATAAGCAAATGATGACATTTACTGATATAAACCAATAATGACCATTTAGGGAAAAGTGTCATCTTCCCACTACTTCAAGGCAACACATCTGTTAGTAGTTTTTGATATTCCTTTCAGTAAAACACACTTTTGAATTTGTTTAAAAATATGGAGTTATAAAGGTCCAACCCTGTTTCTAAAGCTCACTTTGATATCTTGAAGTCATTATTTTGATTTATTACTTCAACAGCATTTTTGAGATAAAATTCACATACCATAAACTTACCATTTAAAATGTACAGTTTGATGCTTTTAGTATATTTACAGGATGCACAGCCATCACCGTAATTTGTTTAGAACATTTGCATTACCCTAGAAACTATGTTCCCATTAGCAGTTACTTCCCATTATTCCCTCCTTTTTCTTCTCACCACCCTCTCATCCTTAGACAGCTGATAATTGCCTGTTCTGGGTATTTTATAAAATGAAATCAGAGGCTGGGTGTGGTGGCTCACGCTTGTAATCCCAGCACTTTGGGAGGCTAAGGCAGGTAGATCATGAGGTCAGGAGTTCAAGACAAGCCTGGCCAAGATGGTGAAACCCTGTCTCTACTAAAAATACAAAAATTAGGTGGGCGTGGTGGCAGGCACCTGTAATCCCAGCTACTCGGTAGGCTGAGGCAGGAGAATTGCTTGAACCCGGGTGGCAGAGGTTGCAGTGAGCTGAGATCATGCCACTGCACTCCAGCCTTGGCGATAGAGTTAGACTCCGTCTCAAAAAAAAAAAAAAAAAAAAAAAAGAGGAATCAGAGCCGGGCACCGTGGCTCCCAACTGTAATCCTAGCACTTTGAGAAGCCGAGGTGGGAGGATTATCTGAAGTCAGGAGTTCAAGACCAGCCTGGCCAACATGGTGAAACCCTGTCTCTACTAAAAAACATAAAAATTAGCTGGGCGTGGTGGCACGTGGCTGTAATCCCAGCTACTCAGGAGGCTGAGGCAGGAGAATCACTTGAACCTGGAGGTGGAGGTTTCAGTGAGCCAAGAAGATTGTGCCACTGCACTCCAGCCTGGGCCACAGAGTGAGACTCTGTTTCAAAAAGAAGGGAATCAAATGGTCTCTTGTGATTGGTTTCTTTTACTCAGCATAATGTTTTCAAGGTTCATCCAGACTGTAGAATGTACTAATATTTTATTTTATTTTATTTTATTTTTACTGCTGAGTAAAAAGGGAACAAGGGGCTAAAGTGCATTTAATAGTATTCCATTTGATGGATACACCACATTTTGTTTAGGAATCCATCAGTTAATGAACATTTCATTTCCACTTTTTGGCTACTGTGAATAATGGTCCTTTGAACATCGTGTTCAAGTTTTGGTGTGGAGATTATGTTTTTGTTTCTCTTAGGTATATATCTAGGAGCAGAATTGTTGCATCACATAGTAATCTGTCCTTAACATTTTGAGGAACTGTCTAACGATTTTCCCAAGTAACTGTACCAATTTAAATTCCCATTACCAAAGTATGAGGATTCCAGTTTCTCCACATCTTTGTCAGCACTTGTCGTTGTCTGTATTTTAATTAATTTTTTTTAGATGGGGTCTTTCTCTGTTACTGAGGCTGGAGTGCGGGGTGCAGTCATAGCTCACTGTAGCCACAATGTCCAGGGCTCAAGCAATCCTCTCACCTCAGCCTCCTGAGTAGCTGGGACTACAGGCACATGCTACCACACCTAGCTAATTATTAATACTTTTTTTTTGTGGAGACGAGGTCTCACTTTGTTGCCCAGGCTGGTCTCGAACTCCTGGGCTCGATCCTCCTGCCTCTGCCTCTCAAAGTGCTGGGATTACAGGTGTGAGCCACCGTGCCCAGCTTATTGTCTGTCTTTTTGATGATATCTGTCCTAGTGGGTGTGAAGTAATATCTCATTGTGGTTTTCATTTGCATTTCCCTGAAGACTAATGATGTTGAGCATCTTTTTATGTGCTTACTGGCCATGTGTATATCTTTGGAGAAATGTCTATTCAGATTCTTTACCCATTTTTAATTTGGGCTATTGATTTTCTTTTTATTGAGTTAAAATAGTTTGTTATTTGGATATAAATCCCTTTATCAGATATATGACTTACAGATATTTTCTCTTATGGGTTTTTTCCCTCACTTTTTTTTTTTTGAGACAGAGTCTCACTTTGTCACCCAGGCAAGAGTGCAGTGGTGCGATCTAGGCTCACTGGAACTTCTGCCTCCTGGGTTCAAGTGTTTCTCCTATCTTAGCTTCCCCAGTAGCTGGAATTACAGGTGTGCACCACCACACCCGACTATTTTGTATTTTTAGTAGAGACAGGGTTTCATTATGTTGGCCAGGCTGGTCTCGAATTCCTGATCTCAAGAGATCCACCCACCTCGGCCTCCTAAAATTCTGGGATTACAGGTGTGAGCCACCCCGCCCGGCCTCCCTCACATTCTTGATGGTATTGTTTGCAGCACAAAAGTTTTAAATTTTGATGAAACCTATTTCATGCTTTTTCTTTCTTTTTTATTTTGAGACGGAGTCGCTCTGTCACCCAGGCTGGAGTGCAGTGGCGTGATCTCGGTTCACTGCAACTTCTTCCTCCCAGGTTCAAGCGATTCTCCTGCCTCAGCCCAAGTAGCTGGGACTACAAGCGCCTGCCACCACGCCCAACTAATTTGTTTTTGTATTTTTAGTAGAGACTGGGTTTCACCATGTTGGCCAGGCTGGTCTTGAACTCCTGTCCTTGTGATCTGCCTTCCTCGGCCTCCGAAAGTGCTAGGATTACAGGCCTGAGCCACCGTGCCCAGCCTTGATTTTAAAAAATTTTTTAATTTTTAAATTTTGAGACAGAGTCTCACTGTGTTGCCCAGGCTGGAGTGCAGTGGTGCGATCTCAGCTCACTGCAACCTCTGCCTCCCAGGTTCAGCAGATTCTTGTGCCTCAGCCTTCCAGGTATCTGGATTACAGGCATGTAGCACCATGCCTGGCTAATTTTCATATTTATTTCAAGTTATCTGCCCGTCTTGGCCTACCAAAGAGAGCTGGGATTACAGGCATGAGCCACTGTGCCCGTCCAACAATTGATTTTTATATGTTGATTTTACCCCCTGCAACCTTGTGGAACTTGTTTATTAGTTTTAATAGTTTTTCTGTGGACTTCTTAGGATTTTCCCTATATAACATCATGCCATCTGCAAATTGGTATTGTTTTACTTCTTCCTTCCCACCTGCATGCTTTTTCTTTTCCTTGCCTAATTGCCCTGGCTGGAATGTCCAGTACAGGATTAAAAATGTGAGAGTGAATATCCTTGTGTTGTTCTTGATCTTCGGGGTAAGTCGTTTAGTCTTTTTTTTTTCTTTTTTTGAGATGGAGTTTCCCTCTTGTTGCCCAAGCTGGAGTGCAGTGGCACGATCTCGGCTCACTGCAACCTCCGCCCCCTGGGTTCAAGTGATTCTGCTGCCTCAGCCTCCTGAGTAGCTGGGACTACAGGCATGCGCCACTACGTCCAGCTAATTTTTGTATTTTTAGTAGAGACGGGGTTTCACCATGTTGGTCAGGCTAGTCTCGGACTCCTGACCTCAGGTGATCCACCTGCCATGGCCTCCCAAAGTGCTGGGATTATAGGCATGAGCTACCGTGTCCAGCCCTGTTTAGTCTTCTACCATTAGAAGATATTAGCTGTGGATTTCATCAGATTGAATAAGTTCCCTTCCAAAAACTCTCATGAAAATGTGTTTTTGGGATTTTGTTAAATGCTGTTTCTATAGCTATTGATATGATCATGTGACTTTTGTCCTTATTAATATGGTATATTGCACTGATTTTTGGATTTTAAACCTACCTTGCATTTCTGGGATGAATCTCACTTGGTCATGGCGTATAATCCTTTTTATTATTGCTAAATTCAATTTGCTGTCATTTTGTTGAGGATTTTTGCATCTGTCTTCATAGGAGATACTGGCCTGTAGTTTTCTTTTGTTTGGTGTTGGCATCAGGGTAACTGTCGTCACAGAATGACCTGGGATGTGTTCTTTCCTCTTCCATGAGCAGTTATTATTTTTGAAATAATTTAATTAGGCTTAAAAATCAATTAGATATGTCAACACTTTCTCAGGTTTATTTATTTAATTCATTCATCTAATAAATATGAATGAGCACCTGCTATGTAGCCAACTGCTCAAGGCACTGCAAGTAAAGCAGTGAACTAAACGTAAAAATCTTTGCCCGCATGGAGCTTATCTTCTAGCGCAGGGCTCTTCCGTATAATTTCGCAATGGATATATTCTTTGTGCTGTCCCATTGAAATGTGGCAAGTATGACTGAGGAACTAAAATTTAATTTTAATTGCTTTACATTTAAATTTAACTAGCCACATGTTAGTACAGTTCTAATGAGAGGAGATAGGATAAGTATGGTAGATAGGATGTCAGATGGTGATAGCATTGGGAAGAAAAAAGTTCAGGAAAGAAGAATTGGGGTTTGCAGTTCTAAATAGGATGAATAGGCAGAGCCTTATTGAAGGTGATATTTTAGCAAAGATGTAAGCAAGTGAGAGTGAGCCATGTGCATATATGAAGTAAGAGTGTTCCAAGTGAGGAATAGCAAGTACAAAGTTGAGAATGTACCTGGGGCCAGGCGCTGTGGCTCACACCTGTGTAATCCTAGCACTTTGGGAGGCTGAGGTGGGTGGACTGCTTGAGCTCAGGAGTTTGAGACCAGTCTGGGCAACATGGTGAAACCCTGTCTCTACCAAAAATACAAAAATTGGCTGGGCATGGTGGTGTGCGCCTGTGGTCCCAGCTACTTGGGAGGCTGAGGTGGGAGGATTGCTGGAGCTTGGGAAGTCGAGGCTGTGGTGAGCCATGATCGCATCACTGCACTCCAGCCTGGGTGACAGAGTGAGACCTGGGCTCAAAAAATAATAATAATAAAGAGAATGTACCTGTGATGTTGAGAAATAGCAAGGAGAACAAAGTAGCTGGAATGGAGTGAGTGAGGAGGGTAGGTTACAAAGTCCGTTTACCTTTTTAAAGGGCTTTGGACTTTACCTTGAGTGAGATGGGAAGGCGTTGGAGAGTTTTCAACAGAGGAGTTTTATGATCTGACTTAATAGTTTAAAAGGATCGCTGAATTCATTTGTCATTTGTAGAGTATAGGGATGTAAGAATACCAAGTGATGGTAGCACAGATGGTGGGAAGTAGTTGGATTTTGGATATATTTGGAAAATAGATGTAAGGGTGTGGACAATTCCTTCATAGAGGTTTACTGTAAAAGGGAGCAGAGAAATGGGGTGGTATAAATTGTCATTAATCTAGGATGTATTATCAGGTATAATGATGACTTAGATCATCATAGATAACATGTTTGTAGAAAATCTGAAAGAATTTATAAACTATTGGTATTAATATGTGAAGTTGGCAAGACTTCTGGATCAAGGTCAGTGTACAAAGTTTAATTATAAATTTATGTACCAGTAACATTAAAAAATTTAAAAGGATACAATTTCTAATAAGCATCAGAGATAACAAAAACTTCTAATAATATCAAAAGTAAAATTATGGTCAATTAGTTATAACACATCAGTTTTATTCTTTTGCCTATTTTAATTTTTGATTGTATCTTTTATTGATGTTTAATACTTAAAATATTTTAAAAATGTGAGCAAGTGTATCTAAATATTTGTATGCATGTGTATCATATAAACAATATTTTATACATCTTTCCTCTCTTTGTGTTTTTCACTTGTATCCTAGAAATCAGTCTGTAGCAGTGTATTACTCCATTGTGTGGATGTAATATTTTTTCAACTAGTCTCTAATTACATGATTATTTGGATTGTTTTCAGTTTTCTGTTATTCTGAGTTTGTGTTTGAAATACAGTATTTCAAACACAAGGGAAAAAGGAAAAAAACTTTTGTTGTTACAAATAGTGCTTCAGCGAATAACCTTGTGAATATATTTTGTTTTTCTGTTTTTGTTTTGTTAGAGTATCTTTGGAATAGATTACTATTAGTGGGGTGGCTGGATTAAGGAGGAAATCCATATATAATTTTGTTAGATATTATCAAGTTACTCTGTACTGGGGTTGTACCATTTTGCAGTCCCAGCAGAAGTGTATGAGAGTGCCTGTTTTTCCATAGCCTCACCAACATAATATGTTGCTGTCAAACTGATTTTTGCCAATCTATTAGAGAAGGAATGGTATCAAAATAGTTTTTAACTTTCAAGTTAATATTAAAATTTTTTTAATTAAAAAAGTAGGTATATGCTTATTAAAAAAATTAAAAATAAGTGCAAAAAGTGAAAATACTCTCAATTTTCTTCCATTCTCATTTGCTTGGTATAACATGTATATTTCATGTGACACAGATAGTACATGCATATACATACACACACATACTTGTTTTTAAGAGTGAGAATGGGCCAGGTGGGTGGCTCATGCCTGTAATCCCAGCACCTTGGCAGCCCGAGGTGAGCATATTGTTTGAGCCCAGAAGTTCAAGACCAACCTGGGCAACATGGCAAAACCCTATCTCTACAAAAAAACAAAAAAATTAGCTGGGCGTGTTGGTGCAACCTGTAGTCCAGCTACTTGGGAGGCTGAGGTAGGAGGATGACTTGAGCCCAGGAGGTTGTGGCTGCAGTGAGCCGTGATTGTTCCACTGCACTCCAGCCTAGGCAACAGAGTGAGACCCTGTCTGAAAAAAAAAAAAAAAAAAAAAAGAGAATGCATGCTGGAAACTGTCAGGTACCTTTACCAATATGGAGAACATTTGTTACTATATACTCTTCTGTACCTTTTGAATTTTGTAATATGGTGGATATATTGCCTATTTAAAGAAGAATTTTTTTTTAAATTACCAAGGACAAATGCAACTGTTAGGGGTACTCTGTTACCTTCGGAATTGAGATTATTTGTGGGGTGAGGATATTCTCATATATATTTGAATATTAAAAATTAGTAATACAGCACATTTTGGGAAATATCTTTAAAATTTATTGGTAGTTTTGAGAGGTAATTTTCTTCTACGATTTTAACACACGGACTCAGTAACTGTGTCAAGTATGTTGTTTTTTTGTTCTTTCCATGCAGAGGATACATGGTAATGGGTGATTCTTTCAATACTTCCTTATTCAAACAAACTTTTCAAAGAGTCTTTACCAAAGACATGCATGGACAGTTTAAAATGGGCTTTGGTGGTACGCTAGAAATAAAGGTAAGAACCAAAACTTGACATGTGCGATATGTTATCAAAAGACAACTTATAGGCTTGAGTGTAATTCTAAAATGCCATTAATCAAATTTAATATTTACTTTCAAAATTGTGGTTATTTTATATTGAAACCTGAGTTAGAGATTTTCTTCACCAGAAGAGTGTCATCATTCAATGTGTGAGACTTTACTTGAGCATTTCTGAACAATTGTTAGAAAAGTAGAACAATATTGGTAAAATATTCTTTAACTTTTTAATTTTTTTCTTTATATAGGGCTTAGCTCTTTAAAGTATGTTTTATCTTCTTTTTTTTGAGACAGAGTCTTCCTCTGTCGCCCAGGCTAGAGTGCAGTGGCATGATGTTGTCTCACTGCAGCCTCCGCCTCCTGGGTTCAAGTGATTCTCCAGCCTCAGCCTCCTGAGTAGCTGGGACTACAGGTGTGTGCCACTGTGTCTGTCTAATTTGTGTTTTTAGTAGAGACGCAGTGTCACCATGTTGGCCAGGCTGGTCTCGAACTCCTGACCTCAGGTGATCTGCCTGTCTCAGCTTTCCAAAGTGCTGAGATTACAGACATGAGCCACCACGTCTGGCCTGTTCTATCATTTGTAGAGCCAAATCTATTTATGTTAGTGCTAGGTTAATGATAGGAATTGTTATCTAACTTAAGAGGAAACTGTTTTTTTTAAAAAAAAAAAAGAGGAAACTGTTTTTTACCTTTCGGATAATCAGTAATTGTTTTATGATTAGTTGTTATTGCATAATTCTATCATTTATTTCAAATTTGGATTTAAAATACCCAAAGGCTAAGTGCTTCTAATCCTAATTGATTCTTATTAAATTAACTCTAAGCACATTAATTTTGAATTTTCATTAAATATTTATTAATCTTGTTTTATTGAATGCTTGCTATATGCCCAACATTGCTTGGGAAATTACAGAGATGCCTAGGGATATCTAAGGTACACGTCTTGCTATAGAGAAACTTAGCATTCTCTTGATAGAGAGGCAGGGAAAGAAAACACTGCATGTAATAGAATGACATAATGGTAAATTATAAAAACACTATAAAGGTTTAGAGAAGAAAAATGAACATATATAGGACACAATTTATTCTAGACTTCTAGAGGAGTGTGACTTATAGTTTTTTTTTTTTTTTTTTTTTTTTTTTTTTTTTTTTGAGATGGAGTTTCGCTCTTATTGCCCGGCTGGAGTGCAATGTCATGATCTCAGCTCACTATAACCTCTGCCTCCTGGGTTCAAGCAATTCTCCTGCCTCACCCTCCCGAGTAGCTGGGATTACAGGCATGTGCCACCATGCCCAGCTAATTTTGTGTTTTTAGTAGAGATGGGGTTTCTCCATGTTGGTCAGGCTGGTCTTGAACTCCCGACCTTGGGTGATCCACCTGCCTCAGCCTCTCAAAGTGTTGGGATTACAGGCGTGAGCTACCGCGCCTGGCCACAGTTGTTTTCTTAAAGATGTTAGAGGATATTGCATTTTATTCAGGAACCCAGTGTGAGGAGAGGCATAGAGGTGAGAATCAGCATTGTATGTTTGAGAAAACTGCCCAGTGAGAGTAGATGCTTTGTATTTGAATGAAAGGAAATAGCTTAAATCTGTGGGAGCTGGCTGTAGTGTGGAGACACATGTGTAGGCAGAAGTCATTAGGTATTTTGGGTAAGATTCATCTGACAGTGGTATTCTGCATATGTCAGGAAAAAGAATCTCAAGTAAGAAAACAAAAGTAAGCTTTCCAATTTTTTTTTTTTTAGACAGAAGGTATTGTGATAGCTTACATTTTGGTGGCAGGAGAGACTGGGGGGAGACCAATCTTGGTGACAGATTTTCTATGGGAGGAAAAATAGAATAGGGTGTCTAAGGTTTTAGATTAGGATATGTGAATTTTGGGTGGGTAGGTAGAAGTGTGAAGTCAGGATGAGGTTCCCAAATGGAGACCTCGTATGTGCTAATGGAAATAGAAGGTTAACATTAGGTTGGTGCCAGATTTTAAATTTGACAGTGAGCATAGAAGTGCTTATTGATTGATTATTTTTCATGTTAGTATATTTTCATTGGCTTTGAGTTTTAAATATAGATGAATATCTTATATTCTTATACACCTGTAGTTGAACATTTGAACGTATCTTTGAGGAAACCGAACATGCTGTATTCTTATTTTGCAGACCTCAAGGGAAATAAAGATTTCAGGAGCTATTGGACCCTGTGTGTCACTCAATTCTAAAGGACCCTGTGTGTCTGAAAATGTAAGTTGTGTTTATTCTAAAAAGAAAATACAGGACCAGGAACTGTGGCTTGCACCTGTAATCCCAGGTACTTGGGAAGCTGAGGCAGGAGGATTGCTTAAGCCCAGGAGTTAGAGACCAGCTCAGGCAACATAGAGAGACCCTGTTCCCCTCCTGTTATCCCCCCAAAAAAGAAAAAAAGACACAGCGAACGCACAGGACAGCACCAATAAAAACTTGGGGTGGCAGCCTATAGCATTCCTTTCAAAATTCTTATATTGATTGTTTTAGGTAGTTCAGCTCCCATTGGTATACCTCTATTCATGGTTGCTCTTTCTGCATACCCTTTTCCCATCCATCCCTAATTAAAACTTTTGTACTGTCACCAGTCTTCTATTTTTTATGCCTAAATTATGTCTTGCCCCAGTGTGCCTAAAAAAAAACAAAAACAAAAAAAACTCATGATTTGGAAATTTGGAGACTTCTGAAAGTCAAAATTAGCTCTAAATTGATTTTTGATACCAGAATTTTCAAAAAAGTAACCAAATTAGCCAGATTTGGAATTTCAGTTCTTTATGTTCTTTTTATCCAATTTAATGGAAGTATAACGTACTCTAAAATGGTAGAATCATGTAGCTGTGGAGAGGATGATGGGACAAATAATACAAAGTGGGTAATCAACTTTAAAAATGACAAAGCTAAAAAATTAATATGTACAAGCAGTTTGCGTGGTAAAGGTCTGTCTATATCTATGACGTTTTCTTGGGAATCAGAGTGCTTAACAATTCTCATCCAGAGAACATGTGTTCGTAAATGCATATATTATATGTTAAATCAGTTTCTCTTTATACAGATCAAGTAGTTGGATAGAAGGATAATGTTAGTTGCAATTACTTCATTAAATAGCATATACTTTTATTTTTTATTTTATTTTTTTTGAGACGGAGTCTCGCTTTGCCTCGCAGGTTGGAGTGCAGTGGCGCCTTCTCGGCTCACTGCAAGCTCCGCCTCCTAGGTTCACGCCATTCTCCTGCCTCAGCCTTCCAAATAGCTGGGACTACAGGCGTCCGCCAGCATGCCTGGCTGATTTTTTGTGTTTTTAGTAGAGATGGGGTTTCACCGTGTTAGCCAGGATGGTCTCCATCTCCTGACCTTGTGATCTGCCCGCCTCAGCCTCCCAAAGTACTGGGATTACAGGTGGGAGCCACCGCCCCTGGCCAAATAGCATATGCTTTTAAAGAGAACAGTATGAAGAACTTATATTAATACTTTTGTAATTTACTTAGCAAGAATTTAAATTTTACTTTTATTATGTAAAAATTATTTTATTTTTTATTATGTAAAAATGCTTTATTTTATAATATACTTATGGTCTTAAAATATTTTAAGCTCTTAACATTGTTGAATTAGTTTGAAACATGACTTTTTTTTTTCCTGTGGTCTTTTTCCATTTTCACTTTAATATAAAATTAATAAATTGTGTCTCTAGCTTTCAAACATGCTATATTTTATTTTTACAGGAGATAGGAACAGGTGGCACATGTCAGTGGAAGATATGTGGACTTAGTCCCACTACAACCTTAGCCATATATTTTGAGGTTGTCAATCAGGTATGACTTTCTACATCTGAATATCAAAACGTACAACGTACATTTGAATAAGTACTTACTTTAGGCCATGAATAGTTCATATTTTTTTTCCTATAGTAGATATAACCCAACATTTATTTTCTGTATTGGAATTTATATTTGTCGTTTTTTATTTTTCAAGGCTAAACTCCTTGGTGAGAGTACATATTGTAATAGAAATGCAGGGAAACCTACAAACGCCAAACCTTGGGTAGCCCAACTTTTAGTCTGTTTTCTTTCTTTCTTTTTTTTGAATATAAAATTGAAGGATAAATGCAGTTATTTAAAATTCCCTTCTAGCTACACATTTTTGCAATTAGATGTCTAGCTTTTCCTAGTTGTCAGAAAGTATATATGACATATGAGTCTTTGTACAAGAAGGTCTAATATGTCAAAATCCATAGAAAAAGTTTGGAAAGTAATCGTATTTGGGAAGATTTTTTTTTCTGCCACAGGAGATAATTAATCACATTGAAGAATAACACAAATTACTGACTTATATATTAATAGTTTTTAGCCATAAAATGAACCACAAAATATTAACAGTCAGCTTTCCTAAGGCAGGTGCAATAGTTTTTTTTTAAACATTAAAATTTATAAGAAATATATTGACTCTTATTGACAAAAACAAAACAACACACAAAAACAAAGCAAGAATGTCTGTTGTCAGAATGCAGGAATAAAGTTTTCCTATTGATTACTTGTATTTCTTTCTGATGATAATTATTATATATTGCTATTAGTTTCTTCTCATTATTAATCTTTCATTGGTTGGTTGTTCATCATATGATTATGTTCCTAAAAGTTCTGCTTTCATCTTCTATACCTAGGGGAGGAGGACTTAGCTCAATTTCTGTTTATCTAGTTACAAGTTGAACATCTCAGATCTGAAATCTGAAATGTTTCAAAATCTGGAACTTTCTGAATGCTGACATGACACTCAAAGAAAATGCTCATTGGAGAGCATTTTGGATTTTGGATTTTTGGATTTGGGGATCTTCAATTGGTATAAGGCAAATATTCCTGAGTTTAAAAAAATACAAAATCCAAAACATTTCGGGTCCCAAGCATTTTGGATAAGGGATATTCAATCTGTGCAGTTTGGCTTAAATGGCTTCACTTAGGAATTGTCTTTTAATTTCTTTGTGCTCTCCCTTTTCTTTGTTCTTTCATGTCCCTCTGGCTTATATATTACTTGAAAATTGATTTCCTAGCAGGACTGACTTCTATCATTCTTGATTATTTTCCTCCTCTCCAAATTAATTTCTCCTCTTCTGTGTAACAAATTATAACTGTTTTGAATGCACTGGAAATAAGTATCCTTCTAATCAATTTTAGAATGAATTATTTTTAGTGCTAGGACATGTAGCCTGTGATTATATGACAACAGCATAGTAAATTTTGCTTAGGTTTTACTCCATTATATTTATACAGCATAATGCTCCAATTCCTCAAGGAGGGCGTGGTGCAATCCAGTTTGTGACTCAGTATCAGCATTCAAGTGGGCAGAGACGCATCCGAGTGACCACCATTGCTAGGAAGTAAGTTGTATTTGTTAGAGATTTGATTTTCATATCACAGGTATCTGGGTTGTGTTTCCAAACTGGATTCCTATTTTGGGTGACATCCATGACTAGCAAGTGAATATTTGTGACTAATAGTATTTTATTTATTTCTTTCTAACCCAGCTTATTTGCTACAATATGCATTACTAAGAACCGTAAGAGCAATTTTAAAAAGTACTTCTAAGACACACCCTTCAAAATATTATTTTATTTACCTCATTCCTGTGAGAGGAGAAAAATCAGATATTTACCTATAATAGTCAATAATAATATATATAATCCATTATATATATAAATGATATAGCACAGTAATTAATCACATTACTTTTCAATTAGTGATAAAAATTCTTAGCTATTTTTTTTTCAAGTTTTATTAGTCATTTAATTCATTTATTATGCCATTACTCAGCTTCTGCTTTGTGGAGTAGGTTCTGTTTTAGGAGAGTATGAATGCGGAAGCCGTGAACGTACTTAGCCTCCTGCTGTATGACAGTGTGGTATAGAGTCATCCTCACATTGTCTGTGGTAAAGGGCCAGTTGTGTTTTTTTTCCTAATCCTTCGGGTACAGATGCTTTTATTAAATACAATAAAAATGAATTACTAGAAAAATGAAATTTTAAAAAGTGATTTAAAACAAACTCCCTGTTTTATATTATTAGATTAATAAGATATAAGATTATTTTGTGAAGTTGCTCAGTTTCTAAATATTTATTCTCAGTTCCTCTTTTGACTTCATGGCACTGGTTCACATACCACACTTTGACTAGCACTTGTTGAGACCACAAAAGGTAAAGTCTCTATCTAACAGATTCAATTATAGGGTAGTATTTTGTGTAACATAGTCATGTTCTAATTTATTGATATAGGCAGGGTCCCCAGAAGGGAATAATAAGGCCCAACAGATACCTTTTCTTATTCCTATCTTTGTGATAGATTTTCCAAATAAGGCATGTATTTGTTCATGGGCTCTTTGCCCAGCATTTGCAGAGACAACAAATTTAACTGAATTTAGTACCTTTCTTTTTATTAAGAATTACGAATAAATTATTTCTCTGCTACTTTGGTATCTCTGTGTATTTGTGAAGTATAAAACAAAAGGAAAATAATTGTGGAATGAGTTTAGTTAGGAAGAGGTTTTTTAGATGAGGTGAATCTAGAAATGAACAGGCTTTGGTCTTTATTTCTGTTTGTCTTGAACTTGGTTGTCTGGATAGGAAAAGTGTTGATCAGTAAACTTACCCAGTTTAGTCATGGTCTCGACAATGGACAAGGAAGGCATTTGTAGCTCTCATTTTCATTAAGTGTACTTAAACTCTAGCTTCATTCCTGAAAATCTTAAGACTTTTGTTGAGTGATGGACATGAACACAACATTTGAACTGAGTATTAGCTGTATTGGGTGATCTATTACTTAGCACAGGGTTGTACATAGATTTAGTGTTCTGTTCTGTTACCTTGCTTTGACTTAACATCCTGGAACAATGTCAAGGGGATACATTATTCATTTGAAGAAAAAATGTCAGCTGAACCTTCCCTTAGATTTATTCAGATTTCAGATAAGGAACTTGGAAGTACTGATGCTTGGCAAACTTCTCAGTTTATTTATGGCTCTCAACGTGTGTGCACACACACACACATGTGTGTGCACACATTAAATTTGACATTCAGAACATTTGCTTAAGGAAACAACGACATACCAAATGAAGGACTTTTTACAACTTACAAAGTCACTGGTTTGTACTATTCAAAAATGTCTTGGAAGACAAAGAAAGTCTGAGCAACTGATCCAGATTAAAGGATACTAAAGAAACATTACCACTAATGCCAATGTGTGATCATGGACAAAATGCAAATGTCAGGGAAAAATTTTGCTTTAGAAGCCATTATTAGACAATTGGGGAAATATGAATATAGTCTCTTTCTATATGATAATGGCATTATATCAGTGTTAGATTTCATGAGTTTAATAATTGGAGCTATATAAGAAAATTTTTTGTTCTTAGGAGATATACACTGAAGTATTTCAGGCAGAAGGTCATAATATCTCCAACTTAATCTAGAAAAGTTCAGCAAAAAATGTGTATATAAATGGAGAGAGAGAATGATAATGCAGATGTGTTAAAATGCTAACAACTGATGAATCTAGGTGATGGTTATATAGGAGTTTATTCCACTCTTACTGTCTTTATGTTTGAAATATTTTTAAAATGAAAATTTTAAAAGGTTAGGTGACTCTTTCAAGAGACAGGGTGCTGTCTTATGAGAAATATTATGGGCTTATATATTTTCAGTTTGCACAGAATTTATGAGGCTATTTGTAGAGACATATGTGTGTTATGGTGCCATTTATAGCATTGTGTCTTACCAAAAGCATCCGTCTTTTCAAGTTAACTTATCCCAACCATTTCCAATGATCAGAGCACCTTGTTGTTTTTTTTTTTTTTTTTTTTTTTTTTTTTTTTAAACTAGGACTATGACTTTAGGGGCCTAGACAAGTGTTTTTGTTAAGTGAATAAGCCATATGAAAATAAAGGCTCCTGAGAAGACAAAGTTACTCTATTTTTCATGTACAAAATGACTTTGATCTAGGAATTTTGGTTTAAACTAGTTGTAAGAATCACAGTGAAGGGATACGGGAAATGTAGAAGACAGATTTTTACAATGTCAAGAAGCCCTTTAAACTTGACTTTAAGAGCCCACCTTTTAATTTATGTCTAAACAAATAATAATTAGTAAATTTGCATGTGTTCACTTGGAATGTATTTCCTCTCCTGCACCATTATATTTTCAGAATTAAAAAAGTCACCTTTGTAGTTCAGTTTAAAGCAAATAAATACCGTCATTCAAGTTTAGAAAGTATTGATTCAAACAGTGTTGTTTTAAATTCTTTGATTTTTAAAATTAAAACTAAAATAATTAATAAAACACTAAACCAAACTATTAGTATAATCATGAAGTCTTTAAATTGCATTAAAACATAACTTTCAAAATTACCAATGTCTTCTTTTACACATTCTCAGTCTTTTTTGCTTCTTACTGTTTACTACACTGAGATAATTCACACGTTTCAACCATCTGGGAAACATTTAATAATTATTTTGCTTATTGAAAGAAAATTAAAAATACAGAAAGAAGGCCGGGCGCGGTGGCTCACGCCTGTAATCCCAGCACTTTGGGAGGCCAAGGCGGGTGGATCATGAGGTCAGGAGATCAAGACCATCCTGGCTAACAAGGTGAAACCCCGTCTCTACTAAAAATACAAAAAATTAGCCGGGCGTGGTGGCGGGCACCTGTAGTCCCAGCTATTTGGGAGGCTGAGGCAGGAGAATGGCGTGAACCCGGGAAGCGGAGCTTGCAGTGAGCCGAGATTGCGCCACTGCAGTCCGCAGTCCAGCCTGGGCGACAGAGCGAGACTCCGTCTCAAAAAATAAAAAAAATTAAAAAAAAAAAAAAATACAGAAAGAAGGGAGAAGAATTTTAAACATGCTGCTGCCTGAATTCCCTTAGGATCACTCATCACTCTTACATGTAAAAGTGGTTCAGCACTTATTTTCAGGAAGTCTATAAGTATGTCTGGCCAGTCACTATATCTGAAATATTAAACAAACAAACAAACAGATAAAATGTATTGCTGGGTCTACCTAGGTTCAGTTTGATCTGAGTCTACCCAGGATCAGTTGGATTTATACAGCATTTGGATTTAATAAATTGCTGCTATTTTATGTGTAGTATCAAATTAATCCCTTAGACTGAAGTTTTTACTTATTAACTTTTAATTGGTTTTAGTCAGTGTATTAACATGGAAATAAAAGAATACAAAGTAATTTTAATTATTTGATTTTTATCACTAATGATTGAAAGACCAATGAGAAACTTCCGACACTTTATTCATTTTCCAGTGGAATAAACAAGAATTACTTAGGTTGAGAGAAAACCTTTATTTTTGTATTTCTATATTTCTGCTTTAACAAAATTAAATAAATGAAATTTTAAAGTTGGATATAGGGACTTGCATATCTATGTGTGTGGGCACACGTATATCCTATTGTTTTTACTTGTAAAAATCTTTTATTGGCCAAGTGCGGTGGCTCATGCCTATAATCCGAGTGTTTTGGGAAGGCTGAGGCAGGAAGATCACTTGAGTCCAGGAGTTGGAGACTAGCCTGGGCAACATAGTGAGACCCTCACCTCTGAAACAATTGTTTTAAATTGGCTGGGCATGGTGGTCCGTGCCTGTAGTCCTGCTGCTCAGAAGGCGGAGGTGGGAGGATTGCTGGAGCCCAGGAGTTTGAGGTGAATCATGATTGTGCCACTTGAACCATGATCATGCCACTTCATTCCAGCTTGGGTGATAGAGTGAGACCTTGTCTCTTAAAAAAATCTCTGTTTTTTAAAAACTTCCTTATTTTATGACTTTAAAGTTTTTTTTTTTTTTGAGACAAAGTCTCGCTCTGTCGCCCATGCTGGAGTGCAGTGGTGCCATCTTGGCTTACTGCAGCCTCTGCTTCCCAGGTTAAGGCAGTTCTCATCTCCAGAGTAGCTGGGATTATAGGCATGTGCCACCATGCCTGGCTAATTTTTATAGTTTTAGTAGAGACAGAGTTTCACCATGTTGCTGAGGCTGATCTTGAACTCCTGAGCTCAAGCAATCTGCCTGCCTCAGCCTCCCAAAGTGTTGTGATTACAGGTGTGAGCCACCGCAACCAGCCTAGAGATAGGGTCTTGCTGTTTCCCAGGCTGAACTAAAACTTCTGGGCTTAAGTGATTCTCCCACCTTAGCCTCCTGAATAACTGGGACTATAGATGTGTGCCACCATGCTGACTGGACTAGTAAAAATATTAATATTTTAAGGAATGTGGTTGGAGAGCTGCCTTTACACTTACTTTGGAAGATTTCTTTAGGTTTGGTTATATTTTTCTGAAAAACAGTGAATGCTATACTAAAACTGCTATTAGTGATTTAAAAAAATGCTAATTTGAGCCTGGTGTGGTGCTCACGCCTGTAATCCCAGCACTTTGGGAGGTTCAGGTGGGTGGATTGCCTGAGCTCAGGAGTTCAAGACCAGCCTGGGCTACATG
Organism: Homo sapiens; assembly: GCF_000001405.40. Taxonomy (NCBI): domain Eukaryota; kingdom Metazoa; phylum Chordata; class Mammalia; order Primates; family Hominidae; genus Homo; species Homo sapiens. The sequence goes on along the minus strand of NC_000014.9, from coordinate 39,056,661 downwards.
GTGAATCCCCATCTCTACTAAAATACAAAAAAGTTAGCCGGAGCCTGTAGTTCTGGCTACTCAGGAGGCTGAGGCACAGGAATTGCTTGAACCCAGGAGACAGAGGTTGCAGTGAGCTGAGATCCTTCCACTGCACTCCAGCCTGGGTGACAGAGCAAGACTCTGTCTCCAAAAAAAAAAAAAAAGCTAATTTGTCTAAGTAATATTGGAATTTTGAAATATTGAAGTAGGCTGGGCGTGGTGGCTCACGCCTGTTATTCCAGCACTTTGGGAGGCCAAGGCAGGTGGATCACTTGAGGTCAGGAGTTCAAGACTAGCCTAGTGAACATGGTGAAACCCCCTCTCTACTAATGTTGTGGGAATCAGGAGACTGGAGAGACTAGTAAGTAGAACAGGAGGATTTTATTGAGTGCACTCAGAACCAGTGGATTAACATCCGAAGACTGGGCCCTGAACAAAGACAGGGCTTGGCTTATCTACACACTTTTGAAAGGGGGCTGACTAGTTTGAAACAAGCTTACAGTGGCATGAAGCGTAGTGGCACGAAAGCTCATGTACAGAGGCAGAACAAAGGCAGTTAATTAAACTGTGACAGGTTCATAACTCAGGCTTATGTGTGACTCCTGCTATGTGGCCCAGATGGCTGTTATCTAGCTTTGCTCAAGAGAGCCTTGCACAGGCTTATCTCATAACCTTCGCTATAGCGCCTAGATGGTTGCAATCCAGTCCCGCTCAGGCATGTCTCATGACCTTCGCTGTGCTGCTCAGTTAAAACAGACTACTTGAAGTTGCTAGTTATAGAAAACAGGAATCTGTAAACTCATAGGTTTACTCATATCGTAAGAGAAAGGAAAATTTGTTTCTCTTTTCCTTGTGTTTGAGGGAGTGCTGGGAGGGTCTCCAGAGCACATTCCTTTGAGCCCTGGCTTCTTGGATAATGTTATCGATACTTTGCCTGGGTCTGGGCTTTGCCTGTTACTGCCTTTGGGATGAGTTAGCCTAATACCTAAAGCTTGTTTCCTTCTCTTGTTTAATTTTATTTTTCTTTATTTGTTTAATTTCCTGCCTCACTAAAAATACAAAAAAATTAGCTGGGCCTGGTGGCAGGTGCCTGTAATCCCAGCTACTTGGGAGGTTGAGGCAGGAGAATTGCTTGAACCCAATAGGCAGAGGTTGCAGTGAGCTGAGATCGCGCCATTGCACTGCAGCCTAGGTGACAGAGCGAGACTCTGTCTCAAAAAAAAAAAAAAATCCTAGTAGTTTCTGTATCTTTTATCTTTTAAATTTAAATTTGTGTGGTAGCCAACTATGATATTGTGGGTATAATAATTCAGAAGCATTTCTATGCTTTCTTATTGTCTTCAGCTGGGCAGATGCTCAAACTCAAATCCAAAACATTGCTGCATCTTTTGACCAGGAGGCAGCTGCCATTCTTATGGCCCGGCTAGCAATATATAGAGCAGAAACAGAAGAAGGTCCAGATGTGCTTAGGTGGCTGGACAGACAGCTCATTCGACTGGTAAGAAATAAACACTGTGCTTTTCTAAATCTGTATGCTTTCATTTGTAGTAAATGTTTGTTGCAGATAATCTCTTTCAAAGTACTTAACAGTGTATCTGAAATACTGTATGAGAAACTCCTATTCAAATTACTGAGACAGTAGCACAGTAATGAATAGTAGAACTCATTAATCTCTTCCAGTAAACTAGATTGCCTTTTTTCCTTAAAATGTAAGAGTGACAATTATGTAACCTATTATTTTTCTATTCTTATTGGCTGGAATGAGGTTAGTTCCCAATTTAATTCTATATTATTGTAACAATTTTTAGTGCTTTTTTACATATTTCTTCATTGCTGTGGCTTTAGTTTTTTACTTTCATTTTAATGGAACTATTATATGTGCATCTCTTAAAAGAAATTAGGCCAGGAATGGTGGCTAATGGCAGTAATCCCAGCACTTTGAACCAGGAGTTCAAGATCAGCCTGGGCAACATGGCGAAACCCCTGTCTCTCCAAAAAAAAATTGGCCAGGCATGGTACTGTGTGCCTGTAGTCCCACCTACTCCAGAGGCTGAGGCGGGAGGATCACTGCAACCCAGGAGGTTTGAGGCTGCAGTGAGCTGTGATTGTGCTGCTGCATTCCAGCCTGGGCAACAGAGTGAGACCTTGTGTCAAAAAAGAAATGAACTGGGGTAGAAAAATTATGCATATTAACATGCAAAATATAGACAAGTCTGTATTATCTGGTTCTAGATTACCAAGTCGTGTGCTAATAAAGTTATTAGTAGTGTTGATTTACTTAGATTTTTAACATGCCAGAACACCATTACTGTACTTACATTATGACACAGAGCACTTGATTAAGCTTAGTCCCTTTTTTTTTTTTTGAGACAGGGTCTCACTCTGTCACCCAGGCTGGAGTTCAATGAGATGATCATGGCTCATCATAGCCTTGACTTCCCCTGCTCAAGTGATTCTCCCACTTCAGCCTCCTGAGTAGCTGGGACTACAGGCACACACCACCACACCTGGCAAATTTAAAATTTTTTTGTAGAGATGGAGTCTGCTTATGTTGCCCAAGGTGGTCTGGAACTCCTGGGTTTAAGTGACTCTCCCACCTCATTCTCCCAAAGTGTTGGGATTACAGGCATGAGCCACCATCACCATACCTGGCTAATTTAAAAAAAATTTTGTTGAGACTGGGTCTCACTATTTTGCTCAAGGTAGTCTCAAACTGCTATGCTCAAGCACCCCTCCCACCTTAGTCTCCCAGAGTGTTGGGATTTTACAAGCATGAGCCACCACACCTGGCTAAGCTCAGTTCTTAATGCTTCATTTTTACTTAGCAACCTCTGGCTTATTCTTTGAAGGTACTTCTTTATGCACTCTAGCTTAAACACCCTTTTGAGAACTCTATTTGCTAAGCTGTCGAATTTCTGTGTCCAGTGGCTTTTGTGTGGTTGGTGTAGGCTTTCATGTAATTTTAAAAATTCTTGAGTGAACTAGACTTGTTTTAAAAAGTTAGCCATTTTTATATCATCATTCAGAACTTTTTTGATTTCACCTCCAAGAGTTTTTTTTATACTAGTACCTCTTTGAAAAAAGCAGCATTATGACAATATTACCTTTTTTTTAAAAAAAAAAAACAAGAAAGATTAATCCTCTCATAGGGTCCACTATTGATGGGACACTATTAGAACAAATGCCAACACAGTTCCTTCAAGGTGGATCTTTTGTTTCCAGATAGATATAACATTAAATATATTTTGACCCTTGCTTATTTAGGATAGCAGAAAAGTTTCTCTTTGTAGCAGAAATTTTCCTTGAATTTCACTGTTATTTAGAAATCTGACATGACATCATTGAAACCTGTTAACTCGTCAATCTGTAGAGAATCTGTTATTTTTCAGCTTATTATACACAGATGTCTCCAGCATCATGTGACATGTCATCAGTGCTTTGACTTATTGTACTGTTTTTAAATGGGACCTTTTCAATTTCTCAGACTACATCTTTTTTTTGTTTTGAGACAGAGTTTGGCTCTTGTTGCCCAGGCTGGAGTGCAGTGGTGCAACCTTGGCTCACTGCCACCTCTGCCTCCTGGGTTCACGTGATTCTCCTGCCTCCGCCTCTGGAGCTGCTGGGATTACAGGTGCACACCACCATGCTGGCTAATTTTTTGTATTTTTAGTAGAGACGGGTTTCACCATGTTGGCCAGGCTGGTCTTGAACTCCTGACCTCAGGTGGTCCACCTGCCTTGGCCTCCTAAAGTGCTGGGATTACAGGCGTGAGCTACCGCACCTGGCCTCAGACAGCATCTTGTCCTAGCATTTTCACTTACTGTGATTTTACATATTGGCAATATTCTTTTCTCAACAACTGTGTGACTTTTCCTTTTCTAGGTAATAAGTTGTACTCTGAAATAGCTTGCTTCCTTAGTTTTTTTCACTAATTGTGACTTTGTCTCAACAAATGCTTCATTGTTTAGAGATTCTAAAAGCTGCTTGATGTAATCAGCACCTTTTGCTTGTCAAATGGCTGTGATTTGTAGTAAAGGGCTTTTTCCATTTTGCCAGAGGTATTGCTGAATTGGTAGGTTGTCACATATGACACAAAATTGAACAGTACAACTTGGATTACTGTCCCATGTAAAACCTACTGATTTTCCTTGTAAAGGTGGATTTTTTTTGTATGTCCCTTGTTGCATGAATACACTGAAATGACTCAGATGATTGTAATTCTTCAGAATTATCAGGATTCTCTGAAGACTTATGTCTAGAATTGTTCTCTTTTATATCTTTTATCTCACATCTCAATTTTGAGATTGTTTTTTAATTTTTTTTTTTCAACTTTTAAGTTCAGGCATACACGTGCAGGATGTGCAGGTTTTTTGTATAGGTAAACGTGTGCCATGGTGGTTTACTGCACAGATATCCCATCACCCAGGTATTATAGGCCAGCATCTATTAGCTATTCTTCCCAATGCTCTCCCTCCCCTCACTCCCCACAGGTGCCCAGTGTGTGTTGTTGCCCCCCATGTGTCCATGTGTTCTCATCAGTCAGCTCCCACTTGTAAGTGAGAGCATGTGGTGTTTGCTTTTCTATTCCTGTCTTAGTTTGCTGAGGATAATGGCTTCCAATTCCATCTGTGTCCCTGCAAAGGACATGATCTGGTTCCATTTTTTTTTTTTTTCGAGAAGGAGCCTCGCCTTGTCGCCCAGGCTGGAGTGCAGTGGCACGATCTCGGCTCACTGCAACCTCCTCCTCCAGGTTCAAGCAATCCTCCTGTCTCAGCCTCCCAAGTAGCTGGGATAACAGGTGTGTGCCACCACACCCAGGTGATTTTTTTTTTGTATTTTTAGTAGAGACGGGATTTCACCATGTTGGTCAGGCTGGTCTCGAACTCCTGGCCTTAAGTGATCTGCCTGCCTTGGCCTCCCGAGTACTGGGATTACAGGTATGAACCACCACGCCCGGCTAGTCTTGTTCCTTCTTATGGCTGCATAGTATTTCATGGTGTATATGTACCACATTTTCTTTATCCAGTCTATTATTGATGGGCATTTAGGTTGATTCCATGACTTTGTCTCACACCTCAATTTCAAAAATTGCCACATTATTTGACATGTTTGTAAAATGTAAGCACTAATGTAAAACAGAAGGGCCTAGTAATTAATTAAATGAGACAACTGCAAAAAGTACAAAATTACATAAACCTCACAGTGTACTTTACTTCTAATCTACACATTCTACATTCTGCAGCATTTACAACAGCAGCAGGGCAGTTGGGGCTAGAGACCAGATTAGTCTTGTGGCCCCATTTTATGATAATGACTGAAGGAAGCAAGGGCTTCCTGTCATGTTAAAGGTATCCAAAACAGACATGGTGCCAGCACCAATTTGGCTCTGTAATGCACACTGTCTCCAAAACAGTACACAAAAAATGATGTTTCTTTTTAATTAAAGTTACTCTAGTAAGTCATCAAGGAAAAGAAAACATATTACTATGCTAAATTGAGGGAAAGAAATTTATTAGTATAATTTCCTAGGTTTTTGATTAGGAAAAAACTTACAAAAAGTTTTAATACCTAAACAGTATTAACTTTTTCTCTATTTGTGTTGCTGTTGTTGTAATAGCTAAAAATTCAGCAGTGAAGTTGTCAGTACAAGAAAATGAGGCTATCCTAGAATAGCTACTGAAACTAAAGTGCGTTATCACCTAAGTCATTTATCACATAAGATACTGGTATCCACACATGATTTACTGCCTCTATTCTCAGTCCCTTGTTCGGATCCATTGTGCATCCAACTTCAGGGATCTGTTCATCTCTTTCTTTCTTTCTTTCTTTCTTCCTTTCTTTCCTTCTTTTGAGATGGGATCTTGCCATATTACTTACCCAGGCTGGACTTGAACTCCTGGGCTCAAGTGATCCTCCCACCTCAGCCTCCCAAGGAGCAGGAACTACAGGCCTGTGCCACTGCTCCCGGCTTCCTTTTTGACTCCTGGCCTTTTCTGTTTCACAACTTAAAATTGATGGCTGATTCATCTCTGACCTTTGGTTTACCCATCAACCACTAATTGTGTTCTCCCTTCAGCTGCATTGCTAGCCATCCTGGGTAAACACTTCATCTAATCAGACTTGACTCAGGAAATCTTCTGTCTTAAGACTATTGGGACTTTCCCTGCAAGCCAGGTTTTCTCTTGCTGCACCAATGGGATGAAACACTTTAGCTTTACTGTTTTTACAGATACCGCTTTTGTCATTACCATTTTCTTATAGAGGTTAGGCATTGACCCCTAGGGTCCTTTTATGTGGCTGCCTTTATGCATAAATAATTACTGAATTAAAGAAGGAATTAGCCTTTTTGTAAGGGATGTTATTTTCCTCAGGAAAATCATTACTGTTGCTTTATCTGCCCAGTTTTATTACTTCTGAATAACTCAAATAGTGGGTCTTGGATATACCTTCTTTATGCTTCAGTCTGTTTTCCACCGGTATTAGTGTTTTGGTTGGGTTGTAAATAAGGACTGCTCCTCGTGACTCAAGTAGTTGATACTAGAGCATTTTACAGGTGTTCAAAAAATTGTTTTTGGCCGGGCACGGTGGCTCACGCCTGTAATCCCAGCATTTTGGGAGGCCGAGACGGGCGGATCATGAGGTCAGGAGATCGAGACCATCCTGGCTAACACAGTGAAACCCCGTCTCTAATAAAAATACAAAAAATTAGCTGGGCGTGGCGGCGGATGCCTGAGGCAGGAGAATGGCGTGAACCTGGGAGGCGGAGCTTGCAGTGAACCGAGATCGCGCCACTGCACTCCATCCTGGGTGACAGAGCGAGACTCTTGTCTCAAAAAAAAAAAAATTGTTTTTTTCTTTTTCGAGACAGAATCTCGCTCTGTCTCCCAGGCCGGCTTGCAGTGGCACGATCATGGCTTACAGAGTAGCCTCAACCTCCTAGGCTCAAGCAATCCTCCTACCATAGCCTCTCGAGTAGCTGGGACTATAGTCACGTGCAACCATGCCTGGCTAATTTTCAAAATTTTTTGTAGAGACAGGATCTCGCTATGTTGCCCAAGCTGGTCTCAAACTCCTGGGCTCAAGTGATCCTCCTGTGTTGGCCTCCCAAAGTGCTTGAATTATAGGCATGAGTCAGCACACTTGGCTCAAATTTTTTTTTTTTTTGGAGACAGAGTCTTGCTCTGCCACCCAGGCTGGAGTCCAGTGGCACGATCTCAGCTCACTGCAACCTCTGCCTTCCGGATTCAAGCAATTCTTTTGCCTCAGCCTCCCATGTAGCTGGGATTACAGGCGCGCACCACCATGCCTGGCTTATTTTTGTATTTTTAGTAGAGATGCGGTTTCACCATGTTGGCCAGGCTGGTCTCGAACTCCTGACCTTGTGATCCGCCCGCCTTGGCCTCCCAAAGTGCTGGGATTACAGGTGTGAGCCACTGCGCCCGGCCACAATTTTTTTTTTTTTTTTAATAGCGATGGTTGTCTTGCTATATTGTTCAGGCTGGTCTCAAACTCCTAGGCACAATCTTCCCACCTTGGCCTCCCAAAGTGCTGGAATTACAGGCGTCAGTCACTGTGCCAGCCTTTTTGGTGTTTTAAGGCACGTGTTGAGCTTTTTTGTTGTTATCTAAGAGCTCTTTATTTGTTGTGAGAGACACTTAGTTAAAAAATATCCAAATATTTTAAGGTGAGTTATTAATTACATTGGGACAATGTGGTGTTTGTTTCTGAAATTTAGATGTTTTTTCTTTGGTTTTGTCTCTTGGTAAGTCTATAAGTAATATTATAATTTTATTCTTTATCAAGTATCTGCTTCCTGATGATTGGTAACTTCTTGTAAATAGAATATTTATAGGCAACAGTGTTAGCTTTTATTCCAGGAAATAAATTACTAACACATTTTATTTTATTTAGTGTCAGAAATTTGGAGAATATCATAAAGATGACCCAAGTTCCTTCAGATTTTCAGAAACTTTCTCCCTTTATCCACAGGTAAGTAGGTAAAAGGTCCATATTCTTTTCTTTTCTTTTTTTTCCTTTTTTAGAGACAGGCTCTCCCTATGTCATCCATGCTGAAGTATAGTGGCTCCATCATAGCTCACTGTAACCTGGAACTCCGGGGCTTAGTCAGCCTCCTGAGTAGTTAGGACTACAGGAGTGTGCCACCATGCCGAGCTAATTTTTTTTTTTTTGGTAGGGATGGTTTCCTGCTATGTTGCCCAGGCTGGTCTTGAACTCTTAGCCTCAAGCAGTTCTTCTGCCTTGGCCTCCCAAAGTGCTAAGATTGCCACATCCAGACAGACCCATATTCTTTTCTTGTGTGGCCAGTAGCATTGAGCCTCATTTTTCCTTTTTTATTGCTCTTTTTATGGTATCTATTTTATTGGGTTATTCTTTTTGTTAGGTAAGTTTTGGGATAGCTAAGAAATTAATATTGTGCTACGAGTAGTTGGTGAAAAGTATATAATATTTTTATATTGGCCTTGCAAATAGTCATTTATTTGTGGTGAATAGAGACTTATTCTGGAACCCTGCAGTGGGTAGAATTACATGTAAGGCTGGTTAGTTTTCCATTTGACATAAGGGGACCTAATTATAGTGGTACCAGAAGGACTTCATCTGAGGTTATTTTACCAGTTAGCTAGTCTTGCAGTATGGTATCATCACCTGAGAACAATTTTATGGGGCCAGACCAGATAAATAGAAAATAAACTCATTTGATTTACCTTACAGAATATTTTCCACCTGGAGCAGTGGAATCTATCCCTCCATCTTCCTGTTGATTTGATAGATATTTTTAAGTCTGTGTGTTTAGAGTGCTGTGTGCAGGGAACTTTAGGAGGATACAGGTGACTGACATGGATCCCTCTTACAAGGAGCTTTTAAAAGGGTGAGATGTGAAATATACATAAACAACACAGAACAGAAAGTGAGAAATATACAGAATTTAAAGGAAACTTAAAGGAGTCCTTCCAAATGGATGATTTTATATATCTTTTGAAGGAGGAGGTGGCCTTTTAGCTTAACTTGGAAGGATGATTAATATTGAGATGTGGAAATTCATATTTTTGCCCATGAGAACTTTGTTTAAAGCATCAGCTTTCTTTTTCAGAGCTGCTCTGTTTTTTTTTTTGTTGTTGTTGTTTTTGTTTTGAGGATCCTTTATTGCTGATTGATCTATAACCCAGAAACTCCATGCTTACAGAGGAGAGACTTCCCTAAAACCTCTGGTGAGATCCTGGAGAACCAGGAAAAGGCAAGGTCTGCTTGTCTTAAGGCATGTAAAATTCTTTGTTTTGTCATTTTTGTAGCAGAAACTAATAGGAAAGTGATGGAGGGCATTAGCCTAAGTATTTGACTAAATTCTGCACACTTTCTCTTCTCTCCCTGCCTCAAGCCTTCTTGTTGGGCTTTTAGATCTTCAGAGAGATCTGGACATTTCCATCTTTCTTCCTTTCCTGGAAATAGGAAGCAGAGGACCCTGGAATACTTTTTGTCTTGGGTTTTCAAAGTCTGATAATCTTCTAAAAGGTAGCATAGACCAAATTTAAGGGAAGTCTTCATCCCCAAAATATTACCTAACATTTACCAATTGGTCATTTCTGTGAGTAAACAAGAATGACTGAAGTAGTAAGGGATGCAAGAGCCTCTCAATGAATTATGGATCCTGAAAACAGAATAGGAATCAGAATTTCAGTGAATGACATGTTGGGAGAAAGCTGTTGAGTGAGTCCCAGGCAGGAGCAACATATAGGCACTTAAGACCTGAGGGTTGGAGGAATTTAAGAGAAGTGACTAAAGACAAGTGGGAATACTTTCTGGCTGATCCTAATCAGTTTTATCAAAGACCCAGTGTAACTGTCCATTATTCAGGCCTAACTCTCCCTCTTTTTGATTTCTTTCATGTGAGGAGTAGGTGGAAGGGAAGGAAAGTGAAAGGAGAAAGAAGCAGTGAAACAAAATCTGGAGAATGTTTCTTAGGTATAGGGAAGATATTAAATATTAAGAAATTATATGGGTATATATGTGGTTGTTTTTTTTTAAACCAGTGTAGACCCTTCCCAGTACAATTTTTAAGTCATGGTATTCGTTCTCATGTTGCTAATAGACATACCCGGGACTGGGTAATTTATAAAGGAAAGAGGTTTGTTTATTTATTTATTTATTTTTGAGACAGAGTCTCACTCTTGTCACCCAGGCTGGAGTGCAGTGATACAATCTCAGCTCACTGCAGCCTCTGCCTCCCTGGTTCAAGCAATTCTTGTGTCTCTGCCTCCCGAGTAGCTGAGATTACAGACACATGCGACCATACCCGGCTAATCATTTTTTGTATTTTTAGTAGAGACGGGGTTTCACCATGTTGGCCAGGCTGGTCTTGAACTCCCAACCTCAGGTGATCCACCTGCTTCGGCCTCCCAGAGTGCTAGGATTACAAGCGTGAGCCACCATGCCCAGCCAAGAGGCTTAATTGACTCACAGTTTCACATGGCTGGGGAGGACTCACAATCATGGCGGAAAGCGAAGGGGAAGCAAGACATATCTTACGTGGCAGCAGGCAAGAGAGCATGTGCAGGGGAACTCCCATTTATAAAACCATCAGATCTCCTGAGACTTACTACCACGAGAACAGTATGGGGGAAACTGCCCCCTGACATGATTCAGTTCCCTCCATCTGGCCCTGCCTTAACAAGTAAACTTGAATTGACAATTCAAGGTGAGATGTGGGTGGGTGGGGATGTAGCCAAATCATATCAGCCATATAAAAAGTAGAAAATCTGTAATTTATTTTTATATGTTCTTAGAATCTTTGGTGTTGGTAATGAGTAGTAATAAAAAAGCCCAAAGATATGGTCAGACGTGTGAAGATTAAAAACAAAGAATGGTCATAGTTTTACTACCTGGCGTCAGCCTCTGAATAACTTAGATTTGAGCAAGGGGTTTTTGTCTTTTTGTTTTTTTCCTTTTAAATACAAAGTCTTGTTATGTTGCCTAGACTGGTCTCCAACTCCTGGGCCCCAAGCCATCCCAGAGTGTTGGGATTACAGGTGTGAGCCACCATGCCCAGCCATCCTTTTCTTACTTTAACTTAAAAATTTTTTTTTTCTTTCTTAAATTTTTTTTCTTGTGGAATTTTATTTTTAGGCAGCTGATAAATTTTGTGAATAGGATTCCTTTCCTGAGGGATATAAATTAGAACATTCTTATAATAACATGTTTTGTTATGTTGTTAATAGTTTGTAATCAAATATTTTTGCTAATAGTAAACACCTGTTTTAATATTAAAATCAGTAACAACTATCTTACGTGTTTATCTTACAGTTTATGTTTCATTTAAGAAGATCTTCTTTCCTGCAAGTTTTTAACAATAGTCCTGATGAGAGTTCATATTATCGTCACCATTTTATGCGTCAAGATCTGACCCAGTCTCTAATTATGATTCAGCCTATCCTGTATGCGTATTCTTTTAGTGGACCACCAGAGGTAAGAGGGACAGAAAAAAATAAATTGGTCTTGTTACTGCAATGTGTGGCATTAAAAAAGTGAAAATAACTAAAAAAATGCATATAGTTACTAAATATAAGAATTTAACTAAAAGAATGGACATCTCAACCTATTAATGTATTCGCTTAAAATATTTATGAATGTTTACTATATGCTAGATACCATGTAGGCTGTATTAGAAGATTGTTAAATTTTTTTTTTTAAAGGAGATGGAAGAGACTTTCAGATCATTTTGTCCAGCCATTTGGTTAATCAAATCCTCCAAAGCATATGATTATTCTTTACGTCTTTAACAATGTCCAGAAGTGATTATAATTCTGTAGACTGTAGCTTATTCCAGAGTTTAGTGTCTGTGACAGTTATGACATTCTGTCTAAACAAAGGCTCTTGTTTTAATCTCATTTTCCTTTGTTTTTTTGAGAACATAAAAAATAGTTGATTATAAAGACACATGCTTAGAAGATTGATAAAGTTATCCATTTAACCTTCTTAGCAGACTGTCCCACTTATTTTAACCTGTTATCAAATGAACCATTTTTCCATTCTGTAGTTAAAATGGTCTGTTTTACTACTTAAAAGTGTGTAGTTACTGTATTTGAAAATAGTAAGGTCAATATAAAGAGAATATTTACAATATCTATTGATTAATGATCCCTCATGATGCTATTATTCACGGTTTTGTAAAATAATGGGTAAAATATTTTATTTCGTTACAATGATTTTTTTGTAATTGGTCAAATAGTTTCTATTTTTCTAGGAAATATATATTTTTAATATGTTGGTTTGGCTATATGTATTTTGCCTTGTATTCTTTGAATCAGGAATGTTTTAGAAGTAACTTTTTTTTCTTCTGAGTAATAACGTGCATGTAGACATCTGAAAAATGTAGAATGGTGTTTAGAAGAAAATTGGAATCCCACTGTCCCTAGTGCCTGCTCCTATTAAATTTCAACCTTTTCATTTAATCCATGAATCCTATCAGCTTCATGTTCTTAGGGTTTTGCTTTTGGAGTTATCTTCTTTCTGTTCTATATAATTACTTTCTGTCCATCTGGATCATTCTTATTAATTAACATAGAAACCATAACAACAGTCAGGTTTATAACAAACGGCCAAAACACCCCCACCATGACCCACGCTTTCTCTAACTGCCACCCCATTTCTCTGCTCCTGGTGAGAGTTGAACTCAAAAAAGTTATTTGTTGTTTATACTTTCTCACCTCACATTGTCTTCTCAACCTATATAAGTAAGACTTTTGTCCCTAACATTATATTGAAATGGCTCTTATAAAGACCACCAATGTCCTACATCTCACCAGAGCTCTCAACAGTATTTACCTAGTCTTCACTAGTACTCAGCCCTTGAAAACCTTTTGCCCTAGGCTTCTGTGACACCTATACCTTCCTGGTTTTCCTCTTACTCACTCACCGTTCTTTCTCAGTCTTTTGCTAGCTTTTCCCTTTCAGACCTCTAAGTGTTGACATGCTTAAGGGATCAATCTTCTGGCTTTCCCTGTCTTCCCTCTCAGTGATGTAGTCTAATCCCATTGCTTTAATCTTTGTGCTTTAATCTTTGTGCATGTGACACCTAGATTTATGTCATCAGTTCAGACCACTCCCTTTCATTTCATATGCAGAACTATTTTCCCATGTGCTCCAAATTTGCTCTATCCCAGGCCTTTCCCCATTTAGGCTTAGGAGTTATCCTTGAATTCTTCTTGACTTTACTCTATTTTTAAATTGTTTGTTACCTCAGCTTAAAGGGATTCCTTAAAAAATTAAAATACACTATAAGAATTCATAATAGCAAGAGATTTTAGGTAATAAAATATAAATTTCAAATTTAGGCCATCATGGCCTAAGTTTCAAATTTAGTGCTGAGCCTGTAATCTCAGCCTTTGGGAGGCTAAGGCAGGAGGATCACTTCAGCCCAGGAATTTGAGACCAGCCTAGGAAGCATAGTGAGACCCCATCTCTACAAACAAAAAAATGAAAAAACTAGCTGGACATGGTGTTACACACCTGTAGTCCCAGCTACTTGGGGGTCTGAGTTGGGAGGATTGCTGAAGCCTGGGAGTTTGAGGCTGCAGTGAGCTGAGATCATGCCACTGCACACCAGCCTAGGTGACAGAGCAAGACCCTTCTCCAAAAAAATAAATAAATAAATAAATAAAAGAAACTTGGAAAATAACCTGGAAACATCTATTTTATATTATTGAGTAGATTATTTTTCCTTTTTCCTCATTTCTCATTGTTTTCTTTACGTTAGCCGGTTCTTCTTGATAGCAGTAGCATTCTTGCAGATCGTATTCTTCTCATGGACACATTCTTCCAGATTTTGATTTATCATGGTGAGGTAAGATTTCAATAGCATTTAAAGCTATGCATGTAAAGTCTTTTTACTTAGAAAGGTTTTCTTACTTCTAATTGTATGGCTAGTGTTTCATCTATGATAAACTTTGATTTCCATTTTTATAAAATAATAAAATATGATGCTGCCTACTATAAGGTTTTAGGCTTCAATTGCAGTTGACCCACATGTGATTATTTTATTCATTTGTCACACAATTGGATTTTGCGCAAAGCACAGTGTTGTGAAAGTAAGAACACTGACTGTACATAGACAAATGGCACTTTTGGGTTTTACCTGAAAACATTAAGGGGGGAAAAGTCAGCCTTTGTCAGTGGGCAGGCTTTCCTTTTACGTTATGCAATCATTATAAGTTATTATTAAGTGTTCTACATGATCTTGAAAACTCATTTAAAGCATACATGAATTAAAATTTGTAACTTCATTGGAATGGTAAATGATTACAGAGAGCAGAAGATTTTAGTAGCTATTAAGCTTTAATCCAGGTATTTAGCAGACCTTGATGCATTCCTGCAGTTACTCATTCAGCCAATTGTTAAGTGCTTCCTCTGGATGCTTTGGAAGATATAGATGTGTTCTTTTTTCACAGATCTGTTCTCAAACTTACAGTCTAGTGTTTTACTAAGTTCTGCAGATTTATTTTTTCAGTTGCTTTAATTGTAAATGATTTTAGATTTGCACTGTGACTGGGTGTGGTGGCTCACGCCTCTAATTCCAGCACTTTGGGAGGCCAAGGCAGGAGGATTACTTGAGCCCAGGAGTTCAGGACTAACCTGGGCATCATAGTGAGACCCTGTCTCTACAAAAAAATTTTTAGAAAAGATTTGTACTGTAATAGTAAAGACATTACTCAAAATATTCTTTGAAGTAGTACTACCCAGGACTTTTTTTTTTTTTTTTTTGAGACTCAGTCTTGCTCTTTCACCCAGGCTGGAGTGCAGTGGCGCTATCTTGGCTCACTGCAGCCTCTGCCTCCCGGGTTCCAGCGATTCTCCTGTCTCAGCCTTCTGGGTAGCTGGGATTACAGGCACATGCCACCACGCCCAGTTAATTTTTGCATTTTAGTAGAGACAGGTTTTCACCATGTTGGCCAGGCTGGTCTCGAACTCCTGACCTCGGGTGATCCGCCCGTGTTGGCTTCCCGAAGTGCTGGGATTATAGGCGTGAGCCATCGCGCCCGACCTACCCAGGAGTTTTAAAAGATTTAATTATTATTATTGTAAATTATTTTTAATTGATACCAGTTTCTAATGCCCTTTACTTGTTAAGAATAATACCTGTTTTAACTTCTTGCCTTTGTTAAAAAAAAAAAAAAAACCTGTAATACTGACAGGGCTTTTTTTTTTTTTTTTTTTTTTTTTGCTTTTTCTTTGTTTTATGGTGATTTTTACTTTTTCAAGTAGCTTGTTAAAGGAGAAATCAGAAATGCACATGATTGTTTTATACAGAGGTATAAAGCTATAAAAGAATGTGTTGACTGATTCAGCTAACTTAGAAAATAAACCAGGCATAAGTTTTTAGATGATTTAATTACATGGTGTTTAGAGCTACTTACCTATGGATTGATTCAATTGCTTTCACGTATCATAAGCTTAGGTAGATAGCTTTTAGCTAACATTCATTTGATAAGCATAGTGTTTTAAAAATTTTCTGACTTATGTAAGTATTCTTTCATTTTACTTTTAAAGGAGAAGAAATATTCTAATTTTATATTTATTAAGAATATTTTCTCTACTGAAATTGTAACTTTTAAAAAATTGAGGTAAATGGAATAATGGTCTATAATTTTTTTAGTTTCTAAAGATTATTTTCTTTGGAAAAATCTCAAGATTTTTGGATGGGCAAGAAATTTAAAGTAATTTCTTTAATTGTTTTAAAATTAGACCATAGCACAGTGGCGGAAGTCAGGATACCAGGATATGCCTGAGTATGAAAATTTCCGCCACCTTCTGCAAGCCCCAGTGGATGATGCACAGGAAATTCTTCACTCCAGATTTCCAATGCCAAGATACATTGACACTGAACATGGAGGCAGCCAGGTAAGTAGTGTTAATTTGTTTGTGTGTTTGTTTGTTGTTAGGTTTGCAGTGAGGTGTACCTGCTTGCCTTCTGATTTTAATAGATTGCTTCATAAAGCAGACAGAAAGGTAAGGAGATAGGTGGGGAAGGTATCAGTGCTTACTTTTTGCATTAGCTTTTGAGAGCAAAACAGTAAGATTATTGACTAGTTGCCTAAACCTGGCACTTTCCATCATCTTCTGTCTCTAGCCTAGCTTCCTGAACAGGGCCAGGATGGCATTGTGGTGGTATACTAGCTTTGGTTGAACAAGAAAATGTGAACAGCTTGGAAAGTAATATACTTTTCTTAAAGCCGTTTATTTACTGTTAAAGTCTATGAATATGACATTTGTGGTAACTTACATTTTTTCATTGTCTTCATTCTATCATTCCAATTTTCTAGAAAATAAAATTTTATGTAATAGGAAAACACTGTAGTATTATGAAAAGGTTTTGTGGCTTTTAGGATTTTGAGGATACATATACGTTAGATACATATACATACATACACAGTTGCTTTGAGACCTTCAGAAGGCTAAGTTAGGTTCCTTAACATACTCTCATAAAATACTTCTTACTTCTCTTTTGTAATTCTTATAAGAGTTATAATAAATTAATTATAAGTTGTTATTAATTTGTTTTACATGCTCTTTGAAGGCAGGGACTATGCTTTGTATTCCCTAGTGCCTAGTACGGTATTATAAAATAGGTAGCAAATATCAGTAACTGTTATTCAGAAATGATAATTACTATTAGTTTTACTGTATTTATATGAGAGTTATTTCATATTGAGAATTTGCAAAGTACTTCTGCATGCCTTATCTCATTTGATCCTCATAAGAATTCTAGTGTTATTTTCATTTAACAGATAATAAAACTGAGATCTAGGTTACTTATGGCCAAGGGAACACAGTAAATACAGGAGTGGGATTTGAGTCCTGGTACTCCAGGGCCAGTGCTCTTCACTGTTAGGTTAAACTGATTCCTTAGAGAGTAGAAAAAGATTTTGTATGATACTAAATTTCAAAAGATGTTACTGTCTATGTGCTTCCATTATGAGTTAAAAATCTTACTGGTTCTTTCATTGATGTCTCACTGTGTGTATTACCATTTTCCTCTTTTATTCTGGTTATTATTTTCATGATGATAAGCCATAGTGGGTAGAAGGATAAAATGTTGGATCACTTGTCTCATAGAATCACCTGTGGTTTAAGAAAGCTTAAGGGTCATTATTTTAAGCAAAAGAACATACAGATTTTCATGGCTTTTGTTTTTATCATTATTTGGGATTTTGAACTTCTGACCAAGTGTTTAGTAATTTCACACCAACCTTGTCATAATTGTTGCACACATAATTTTTATATGCTGAGTTTTGGACTCAACAATGTATTTGTTATTTTGGATGTATGATTTGGAGAGAAGAGGTGCATTTATTATTTATTTGTAACACTTAGTGACCTATACATTTCAAAGTTTAATCTTTTAAAAATTAAGTTAATAAAATTAATTTTACCAACACATACTAAATAAAATTGATTTTGCATGATATAATTATTCAGCTGATATTGACTGAAACCATTTTTGATGGATAATGTTATTTCTTCTTTGCTTTTAAGGCCCGTTTCCTCCTTTCAAAAGTCAACCCTTCACAGACTCATAATAATATGTATGCCTGGGGGCAGGTAAGTTTAAATAGCAGGTCTTGGAAATTATTTCTTTGTGTATTTATTGTTTATTATTTTAGTGAAAGCTACATTTTTTTCCTGTGTATTTAGTAATGGTTTCTGTTGGAAAAGTAATGTAAAAATGAGAGTAGAAAACAGAATTAATATTTGGCGACACCATAGGACAAAAGTGATCCTATCAAATAGACTCCAAGTTTAGCACTATACCCTTGAGACAAAAAGCAATGAAGTGTGTAAGACAGGAAGTGGTGACTCCAGTTTAATGCTAGGTTGTGAACCACAAAAGGCCACGATAAGCCAAGAGAGGCCAGGGATCATAGTTGAGAAGGAGGGGCAGGAACCCTGCAAATCATTATTGATATAGTTTAATTTGGTAAAAGTCCTGCTGGGTGTGGTGGCTCATGCCTGTAATCCCAGCTGCTCAAGAGGCTGAGGCAGGAGGATCACTTGAGGCCAGGAGTTTGAGACCAGCCTGGGCAACATAGCAAGACTCCATCTCTTAAAAAAAAAAAGTGTTAACCTCTTGGTATAACATATCAACATTTATTGAGTGTCCAGTATGTTTAGGACTTTGTATTGGCTCTTTAGGGTGCAGTTATTACCCATGCCTTTGGAGAGCTTGTAGTCTAATATTAGAGATAAAATACATACCTAAGTAAATTACAAGGCAGAATGGGATATTTGTCCTTAGAAAGCTATGAAGTATTACAAAGGTTAGAAGAGGAAGATGGCAAGAGGTCACATAGTGGTAGCAGGAAGAGGGTGTGTAATCAGAAAAGAGCTCAGAAAAAAGAAACATTTCATTTAAAGAATGGTTATTTCAGTAATTGGAAATTGCATGAGGAAGGGAAATCTAGGTAGAGAATAGTATGGGCTAAGATAAAAGACTACATGCAGAGCTGACTAGAAGAACATAAAACGGAAATGTGTTGTACAAGTAAATTGTGGAGGATCTTGAATGTCAGGTTGAGGAGTGAGAAGTTGAGTATTTATTTGGTAAGTAATGGAGAGTCATTGAAGGTGGACAGAGGGCAGATTTGAGTCTTAGTATAGTTGAATCTTAAGATTAAATGGAAGCAGTCTGTAGGTTGAAAGTATATTTACGAAAATAATCCAAGTGAGAGGGAGTAAAGGCAAGATGGTGAAAGGAATAGATTTGGGAGATATTTTAAAAGTAGACTCAATAGGACTTGATTAGAAGTTGCAGGAAAGTAATTATTCCAGGGCATGGCAACTATGCACAAAATCTGAATTCTGATTGAATCCTGGATTAAAGGGAGAGAATAGCTATAAAGAACATAATTGGGATAATTTGTGAGATTTGAATATAGATCATATATCAGATAACTAGTACAGAATTATTAAATTTCTTGAGAGTGATAATGGTGTGGTTATGTAGGAGATTCTTCTTGATCTTAGGAGATACATCCTGAAGTATTTAGGAATAAAATGTCATGATGGCTTCAACTTCCAGAAGTTATTCAACAAAAAGAAGAAAAAAGGAAAAATAATGTAGAAACATAAAGCATACGTGGCAAAATGTTAACAGTCAGTGAATGTAGGTATGCTATATGGGTGTTTATTGTACTTCTCTCTCAACTTTAATGTAGTCTTGAATTTTTAAAAAACAGGTGAGGGGAAACAGGGTATTTTGGGGTTTTAAGCCTGAGTGACTAGGAAAACATATGTCAATAAATGGGAGAGTGGAGAGAAATTGTTTGGTTTAGACACTGAGTTTGAGGTACTATCTAGAAGGCCTTATTGAGCCACAATAAGATGACCATATTGATTATGGCCATGTTGAGTGGGCTGTTGGCAATTTGGGTTTGATGGTCAGGGCAAGAATGAGAAAGGTGATAAAGTCATCACAGTAAATGCTTGTCTGAAGAGAGAGTAAAGAGGTAAAGGAGAGATGAGACAAAAACTTCAGGGGAGTACAAGTGGTAGGAGTGTTTAGTGAATTATCAGAGAGGCAGAATGAAAAGAATAGTATGTCATAAAAGGTGACTTTATAGAAGGAAGAAGAAGGAGGTAACAAACTGACATGCCGCAGACAGTTGAAGAGGGATACAGAGTGAGAAAAGGTGCTTGGATTTGATGGCTAGGAGGTTATTCGTGGCATTGTGTAAGCGGCTTTAGTATGGTGGTTGAGTAAGAAGATAAATTTATAAGGAATTAGTGGGTGAGAAAGAAGCGGAGGTCGAAAGTATAAATGATTCTTTTGCAAATTTAACCTGAGGATAAGCAGTAGGATAGGCAGATGATTGTTATTACGGTAAGGGCACAGAACTTATTTGGAGACCAAGCATAGGAAAGACACAAAAGAACAGATATTTAAGATCCTCAGGAGACAATATGATCATAAGCAGTATATGGACGTTAAGCATTGGTAAGGAGGCAGGGCACTTATTTCTGCAAAAGCAAAAGGTAAGAAGGGTGAAGACAGAAAGGTTTTTAGGTGGAGTGAAAACTCACATTGGATAATTGCCTGTTTCTTTTCAATAATATGAGATTATTTAGGAGTGAAAAAGGCTGGAGTTAGGGGCCAAAAAAACTAGAAAAGATTAAAAACAGTTCTAAAGAATACAAAAATCAACTGAAGATTAATAAAACGCTTTTGCAGCAGTGGTGAGGGCCTATTTTATTTACTAAAAATATCTAGAGCATGCTTCCATAATGTTCTTTTTTTTTTTTTTTTTTTTTTTTTGAGACGGAGTCTTGCTCTGTTGCCAGGCTGGAGTGTAGTGACGCGATCTCGACTCGCTGCAACCTCTGCCTCCTGGGTTCAAGCGATTCTCCTGCCTCAGCCTCCTGAGTAGCTGGGACTACAGGCACACACCACCATACTCAGCTAATTTTTTTGGTATTTTTAGTAGAGATGGAGTTTCACCATGTTGGCCAGGATGGTCTCGATCTTCTGATCTCGTGATCTGCCCACCTCTGCCTCCCAAAGTGCTGGGATTACAGGTGTGAGCCACTGTGCCTGGGAGTATCCATGAATAGATTTTAATTGTTTCATGAGGGCGGAACCCTTATGACCCAGTCACCTCTTAAAGGCCCCACCTTTATACTGCCACATTGGGGATTTTCAAAATGAGTTTTGGAAGGGACAGATATTCAAACCATAGCACCGTCCTACAATTGCATGATTGAATTTGTGTAATATCCCTGTCCTGTCATCCCTTTTCCCGCCTCCATTTTTTATGGCATTGCTCCTGTTAGATTATTAATTACTTGAGGCAATAACTGTCATTTTCATTTTTGATTTTCCATAGGACCTTAAACATAGCATATATTGAATACAATAGATCTGGACAGGAGAGAGCAGAGATTAGAATATTGGAAATCTGTGGAGGTGGCTAGGAGTTAAGAGTTTTTGTAATATAGGTAAATAAATTGAATCCCAGGTCCAAAAGTTCTAAAAGTTGGGGAGGTTATAAAAAGTAATCTTGGAAGGGTGGAAGGCTGGTAATGGAAAATGCAGACTCTGCAAGTTACTTGACTTCTCTTTGTTTTCACTTCCTTGTCTATAGAGTTTAATAAAACATGCTTGAAATGGACAGTAATACTCAGTAAATGTTAGCTATTAGTTTTCACTATTATCAATGGAAAAAAAAGTCACTTCTTATATTTAACATGGGAAAGGAAACCTATTTTAAACTCTGAAGTGTAATTGTTACTGCCTGGAAGTAGGGGCATTACAGGCATAAATAAGAGTGCTCAGGTCTTTCTTAAGATTTTTATGAGTAATGATGTCAATATTTTAATAATCATAATATCTAATACACTGAATCTACTGTTTTAGTCACTATGCTTTTAGTGTACTCTCATTTAATTAACTTTTATAAGGTGGATACTAGTAATCCTATATTTCATGAGAGGAAATTGAGGCTCATATAGATTAAGTATTTTATGCAAGATCATGTAGCTAAACTGTGGCAGGGTCTAGATTTTAACCAAGGTCTAACTCCAGACTCTGAATTTTTAATCAAGTTAATTTGATGATTGCATTTAAAGGAAATAACAGTAACCAAGAATTTTACTAAAAATTAATGGACTCTAATAGCTTACAGGATTTTTTGGGGGTCAGAAATCAAGGACCCTATGATAAGTATTATCCATGAACGGCCGTAAGAGGGCACCACTGCAACACTTCTGTGACAGTGCTGGAGGCCTCTGTTGCTGTAGTGCCTCATATACTAAATAATGTAAAGCTTGTACCTTTCTGCCTAATCCTGGATATATTTTAAATAGAAAAAGGGTCCATTTGAAAAGTTGAGATCAGCTAACTGCTAATTTTTTATAAAATCGAATGAGCATTGGTATTTATCATTTCAAGCAGGAGCTCTGTGGTATATAAATTAGGAAATCCTTATATTTTGTCTTGACTAGGAGAAATGGCTCTGAGATTGGGTGACTTGAGATGGAAAACATTGTAAAATGAAAATAAAATCAGGCATAGTTACAGGAAGAAAAAAGTAAGAGCCATGAGGTTGTTACTGGTTTAGGTTACAGTTTTGAGACTTGTGCTTTTCTGTGTTAGCTATGCATATAGAATAAAGAAAAGTATTTCATTGTTATAGATTTTTGAACAGGAGGAACAATAGAAATAGCTAAAACATGTATGTCTACTGTGTGTACTAGGTACTGTTCTGTTTGCTTTATAGAATTTAACTCATTTAATCATTACAACAACTTGTGTAAGATAGGTCCTGTTATTATCCTTGTTTTACACATGGGGAAACTAAGACATAGTTTAAATAACTTATTCAGTCATATGGGTAGGAAGTGGCAGAGCCAGAATTTGAGCCTAGGCATTCTGGATCCAGACTCTATGCCCTTAATCCCAGTAAGGGATTGCCTCCCTTCATTATCAAATCTTTCAAGTTCTTTTGAATAAACATATGATAAAATTGATTTCCCTTTATTCAGGAGAGGTTATGGCATGTTTGTGGCTATGCCAGACTAGAATCACAGGAGCTATAAGTTCTCATCTCACATTTGCCAATAATTTGCTGAAATTACTTAATTTCCCTGTTTTAGACTTTGAATATTTATAATTAATAAGAACTTGAGTATAAGAAGAAAAATGTAAAATTCAGATTAAAAATCTTCTAGAAATACCTTCTCTTGCTGAAGTAAAATTTCATTGTTAATGGATTGGGTTACCAAGATCATTCTGTCAATACAGTTTTTATTAAAATGGATAATAGGAATTTTCCCTAACTCTTGTTAATTACTTGGAACCTACAGAAATCAATTAAAACGACCTGAAAACTTGAGAAGCATAGTTTATTTAAAAAATGATATTATGAGTTTGCTTCCTTCCAGCTGGGATTTCTCTTAAAATGCCAGGGAGAAAGGGTCTGGAGGTCAGGCTTTCTTTTAAAAGCACCAAGCCTCTAATTCCATTGTTAGTCTTCGTGGTGACTAGCCGCCATCCTGATTCATCTCATCTCATAGCATAAACTCCTATGTGATCCCATCAGCCTATGAATAAAGACACTCCTATTATCAGGGAATTCTAAGGATGTAGAGTCTCCCTCCCAGCAACCAGGGACGGAGGCCAGTTAGATTCTTTTTATTTAATAGGACCATAGGCATTTCAAATGATTTCCTTGTCTATTTTAAACATTTGTGTATAAATTCCATGATATCACCCTATGCTTTAATCATAACAAATATCTTTTTTCCTCTAGGAGTCTGGAGCACCTATTCTTACAGATGATGTTAGTTTACAAGTGTTTATGGATCACTTGAAGAAACTTGCTGTGTCCAGTGCTGCTTGAAGTGCTAATAATGTTAAAGACACTTAAGAAGATGAAATAATATTCAAATTTCATTTTTTCCTTTTTCCATTTATCTGTGGAAACCAACAGATATTGCTCTATATTTTTTGTATTAGTATGGTTTGAGACAACATATGGAAAATGTTCACATTTGTAGATTAAGCTGGAATTATAATGAGAGCAATAAGAACAAATTTATTTTGCTTACCACAGTGTTATAGCTGGTTCTAGAAATTTGAAGTCTTTATAACTTAATTATGTTTAATAAAAAATAGAGTCTGCCTCGTACTACAGATGTAACTCATTTGTATATTGCAGACAGACCCAAAGTGGCACTGAATTTTCTTGCTCACCTTTTAAAAACTTGTTCCTTAATTTTAGCCAGAAAGCAAAAAAACAATAGTAATGATAAATGTGAACATTTTTGCTTATTCATTGAATATTTTTCTGTAATTTTCAGCACTTATGTATACACTTTTTCTGTACTTACTAGGTTAAGGCAGATTTATTTTTATGATTTGTTTAGGAATTATTTGATTTTATAATGGTAATTTTCATGATGATAATGTTTTTGGTTATTTGGAAAGATAGTTTAGAGATGAAAGGTTTTTTTGGGTAACAATCCCGCAGCTGACAAAAAATGTGAAATTTCCACAAAATATCCAACTTATGTGACTAAACGCAGTAGTTTTTTTAAAAGGGGAGATAGAAAATAAATGGTTTTGTTGGAGTGCATTTTAGTAAGCCTTTGCAGTAAAATGACGGTTGTAACTACTAAACCAAATTTAGTTTTCACAGCATGGTTTTGTTGTTTTCCCCTTGTTTTTCAGAGGTAAATTTTGCATTATATCCTTCAGTATTTTAACACTATTTTGGCAGTTTACACATTACTTTTTGTTTTTCCTTCCTTTTTGTGAAATGTATTAAGTTGTGGTTCTTATTGAAACAGTATTATATAATGTTTGCTTAATTATATCATGTGATGCTCAGTTCTATTTTGATTTATTCATTAGTATTCACTTTTACCTTTAAAGTTTACTTGTAGCAAATATGTTTACATTGATAAAGCCAGATATGTTTTGACAATGAAATTTACATATCAAGTACTGCAAATAAAAGGTGGTGCTATGATATATGCTTAGGAGGACAGTTTTAATGATTGTACTTGCATGAACACAATCATATGATGGTAAAGCAGAAACTTAAGAAAAAATTGTTTATGTGTTATATTCAATTAGCTTAAATAAGTTGCTTTGTTATATTTTATTTGAATTGAACTACGCTAGGCCTAAATGCCAATAAAATATACTTTTCACTGTTTTTCTGGCTATTTTGAAATCTAGTAAAACCTGAGAAGCCTAATGTAAAATTAGAGTATTTAAAATCATTAGATTTAAAAGCTACTCATTTAAAAAATAACAACTTTAAGATATAATTCACACATCATACACTTCACCCACTTAAAGTGCACAATTTAATAGTTTTGAGTATTTTCGTGAAGTTATGTATGTAACCACATCACCACAATCAATTTTAGAGTATTTTTTATCACTCCCAATAGTTACTCATTTTTGTTGTAAGGCTAGTGTGTTTTTAAAAAGGGAGATAGAAGTTCATGTAGTTTTTTGTTGTTGTTGTTGTTTGAGACAGAGTCTTGTTCTGTTGCCCAGGCTGGAGTGCAGTGGCACAGTCTCAGCTCACTGCAACCTCCACCTTCTGGGTTCAAGCGATTCTCCTACCTCAGCCTCCCAAGTAGCTGGGATTATAGGCGCCTGCCACCACACCTGGCTAAGTTTTGTATTTTTAGTAGAGATAGGGTTTCACCGTATTGGCCAGGCTGGTCTTGAACTCCTGACCTCAAGTGATCCACCTGCCTTAGCCTCCCAAAGTGCTAGGATTACAGGTGTGAGCCACTGCACCCAGCCAAGTTCACGTATTTTGAATTGAGGAAAGACATTGTAATGATGACACCTGTTTAATTTGCTTGGCCTCTTAAGTTATGTTCTTTAAGTGCTTGGCCTCTTAAGTTATGTTCTTAAGTGTTGTGCCATTGTTTCTTGTCTTGGTACTTAGCCCTAAACTGTCCTCTACTTCTAAATCAGTTACAGCTGAATTTAGGGATAAGGATGAACAAATATACCCTTTTAGTTCACCATTTAAAAGCAATCACCTGGGATCATTTTTGTGTATAATGTGTCTATTTCTAAATTATTATCTACCTACATAGACTGTTGAATGTTTAGCCCTGTCTTAGTTCTTTTGCGCTGCTAGAACAAAATACCCTAGACTGGGTAATTTATAAACAATGGAAATTTATTTCTCACAGTTCTGGAGGCTGGGAAGTCCACAATCAAGGTGCACCATAGAGTTGGTGTGTGGTGATGGCTCTCTGCTTTGTAGGTGGCACCTTCTATGCGTCCTCACATGGAGAAAGGGAGGGAGGTGAACAAGCTTCCACAGACACCTTTTGTAAAAGCAGTAACCCCATTCATGAGGATGTACCCCTCATGCTCTAGTCACTTCCTGAAGGCCCCACTGATCTGGGAGGGAGGCAGAGAAGTGCCAGGAAGGGAAGGGCGTGGTCCTTGGCTAGGGCTTCACCCTCAGGCCTGTGCCTACAGACCTAGGTGAAGACTAGCATTTCTGTTTTCCTGCCCAAATGTTGCATTTCCCAAGACCACTGTGGCCCACCATGCCCCCATCCTGTGCTTTTAAGAACCCCAAGACCCTAGCGGGCACAACACATGCAGCTGGATATCAAGAGGAATGCATTGGCGGAAGAACACAAAAGCAGCAGGACGTCGAGAGGGGCATGCCGGCAAAGAGCACACCGGGAGACTCCAGTAGACACCGGCAGGCCAACCAGTGGAACGACACAGAGTTTGGCTGGGGTGGCCGGAGGAGGGCCCGGGCTGCTGAGCTGCCTGACTCCAGGGGAAAACCACCTCCCCACTCCATCTCCCTTCTGGCTCCCCATCCATCTGCTGAGAACTTCCACCCAATAAAACCTTGCACCCATTCCCCAAGCCCACGTGGGATCCGATTCTTCCCGTACACCAAGGTAAGAAACCCTGGGATACAGAAAGCCCTCTGTCCTTGAGATAAGGCAGGAGATCTAATTGAGCTGACACAAACTGCCTACAGATGCCTAAAGTGAAAGAGCGTACTGTAACACACGCTGGGTTTCAGCTGTGAACATTCACCCCTGAACACTGCTGTGGGGTCGGAGTCCCACAGCCTGCCTGTCTGCGTGCTCCTCCTTGAGGTTGGAGCATTGGGGAACTGAGGAAGCCAGCCACACCCCCATCGTACACCCTGCCAGGGGGATAAGGGGACTTTTCCCGTTTCACCACCTCTTAAATGTCTACTGGAGATTAGGTTTCAACATAGGAACTTTGAGGGAATCAAACATTTAGACCACAGCACCCTTTTAAAGAACGTAGATGATATGGTTTGGATTTGTGTCCCTGCCCAAATCTCATGTCAAATTAGAGGAGAGGCCTGGTGGGAGGTGACTGGATCGTCGGGGCGGATTTCCCCCTTGGCTGTTCTCATAATATTGAGTTCTCGTGAGATCTGATTGTTTAAAAGTGTGTGGCACTTCCCCCTTTGCTCTCTCGCTCTCCTGCTCTGCCATGGTAAGACGTGCTTGCTTCCCCTTCACCTTCTGCCGTGACTGTAAGTTTCCTGAAGCCTCCCAGTCAAGCTTCCTGTTAAACCTGTGGAACTGTGAGTCGATTAAACCTCTTTTCTCCAAAAATTATCCAGTCTCAGGTAGTTCTTTATAGCAATGTGAAAACAGACTAATACAGCAGGACAGGTAAAGAATATTTGCTAAATTATTAGCAGCACTGAGAGGCTTTGGTATATTACCCGGAACTATTTTGGAATTCATTTTTGAACCTACTACCTCTATTGGCATAATCTCTAAAAATGATCTTAGACATCATCTGTGTACACAGATATTTTGGTGTAACAGGATAAATTTATTCTTTTATTGGCAGATTCCAAAACTGAGCTGACATTTCTCTATTTAGTTCCCCAGTTGATAGACTTCCCTCTCATATCCCCAGACTCAGAGACTGCATCTAATGAGTGTACTTAGTTGTCCAGTTCAGGCCAGAAACCAAAGAATCATTTTCAACTCTTACTCTCCTCAACATCTTTGGTAACCACGTTGTACAAATTCAACCTCTCTAGTATTTCCATAATCTGTTTCCAGTTCTCTATCCTACTGCTATTCTGCCTTCATTATATCTCACATGGTTTGGTGAAATACCCTCCTAACTAGCCTACTTTCTCCAGTCTCCTATTCTCTATCCCTCTTTTCAATTCACTTTACACACTGCAACAAGAGTGCTATTTCTGAATACAGGTCTCATTCAGTAATTGCCTTTTGCCCACCCAATAAAGTCCAGACACTTTGGCCTGGTAACATTGAATACTATATATCAGATCATACCCCAGTTCTCTCCTAGAAAAATGGTATAAAAGACACAGTTAAAAAGGTGTATTGGGGAGGGGTTCTAGTTGTACCCAAGCATTAATTTAGGTGTGGTATTTGGTATCTATATAGTGTCAAAAGCAAATGCATTCTTTACTGGCCACTACAAATTAAATTCCATGGCTTATTGCACTTGCTTTTATTTTAAATGAACATGGTATTTTTTCAGTTATTTTTAAACTGCTGACAAATTAGGATTATTTCCTTTCTTTATCTTTTATTAAATTAAAAAAAAATAGAGACGAGGTCTCCCTTTGTTGGCCAGGTTGGTTTTGAACTCTTGGCCTCAAGAAATCCTCCTGCCTCGGCCTTCCAAAGTGCTAGGATTACAGGGCATGAGACATCTCGCCCAGCTGTATATTATTTCCTTTCTAACATCCATTTTACATTTTTATTTTCATTTCCCATGTATCCAGTATACATGCATATGTATTTTTTGTGCTCTTCAAATGCTTGACTTGCATTCATCTTGATGATTTTATCAAGTTATTTTACAGATGTTTCTATTTTTCTTGTTTGCTTTTTAATAGTTTATGAAATTAAGTCTCCTTTCTTCTGTTTATTCTTCCTCCTTTGTTTATCTATTGAAACAACTGCTGTTCTAGGCGTAATGTATTATTATTCAGTGAATAGAATAATATTAAGGTATGCAACACTGAAGTTACATTACTAAATATTTTTGATTTTTTTTTCTTCCCTACCTATGGATTATACTGACCAGCATCTTCTGTTGCTTTTCTTTGAGACTCGGTTTTTTTTTCTATATGTCTTTTCTTACATTTTGTTATTGCCTACCTTTTTCTACATTTTCTGTGTACTAATTTTTAAGGAGCAATTTTAAAGCTCAGTATTTTACTCTACATTGTTCAAGCCTGATTTGTACTGTTTGCAAATATTTTGGTCTCCGATTAATCTTATCTAAAACTTCACAGCGGGAAAAACTTAAATTGCACCACTGATGGAATGATATGTTTTTTTGGTTAGTCCTTTAGTTTTAAAAAACAGTTCAAAAAAAATGTAGTGCCATAGATATTCAAGACACAAACTGCAACTCTAAGAGAGGGGAAATTATTCAAAAATTGTTACTAACTTACTTTCTAAATGTAAGGGTATCCATGTATGTTCAGGACACATTGTATAACTGGGGGTTCTCTGAATTAAGTTCCATGTAGAACACAATGTTTATTGAAAGATAACTTATAAAAATGTACTAATCAGACGGTTACACACACATTATTAAAACTCAGGGAGTAACTACAGCAATTGTATAGATCGTAGACCAATAAAAGTTTTTTCAGGTTGGAGTATTTTATTACTGCATTTGTTTATAATTGCTGGCATGGGGTGATAATACAATTCAAACCTACTGCTCTATCCTTGTTAAATCGTTAGGAAACCAATCAATCAGGTTTGATTTACTCATAAGTTGAGAAATTTCAATGAAAATCATAATACGTTTAGAACTGAACAGTAAAAATATGCCAAAATTTGTATTGAAAAGGGATTATTACACAGAAATAAGTTGTTTTAAATGCAACTGGAGAAAGAATTGAAAAGAAGTAAATGTTGCATTCAACCCAAGAAAACAGCAAAGGAGAACAAATAAATCTAAAGAAAGAAAGGGAAAGGAGATAATGATAAAGTCAGAATTTTTCTTTTTCTGTTTTTTTGTTTTTTTGTTTGTTTTTTTTTAGAGACAGGATCTTGCTGTAGTGCTCAGGCTCGTCTCAATCTCCTGGCCTCAAGTGATCCTTCTGTCTTAGCCTTCTGAATAGCCAGGATTACATGTGCAAGCCACCGTGCCTGGCTTAAAATCAGAATTTTAATGAGATGAGCAAAACGAATCAATGGAGTCGTTCATAAAAGCAAAAAAGTGATAGTTTGAAAGTATTAATCCATTTCTAAAGCTAAGAAGAAAATTGAATATCAATTCTTCTGATAAGTGTAAAATACATGTGTTTTTTTTTTATGTTAGTCTTAAAAATTATTCAAAGTTTTTTGCCCAGGCCAATTAAGAAGCATAATTGCTTAGTTATTTAATGATCAAGATCCATCTACTTTTCCTCTAATGAATTTCAAGTGAGACTTGATGTAACAATCATCATACATTCACCACTCATGAATACAGTTTGGGAAACTGGACTTTCGGAGTTAAAAGGGTCAATTGAAATTGTTAAGTCCTATCTCTTTACCCAATTCATTCAAGGATCCCTTCACAATATCACTGTTGGTCACCTGACCTCTGTAAAATACCTTCAGTGATAAGTCAAACAACACAGCTGTAAGTTGCTGAATGCTGTGAGTGACTTTTACCTTTAGAGAAAAGAATGTTGCTGAGTTAGGAAGGATTTGTATATGACATACCAAAGTCAACTTTGACCAGAATTTTATGGGGAAATACTTAACTCCATTTTACACAATAACACAATCTGAGGGGCTATTAGCTTTCACCTAAAAGGCCATCTGGCAGTCTTTGATACTGTCATTAAAAGAAAGTGGGTAGACAGTTATGTAGCAGGTGTTTGCCAATTAGAAGAATGCTCCCAAGCAGGACATCGTGGACACACTCTCCACAGAACTGTATATTTTCCAACTGCAATAACTGTGTATTTAAGTGAAGAAAAGTACATTGTAGAGCTTGGTGTTATGAGTCTGTTTCCTGTGGAAAGTGTGGCCTGCTGTGCTGGGGAAGCTGCTGTTTTCTCTTCTGGTCAAGATCTTGCTCAACTGCCTTAACAGGGTACAGGGTGAAGCATCCACAGAATGATCCTGTGTGTACATTTAACCTGTTCTGGGGACGGCACTGTTTGTTTTGGCAAAATAGGAAAATTGACAAAATCAACAATTTTTGTAGAGATTAGAACTTTTTCTAAGAATAACAAATCTGAAGATTACTTATGAGTAGCAGTAAAGATGTCACTTTGAAGTGATAAGTATACTGAATAAAGAACCTCCAATAAGGAAGGATCACATTTCACTTTATTTAGTGGCTTAGAGCCTTTTCTTCAAGGCAATTTAAAAGTAAATCTGCAGAGGTTTAAAAATTAATCTTTATCAAATCCTTGTGAGATGCTAATAGGTTAGGTATTCTGCATGTTTGAAAACATTTGTAAAGAAGAGATGAAAGAATCACAGAGCAGTGCTTCTCAAACTTGAACATGAATCCTCAAGGAATAATGATAAAATGCAGATTTCCATCGAGTAGGTCTGAGGCGTTGCATTCTAACAAGCTCTCAGGTGATATCAGTGCTGCTGCTGTGGCAGGCAGACCACAATGTAAATGGCAATGTCAGCTAAGAGCAGCGTTGTCATGTTTTGGGATTCCCATAGGAAGAAGTCCAGCAGTCACTTGGAAATGTGCATTTTGGACTCAGGAGACTCAGTTTTGGGAGCCATAGCATGGAATAATAGCTGAAGTTATGAGAATAGATGAAATTGCTCTTCTTTAATTATTTACTAAATACTAATAAGGTAGTTAGGGAGCACAGTCAGACACAATCCTTCTTTGTCGAGCACAGATTATGCCATCCTGTATGGTCTCCTGCAATGTTTAATTCTAAAATTCTATTTTTAATGAGAACATTAAGCCTATTGATTTATCAAGTATATCTTTTTCAGCAAGGAGTATTTCTATTAAAAAGGCCATCAGGTTGCTGAAATATTAATGGTAGTACAAGATCATGTAACTGAAGAGAATGTTATCATTGAATTCAGGGTTTTGATGAAAACCCAGAGTTAGGTTCTTAATTTAATAGGGATGTTGAGAAAATAAGATTCTAAGTAATAAATTGTGAAATGGCTTGATTAATAATTGTCTTTTGGCCAGGCATGGTGGCTCAGTTTACTCCCAAAGTGTAATCCTAGCACTTTGGGAGGCCGAGGAGGGTGGATCGTTTGAGGTCAGGAGTTCGAGACCAGCCTGGCCAACGTGGTGAAACCCTGTCTCTACCAAAAATACAAAAATTAGCTGGGTGTGGTGGCGCATGCCTGTAATCCCGGATCCTCAGGAGGCTGAGGCAGGAGAATTGCTTGAACCCGGGAGACAGAGGTTGCAGTTAGTCGAGATCGTACCACTGCACTCTAGCCTGGGCAACAGAGTGAGACTCCATCTCAAAAAAAAAAAAGGTCTTTAATTATTTTAAGGAAGATATCTCCTACTTTTTAGGACCATAAAATACATTGCCAAGGCATGTTATGCAATGTTCTTAATTAGGTATGTTTGTTAATTGATTAGCTAACTATTACAGTATAGATAGACATCACTCTGCCTGGAGTTAGAGAAGTAAATGTGACAGTCTCTGAGCAGACTTTGGACCAACAGACTTCTATTTTTGTGTTTGTTATGTGGTGACTCTTCTTATCTTCTTGCATATTTACATTGGGCCTTTTAAATTATATTTACTTATTGAGTGCCATACACACTTCTGACATGGCTTGTTGTAAATGACTCTAATGATTATTTTCCATTTGGAGTCTAAAGTCCAGCATGGTTTCAGGGAGCTAATGTTTTATTATTGCAGGTTCTTTGGCAAGAACATTCAGTGCACCTGCTGTGCGTACTCAGCCTATATATACGGTGACAGCTACATCTGCTTCCCCATCTGCCCCTTTTGGTTTTAAGTTGGTATCATTAGCTATCTGTAACACTTAAGAATCTGCCTGTATCTGTTGAAGGAAACTAACTGGGTTAAAAATCCTCCCCTTTCTGCAGGACCTTCCACAAAATAATAGCTCTGTGGAGTGATTCGGGGATTTCTTATTATTAAATAGATTACTGAAGCTGTGATTGTCAAATAGAAACATGTTTAAACATGTCCAGAGCTTACTTTTATTTATTAAGAAGGATGTGATCACAAAATGTGTTTAATTATAATGTAGCTATGCTGTATGTTAAATTTGGATCTGTTCCCATAGCAGATAAGATCTGTTAATTAATAAAGTCTAAAGTTATCTGTACAGAGTAGAAAACCCTAATTCTTAACATTAGTATACTAGTCATGTCAATCAGCATGTCCACATCCTCCTGCTTGCATCTCTCTGCTGGACTAAGGAGCCAGCCTCCGTCTCTTCCTTAAGCAAAGGGGTGGGATCAAGTTTCCTAAGGGCACCTAATCCATAGACTGGTTGCTGAACCTATGAAATGACTTGATAGGAAAAAGTTTCCTTAGTAAGAATAATGATAATTAAGTAGACTAATTATACTCTCTTCCAGCCTCCCCAACTAATGGTAAAGACTCTAGCAGACTGATTTCGGGTCACTTTTATCTAATAGACTTAAAGGTCACTATAAGCCATAGACAAAACCCTGTTTAACAATGGCTAGGTCCTGTGCTAGGTGGAAACATGCACCACCTCATCTACTTTTCTCCGTGGTAATCTGTCTTTTTTTTTAAATATATTTTTTAAATTTTATTATTATTATACTTTAAGTTTTAGGGTACATGTGCACAACGTGTAGGTTTGTTACATATGTATACATGTGCCATGTTGGTGTGCTGCACCCATTAACTCGTCATTTAGCATTAGGTATATCTCCTAATGCTATTCTTCCCCCCTCCCCCCACCCCACAACAGTCCCCGGAGTGTGATGTTCCCCTTCCTGTGTCCATGTGTTCTCACTGTTCAATTCCCACCTATGAGTGAGAACATGCGGTATTTGGTTTTTTGTCCTTGCAATGGTTTGCTGAGAATGATGGTTTCCAATTTCATCCATGTCCCTACAAAGGACATGAACTCTTCATTTTTTATGGCCGCATAGTATTCCATGGTGTATATGTGCCAAATTTTCTTAATCAGTCTATCGTTGTTGGACATTTGGGTTGGTTCCAAGTCTTTGGTATTGTGAATAGTGCTGCAATAAACATACGTGTGCATGTGTCTTTATAGCAGCATGATTTATAATCCTTTGGGTATATACCCAGTAATGGGATGGCTGGGTCAAATGGTATTTCTGGTTCTAGATCCCTGAGGAATCGCCACACTGACTTCCACAATGGTTGAACTAGTTTACAGTCCCACCAACAGTGTAAAAGTGTTGCTATTTCTCCACATCCTCTCCAGCACCTGTTGTTTCCTGACTTTTTAATGATTGCCATTCTAACTGGTGTGAGATGGTATCTCATTATGGTTTTGATTTGCATTTCTCTGATGGCCAGTGATGATGAGCATGTTTTCATGTGTTTTTTGGCTGCATAAATGTCTTCTTTTGAGAAGTGTCTGTTCATATCCTTTGCCCACTTTTTGATGGGGTTGTTTTTTCTTGTAAATTTGTTTGAGTTCATTGTAGATTCTGGATATTAGCCCTTTGTCAGATGAGTAGGTTGCGAAAATTTTCTCCCATTTTGTAGGTTGCCTGTTCACTCTGATGGTAGTTTCTTTTTCTGTGCAGAAGCTCTTTAGTTTAATTAGATCCCATTTGTCAATTTTGGCTTTTGTTGCCATTGCTTTTGGTGTTTTAGACATGAAGTCCTTGCCCATGCCTATGTACTGAATGGTAATGCCTAGGTTTTCTTCTAGGGTTTTTATGGTTTTAGGTCTAACATTTAAGTCTTTAATCCATCTTGAATTAATTTTTGTATAAGGTGTAAGGAAGGGATCCAGTTTCAGCTTTCAGCTTTCTACATATGGCTAGCCAGGTTTCCCAGCACCATTTATTAAATAGGGAATCCTTTCCCCAGTTCTTGTTTTTGTCAGGTTTGTCAAAGATCAGATGGCTGTAGATATGCGGCATTATTTCTGAGGGCTCTGTTCTGTTCCATTGATCTATATCTCTGTTTTGGTACCAGTACCATGCTGTTTTGGTTACTGTAGCCGTGTAGTATAGTTTGAAGTTAGGTAGCGTGATGCCTCTGGCTTTGTTCTTTTGGCTTAGGATTGACTTGGCAATGCGGGCTCTTTTTTGGTTCCATATGAACTTTAAAGTAGTTTTTTCCAATTCTGTGAAGAAAGTCATTGGTAGCTTGATGGGGATGGCATTGAATCTATAAATTACCTTGGGCAGTATGGCCATTTTCACGATATTGATTCTTCCTACCCATGAGCATGGAATGTTCTTCCATTTGTTTGTATCCTCTTTTATTACATTGAGCAGTGGTTTGTAGTTCTCCTTGAAGAGGTCCTTCACATCCCTTGTAAGTTGGATTCCTAGGTATTCTATTCTCTTTGAAGCAAAAGTGAATGGGAGTTCACTCATGATTTGGCTCTCTGTTTGTCTGTTATTGGTGTATAAGAAAGCTTGTGATTTTTGTACATTGATTTTGTATCCTGAGACTTTGCTGAAGCTGCTTATCAGCTTAAGGAGATTTTGGGCTGAGACAATGGGGTTTTCTAGATATACAATCATGTCATCTGCAAACAGGGACAATTTGACTTCCTCTTTTCCTAATTGAATACCCTTTATTTCCTTCTCCTGCCTAATTGCCCTGGCCAGAACTTCCAACACTATGTTGAATAGGAGTAGTGAGAGAGGGCATCCCTGTCTTGTGCCAGTTTTCAAAGGGAATGCTTCCAGTTTTTGCCCATTCAGTATGATATTGGGTGTGGGTTTGTCATAGATAGCTCTTATTATTTTGAGATATGTCCCATCAATACCTAATTTATTGAGAGTTTTTAGCATGAAGGGCTGTTGAATTTTGTCAAAGGCCTTTTCTGCATGTATTGAGATAATCATGTGGTTTTTGTCTTTGGTTCTGTTTATATGCTGGATTACATTTATTGATTTGCGTATGTTGAACCAGCCTTGCATCCCAGGGATGAAGCCCACTTGATCATGGTGCATAAGCTTTTTGATGTGCTGCTGGATTCGGTTTGCCAGTATTTTATTGAGGATTTTTGCATCAATGTTCATCAAGGATATTGGTCTAAAATTCTATTTTTTGGTTGTGTCTCTGCCAGGCTTTGGTATCAGGATGATGCTGGCCTCATAAAATGAGTTAGGGAGGATTCCCTCTTTTTCTATTGATTGGAATAGTTTCAGAAGGAATGGTACCACCTCCTCCTTGTACCTCTGGTAGAGTTCGGCTGTGAATCCATCTGGTCCTGGACTTTTTTTGGTTGGTAAGCTATTGATTATTGCCACAATTTCAGAGCTTGTCATTGGTCTATTCAGAGATTCAACTTCTTCCTGGTTTAGTCTTGGGAGGGTGTATGTGTCGAGGAATTTATCCATTTCTTCTAGATTTTCTAGTTTATTTGTGTAGAGGTGTTTGTAGTATTCTCTGATGGTAGTTTGTATTTCTGTGGGATCGGTGGTGATATCCCCTTTATCATTTTTTATTGCGTCTATTTGATTCTTCTCTCTTTTCTTCTTTATTAGTCTTGGTAGTGGTCTATCGATTTTGTTGATCTTTTCAAAAAACCAGCTCCTGGACTCATTAATTTTTTGAAGGGCTTTTTGTGTCTCTATTTCCTTCAGTTCTGCTCTGATTTTAGTTATTTCTTGTCTTCTGCTAGCTTTTGAATGTGTTTGCTCTTGCTTTTCTAGTTCTTTTAATTGTGATGTTAGGGTGTCAATTTTGGATCTTTCCTGCTTTCTCTTGTGGGCATTTAGTGCTATAAATTTCCCTCTACACACTGCTTTGAATGTGTCCCAGAGATTCTGGTATGTTTTGTCTTTGTTCTCATTGGTTTCAAAGAACATCTTTATTTCTGCCTTCATTTCGTTATGTACCCAGTAGTCATTCAGGAGCAGATTTTTCAGTTTCCATGTAGTTGAGCGGTTTTGAGTGAGTTTCTTAATCCTGAGTTCTAGTTTGATTGCACTGTGGTCTGAGAGACAGTTTGTTATAATTTCTTTTGTTTTACATTTGCTGAGGAGAGCTTTACTTCCAAGTATGTGGTCAATTTTGGAATAGGTGTGGTGTGGTGCTGAAAAAAATGTATATTCTGTTGATTTGGGGTGGAGAGTTCTGTAGATGTCTATTAGGTCTGCTTGGTGCAGAGCTGAGTTCAATTCCTGGGTATCCTTGTTAACTTTCTGTCTTGTTGATCTGTGTAATGTTGACAGTGGGGTGTTAAAGTCTCCCATTATTATTGTGTGGGAGTCTAAGTCTTTCTGTAGGTCACTAAGGACTTGCTTTATGAATTTGGGTGCTCCTGTATTGGGTGCATATATATTTAGGATAGTTAGCTCTTGTTGAATTGATCCCTTTACCATTATGTAATGGCCGTCTTTGTCTCTTTTGATCTTTGTTGGTTTGAAGTCTGTTTTATCAGAGACTAGGATTGCAACCCCTGCCTTTTTTTGTTTTCCATTTGCTTGGTAGATCTTCCTCCATCCCTTTATTTTGAGCCTATGTATGTCTCTGCACGTGAGATGGGTTCCCTGAATACAGCACACTGATGGGTCTTGACTCTTTATCCAATTTGCCAGTCTGTGTCTTTTAATTGGAGCATTTAGCCCATTTACATTTAAAGTTAATATTTTTATGTGTATTTGTTCCTGTCATTATGATATTAGCTGGTTATTTTGCTTGTCAGTTGATGCAGTTTCTTCCTAGCCTTGACGGTCTTTACATTTTGGCATGTTTTTGCAGCGGCTGGTACCGGTTGTTCCTTTCCATGTTTACTGCTTCCTTCAGGAGCTCTTTTAGGGCAGGCCTGGTGGTGACAAAATCTCTCAGCATTTGCTTGTCTTTAAAATATTTTATTTCTCTTTCACTTATGAAGCTTAGTTTGGCTGGATACGAAATTCTGGGTAGAAAATTCTTTTCTTTAAGAATGTTGAATATTGGCCCCCACTCTCTTCTGGCTTGTAGAGTTTCTGCCGAAAGATCCGCTGTTAGTCTGATGGGCTTCCCTTTGTGGGTAACCCGACCTTTCTCTCTGGCTGCCCTTAACATTTTTTCCTTCATTTCAACTTTGGTGAATCTGACAATTATGTGTCTTGGAGTTGCTCTTCTCAAGGAGTATCTTTGTGGCGTTCTCTGTGTTTCCTGAATCTGAATGTTGGCCTGCCTTTCTAGATTGGGGAAGTTCTCCTGGATAATATCCTGTAGAGTGTTTTCCAACTTGGTTCCATTCTCCCCGTCACTTTCAGGTACACCAATGAGACGTAGATTTGGTCTTTTCACATAGTCCCATATTTCTTGGAGGCTTTGTTCGTTTCTTTTTATTCTTTTTTCTCTAAACTTCTCTTCTCGCTTCTTTTCATTCATTTCATCTTCCGTCACTGATACCCTTTCTTCCAGTTGATCGCATCGGCTCCTGAGGCTTCGGCATTCTTCATGTAGTTCTCGACCCTTGGCTTTCAGCTCCATCAGCTCCTTTATGGACTTCTCTGCATTGGTTATTCTAGTTATCCATTAGTCTAATTTTTTTTCACAGTTTTTAACTTCTTTGCCATTGGTTTGAATTTCCTCCTGTAGCTTGGAGTAGGTTGATCATCTGAAGCCTTCTTCTCTCAGCTCGTCAAAGTCATTCTCCATCCAGCTTTGTTCCGTTGCTGGTGAGGAGCTGCGTTCCTTTGGAGGAGGAGAGGCATTCTGCTTTTTAGAGTTTCCAGTTTTTCTGCTCTGTTTTTTCCCCATCTTTGTGGTTTTATCTACTTTTGGTCTTTGATGATGGTGACGTACAGAAGGGTTTTTGGTATGGATGTCCCTTCTGTTTGTTAGTTTTCCTTCTAACAGACAGGACCCTCAGCTGCAGGTCTGTTGGAGTTTGCTAGAGGTCCACTCCAGACCCTGTTTGCCTGCGTATCAGCAGTGATGGCTGTAGAACAGTGGATCTTGGTGAACCGCAAATGCTGCTGCCTGATCGTTCCTCTGGAAGTTTTGTCTCAGAGGAGTACCGGGCCGTGTGAGGTGTCAGTCTGCCCCTACCGGGGGGTGCCTCCCAGTTAGGCTGCTTGGGGGTCAAGGACCCACTTGAGGAGGCAGTCTGCCCGTTCTCAGATCTCCAGCCACGTGCTGGGAGAAAACCACTACTCTCTTCAAAGCTGTCAGACAGGGACATTTAAGTCTGCAGAGGTTACTGCTGTCTTTTTGTTTGTCTGTGCCCTGCCCCCAGAGGTGGAGCCTACAGAGGCAGGCAGGCCTCCTTGAGCTGTGGTGGGCTCCACCCAGTTGGAGCTTCCCGGCTGCTTTGTTTACCTAATCAAGCCTGGGCAATGGCAGGTGCCCCTCCCCCAGCCTCACTGCCGCCTTGCAGTTTGATCTCAGACTGCTGTACTAGCAATCAGCGCGACTCCGTGGGCCTAGGATCCTCCGAGCCAGGTGCGGGGTATAATCTCCTTGTGTGTCGTTTTTTAAGCCCGTTGGAAAAGCGCAGTATTAGCGTGGGAGTGACCCGATTTTCCAGGTGCGGTCTGTCACCCCTTTCTTTGACTAGGAAAGGGAACTCCCTGACCCCTTGCACTTCCCGAGCGAGGCGATGCCTCGCCTTGCTTCGGCTCGCGCAAGGTGCGCTGCACCCACTGTCCTGCGCCCACTGTCTGGCACCCCCTAGTGAGATGAACCTGGTACCTCAGATGGAAATGCAGAAATCACCCATCTTCTGTCTTCTGCGTCGCTCACGCTGGGAGCTGTAGACCAGAGCTGTTCCTATTCAGCCATCTTGGCTCTACCCCTGTATAACCGGTAATCCATCTTATAGCTCACTTGGAATTTGCTATCTGTTATCTTGGCATCTTAGTCCAAGCCACTTGTTATACATTTATCCACAAGAAAAGTATAAATGATACACACATGGAGAATTCCATTGTCATTCTCTGGTTCTTCTCTCAGGGATACTTGCTCATCAGTATGTCTTGGGAATGGTTCTGTTCTCTGATGTGTTCTTCTCCCAGCACATGAAGAGTTTCTCCTAGGCCCCACCCACTCAATGCTTGCCCCACTGTGTTGGCTCTGGGATATACACTTCTTACCTAGACGTTTATTTTTACTCACAGGATTTACTAAACCTTAGGAGCTGAGCCAGGAATGGTGGTGCATGCCTGTTGTCTCAGCTACTTGGGAGGCTGAGGTGGGAGATCGATTTAACCCATGTGTTTAAAACCGAACGGAGCTATGATCATGCCACTGCACTCCAGCCTAGGCAGCAGAGTGACAGCCCGTGAAGAAAGAGAGAGAGAGAGAGAGAGTGAGAGACAGAGAGAGACAGAGAGAGAGAGACCTTAAGAGCTGAATCCTTATCAACGGATTCTAATGAAAGGCCATGCTTTTCTCCAAAATGCTGGATGAGGCCATCTGTCTACTATTCTTGTTAATAAAAATAATGAGATGCTGCTACAGCTTTCTGCAGTGTTGTGTGTTCGTGTTCTTTCTGCCTGCTGTGTCCACTCTGCAGTGTGGGGATTTTTTTGTGGGCTGTAGCCACAGGAAGGGTGTTCTAGTGAAGAAATGCCCTACTTGCCTGGAGTCTGAGCCAAACATGGACACTCCTTTGCACAACTTTATAACATCTTGCATAACATCAGTAGGTATTTTTTGGCAGTTGTGGCTAAAAAAATAGCTCAGGGATATTATCATTCAATAATGTTATATGCAGTAGTATGTAGGTTACATACCTGCTGATAGACTAGGGATAAATATGACTTATGGAGCAGTACCTTGTACTAAAAATAGCACTTGCTCATGATTGTAGAAAGTTAGAACTAACCTACCACTCAGATATCTGCGGGGAGAGAAGCATACAGGATTTAATCAATTATCTTCCCAAAACACTCCCTGGAAAGAAAATTGTAATTTCATTTAAAATAATCAATGAAATATTTTTCCATGTGTTAGATGACTTATATACATTAGCGTGTATTCTCCCTTATTTCTGAATCTTGTGATTTAAAAAAATTAATATTACAATTTTATTTCTAGCCAAGTGTTCTTTACTATTAAATTTTAGAAGGGTTGTGAAAATTTGTGTTGGGAGTCACAAATTATTCTGCGCTTTTTTGTTCTATTGGGAGATATTACATTTCTCTCTATTATTTTCACTTTGTACTTATTTGTAGGGTTGCTGAAATAGCTTTTGAACTGAGTGAACATTTTAAATTCACTCTGTTTTTTAATATTATTAAAGCTTCTTTGAGCAAATAAGAGAATGACGAAAGAAAGAAATTCGAGAGGGATAAACTAAAAAGAAAGAGGAAAGCTTTTCATATCTGAAAGTGCTAAGGATAACTAAACTTCAATCAAGAGACAAATGTAGTTTGAAGGCACTGACACTTCATCACCGCAGGGAGGCAGTAGCTCCTTCTGTAATAGGAAACTCAAGGCTTTTAGTATCTTTCTCCACTTTAAATTCTGAACTTTTCTATTAATAATTCTTTATGTGATTTTTTTCTATCAACACCCAAGCTTTAGTCCTTGATTTTAAAAGGTAATCCTTGCTCATGTCTGAAATAATTGGACCCCAAAAGTAAAACATAGTTTGCCGAAAGGGTACAAAATTGAAAAATGACTTCAGCTGCACACCATGCATGAAAGACTTTCAAAGTCTGAGTTCCCATAAAAAATTATAAATAAATGAAATTCTTTATATGCTCTGTAAGTCAACTGTTTTAAAAGCAGCAATTATGGATTCTATAGCACAACAAGAAAGGTTGGGTGGGATTTTGAGGTCACCTCATCCTAGCATCTTCACATGTGACCACATTTTTAACCTATTTCTTGCAGAATATTTAATATTTTGGCCACATTTTCATTTTGGTCACAACCTAAGTATAGATTTAAAAGTGCAGTAATACTTTTGATCCAGCAAAAGCACTAGACCCATAGTCAGGGGAATTTATGTCAGAAAGTGATATCTAGTGGAAGATTCTAAAATGTTAAAAATTCTCTCCTACTCAGTTTCCATGCTTGAGTGAATTACTTATCTGAGTGGGGGGCTTCTTCTGTGGGGATAAACAGCTTGGTAAACGTTAGAAATAGTGGTGTCTCAGATATTTCTAAGTATCTATGTCTGAGTATTTGCTATTTCCAGTAGAGGTAATGCAGCAGAGTTTAGATTCAGACATTTTCTTTTTAAAATATAATCAAATATATTTTCATCTAGTGAAGAAGGAAAAACAGATATGTTCCATATCTTTTAGGGGACAAGACTCCACTGATGTTGACTTTAAGCACAAATGCAAACAGCAGAGGAATGGCAGGGTGAAATGTATAGGAGCACAGACTCTGGAACACTGTACAGATTCAAAGCCCAGCTTTGCCATTTCCCAGTCGAATTACACTGGACACATTTCTTAACTTCTCTGGGCCTCTTTCTTCAGCTGCAAGATGGGGAAAATCATAGGCACCTACTTCATAGAGTTGTATGAAGATTAAACAATTGAGTACCTATAATATATTTAGAACACTGCTTGGCGCTTAATATATGCCCTGTAAGTGCTGGCTGTCATTCAAATGAGAGGCATTACTCTCCAACTCTTCATTGTCTATCAGGTACTCCACATTATTATTATTATTTTTGCAGAGACAAGGTCTCACTTTGTTGCCCAGGCTGGTCTTGACTCCTGGGCTCAAGTGATCCTCCTGCTTTGGCCTCCTAAAGCACTGGGATTACAGGTGTGAGCCACCATGCCTGACCCTGGTACCCTACATCCACATTATTATCTACATTTTACATACCAGGAAACTAAGGCTCAAAGACCTGTGACAGGTTGCACAACTGGTAAGTAGTGATACCCACAGATTGCACTGTACAGATTGTATACAAATATATCATCACGTGCATTAATAACATCTTTATTACTAATATGTCTTTACTGATAATGTCTAATAATGTTTTTATTACTACCTGGCAACATGAATTGAGTGCTCATCCTGCACCAAGCATGGTTCTATGTGCGAAGGATAACCCATAAGATAGGTGCCGTTATTATTGCCATTTTGTCAATGAGGAAACTAAGGCACAGATTGTTTAAAAAACTTGCTCAAGGTCACACAGCGCTTACTGGCAGACTTGAGATGTAAACCCAAGTGGTTTTCTCTAGAATCTGTGCCCCTCTTCTGCCCCTTTCCTGAGAGTGATCAAACCCTTGTGGAGCTTTCATGTGGTCCTAAGATCAAGGAAGAGGCGTTTGGTCATCACTGGCTTTTGGCTGGAAGGCAATTCCATTTGGCTTTTGGCCATCAGCCTTTTCCTCACTATCTGTTACTTCTGTATCTTGTGGGCTGTTTCTCTTGGGGGTGCTCCAGGAGAGGCCAGCCATGACCCCCTGCTGGCTAGGTTCCACATCTGCTCACAGTGGCCCGGTGGTCTTCCAAAACTCATCTGGTCTACCCTCTGGCCGCTGGCTGTGTGCTGTACACAGCCACTCAATTGGGTTAAGCTCAGTGTTTTGTCTTGTAATTTTCAGACACCTTCTGGACCCTTCACTAAGGGTTTTGAAACCTCTTGAAGCTCTTCCCAGCTCCCCAGCCATACTCTGGTACATGTGAGTGAGGGTGAGCAGGTGTTCTCTTGGGCCATCTCCCTGCTACTATCTACTTATATAGCTGTCTGTTGGTGGAATAGAACTCCAGTCAGGAAGAAAAATACAAGCTCCTTTTCACTGGAGATTTTCACACTTACCTGGAATCTCTACTATTTATCTCCTCCACCAGGCATTTTGATATTAGGTTGAGGCACAAGGCCTCAGACATGTCCCAAATCTCCCTCTTTTACTATTAACCGTCTCCTACTTTCCTCTCTCTCTCTTCCAAAGCTCCTGATTTCTTTTTTTTTCTTTTGTCTTTTTTTTTTTTGAGACAGAGTCTTGCTCTGTCACCCAGGCTGGAGTGCAGTGGCACGATCTCAGCTCACTGCAACCCCTGCCTCCCGGGTTCAAGTGATTCTCATACCTCAGCCTCTCGGGTAGCTGGGATTACAGGCATGCACCGCCACGCCAGGCTAATATTTTTTTTTTTGTATTTTTGGTAGAGATGGGGTTTCCTCATGCTGGCCAGGCTGGTCTCAGACTCCTGGCCTCAAGTGATCCACCCGCCTCGGCCTCCCAAAGTGCTGGGATTACAGGCGTGAGCCACCGCGCTTGGCCCTGATTCACTTATTTTTAATGGACCTATAGTCTACTTCCAGCACCTCATTCCCAACTGCATCATCACCATCACTGAACGTGTATAGCACTTTCCCAGGCTCTGGTCCTATATCAGGCACGTGTTGCAAAGAGAATGTTGGTAGCTGCAAGAAAATCTAGCAAGCAATTCACTTGCAAGAGTCTAGAAAGTGATCTTAGTTGAGTAATTTCTGTCTCTCCCAATTAAATACACTGGGAAAATTCAGTAAATGATACTGGTGAGATAAACATAGGCCAGATCTTGAAGATCCATGTAAGTCAGA
This sequence comes from Homo sapiens, assembly GCF_000001405.40. Lineage (NCBI taxonomy): Eukaryota > Metazoa > Chordata > Mammalia > Primates > Hominidae > Homo > Homo sapiens. The sequence continues at coordinate 39,012,462 of NC_000014.9, read as the reverse complement.
TGTGTTAGGCTGTTCCTGTGTTGCTATAAATAAATACCTGGGGCTGGGTAATTTATAAAGAAAAGAGGTTTGATTGGCTTACAGTTCTTCAGGCTGTGCAGGAAATATGGCACTGACATCTGCTTGGCTTCTGCTCAGGGCCTCAGAGAGCTTGTACTCACGGTGGAAGGCAAAGAGGGAGCAAGTGCCTCACATGGTGAAAACCCGAGCAAGAGAGGAGGAGGAAGTGCCACACACTTTTAAATAACCAGATCTCATGAGAACTCACGACTGTCACAAAGATAGCACCAAGCCATGAGGGATCCCCTCTTGTGACCGAATCACCTCCCTTTAGGCCCCACCTCCAACATTGGGGATTACAATTCAACATGAGATTTAGACGGGACAACATCCAAACCATATCAATAAGGTTAAGAAGTTTAGATTTTCTCTTGAAGGCAATGAGGATCACATGGCAGAATAAAGCAGGGAAATGTACAGAATGGAGAAGCCTGAAGAGTGTCAGGCTGAATGCAATCAACAAGGAGGTGTCTGGGAAATACCTGTCATTTAGACACGAGAGATGATGTTCTGAGGAGGCCTGTGGAAGTGATAGGATTTAGACAAGAGGGATGATGTTCCGAGGAGGCCAGTGGAAGTGATAGGATCTGGAGGAGAAGGCTGCTCTGCTTGGAGTCACCTCTCTTTGGCTAGAAAGCTCATTCTTAAAGGTACCTTCCCAGTGAAAGCTTCTCTGAATTCCCATGACTTGCTCTTATGGCTATCTGTACACAGTCAATATTACACGGTTTCTTTGTTTGTTTTGTTTGTTTGTTTGTTTGTTTTTTTTACAGTATTGGTCTTTCCTGTTAGAATGTGCTGCCCATACTGAGGGCAGTTATTTTTGTCCAAAGTTTTTGCATTCCCAGAACTTATTACGTGGCTTGGCACATAAAAGGCTGCCAAATATTCGTTGAATAAATGAATTAAAAAATGGATGGGTAGTGGGTTATCTTGTGAAATATTATGGCCAAGCCATTGCATTAAAAATCTCAAGTGGACACAAATGGAAGACTCCAGGATCCTGCAGTGCAGACAACGGGCATTGCCCCAGAGCTGCCATGTCAAGGATGTCAAGTCATGGAGTTTGAACACTAGGCATGGGCACTTTGGCTTTTTGAGTGAAAAAAGTTGTTTCTGGGTTTTAATGTGTTTAGGGATATAAAGAATCAGGGACCCCTCTATTCTATGGTCCTCTGACCTGATGGACTGAAGTTCCAGTGTGCCACCATGAAATGCAAGGGAAGTAACAGGGAGCCACATCCACCCACCTGCATCTCAGATAGACATCCTCCACACGGCCTATTTGCTGTTTGCATAGTAGACTAAAATAAAAGCAACTTTGAACTACTTGAAGTCTCTAGGCTTGCTTATCCTCAAAACCAAAGCAGTTTGCTGTGGTCTAGCCTAGCTATTCAACTACATATGCACAGCCTTTGTTATTGTTAGAGTTTTATAATTTTTGCTAGGCTAACTGGTGTGAAACGGTATTTCATTATTTGATCCTGATTTATTTAAGTTTTAATCTTTTATCTAAAAAAGTTCTCATATCTGGATTCCTGATGTGAATCCAGTAGTCTTCTATGAGTACTTTCTATCTGCTTCCTAATTAGATTCAACAGAAGTTTGTCTCTTTTATCAGTTCTTTCAAAGAACCATCTTTGGGGGTAATACATCAGTTTTAATATTTTTCTATTTTCTTATTTATTACTTTCTTCTTTTCCTATTCATTAATTCCTTCCTCGTGCTTACCCTTGACTGGTTTTATTGCTTTTATTTGTTTGTTTTTAGAAACAGATCTTGCAGAGTTTCCCAGCCTGGAGTGCCATGACTATTCACAGGCACAGTCATGGAGCCCTACAGCTTCAAACTCCTTCAAACTCCTGGGCTCACGTCATCCTCCTGAGTAGCTAGGACTATAGGCATGCACCATTGCACGTGGCCTTACTGTTTTCTTATAAGTTCTCAGTTCATTATTTTGACACTTAAAATTGCTTAATATTTAAAGTGCTTACAATTTTTTTCCCCTGAGTGCCTCATTTGTAATATCATATCCTTTTATATGTACTGCAGTGTTCTCATTTTGATTATTTCTAAATTGATTGTAACAGTAGTTTTGATTTTTTTCTTTTACTTAGAAGGTTTTTAGAAGGTGGTGCTTGACTTGTGGGATACATAATTTGATATATATTCATTAAATAGTATGTATTTTTTAAAACATTGTGTCGTGTTTAGTTTTTTCTTATTGGATTTGTCAAGGTGGAGACTGTCAAAATCTCCTATTATGACTGAGTTACTGAAGACATATCCTTGCATTTTTAAGAAATCTGTATGTGTTTCAATACAATTCTAGTCAGCATGTAAGGATTGGACTGTCACTGTGATACAAAGAAACCTTAATATAAAATGATAGTATTTGCCCTATGTAAAGCTTTTGGCCTTAAATTCATTTTAATTTGAAATTAGTATTTTCTTTTCTGTTTCTCTTTTGTTTGCCTTTGTCTTTCATATATTTTTCCTTTTCTTTTACTTTTATCCCATTTATGGCATTTTATATTATAACAGCCTCTTAAAAACAGCAGTTTGAACTCAATCCGCAGCCCTTTGACTTTAATGCATTAGGTCTTACTTATCATCTTGTTTCAAGTTTTGTTTTGATAGTTCTTTGCATTTCTATTGTTTTGAAGTATGGATCTTATTTGTCCTTCTTTGGAGATAAACACACATTTAAATTTTGTTACAGTACTTAGTTTTCAAAAGCACTTTTTTTTTTTTTTTTTTGTTAACTGCAATCACCCCCCTATTTAATACCTGTTGGGTATAATCAGCACTATATTTGGTCTGGGGAGTTTGGAAAACGGAAAAGCTATTTCAGCTTTCTTAAATGATTTAGGAGTGATGCAGAGTATAAAATCTCAAATTCAAAGTGAAGCTGAGTCATTCCTGGGTCTGGAGATGCCTACTATCTGATTGAAGAAATCAAGAGTACTGCAGACCACTGGGACCTGCCTAGGTGGAACTCAGCACAACTCTGGTGCAGCTGGAAAGAAACATTTGGGAACATTCAGATTCATAGTTTTTGGGTATAACTTGGAGGATATTTGAAAGCACTTCAACGGAATTGAACACTCAGGAGGTGGGGGACAGATGTTTACAGGCCAGTGTTAGATGGAGGGGAAGTAAAAACCAGGGTTAGACTCTCTGGCCAGAACTTGAAATATTTTCCTGGTTATTGGCTTGTCCAGTACTTTCTGTTCAAATGTTCAAAGGTCAAACTTGATGTGTCCTCATGTCCAAAAGCACTTTTTAACTTACATTTCTCCAGTTGTTAAAGAGTAAAGTCATGTTTTTCCATTACCTTCCACCTTCTTGCTGCTCATTGTTCCTCATTCACCCATTTTTGTTAATGTATTCTGGATTATTGTAAATTTTTTTTAATTGTAAAAATCTAGATTTAAAAATTCCAGATTATTATAAAAATATAAAAAATTGTATCTATTAAGAATGTTTTGACATTGCTTTAGTTTAGTTTTTCTTTTTTTTCTTTATTTTTACTTTTTTTGAGACTGAGTTTCCCTCTTGTCGCCCAGGCTGGAGTGCAATGGAGCAATCTCAGCTCACTGCAACCTCCGCCTCCCCAGTTCAAGTGATTCTCCTGCCTCAGCCTCCCGAGTATCTGAGAGTACAGGTGCACAACACCACTCCCAGCTAATTTTTGTGTTTTTTTTTTGGTAGAGACAGGGTTTCACCATGTTGTCCAGGCTGGTCATGAACTCCTGGCCTCAAGTGATCCGCCTGCTTCAGCCTCCCAAAGTGCTGGGATTACAAGCGTGAGCCACCACGCCCATCCTAGTTTTTCTTCTTAAAAAAACCTGTTCCTACAATGTAATGTATCTTTGTTTCAGTCATTTTGGAGGTCTGGGAGTAATGTCATTCCTTCTTCATTTTCATCTCCTTTTAGGGCTTTTTCTTCAGTCAATTGAAATTTGTCTTCACACATCTTCTTAAAAAAGATTTACACATGAATGGGTGTATTTTTTAAGATATCTGAGTTTGTCTTGTTGCTTTCACAAGGGTGAGACAACTTGGCTGCTACTATGGTCTGAATGTTTATGTCCCCCTAAACTTCATACGTTGAAATTGTCACCCACAAAGTGATGGTATTAGGAGGTGGGGCCTTTGGGTGGTAATTAGGTCATGGGGGTGGAGCCCTCGTGAATGAGATTAGTGGCCCAAGAGAGACCCCTTTGCCTCTTTTGCTATGTGTGGTTAGAGTGAGAAAAAGGTTGTCTGTGAGGAAGCAGGCCCCCACCAGACACCGAATCTGCTGGTGCTTTGATCTTGGACTTTCCAGTCTCCTGAACTGTGAGCAATAAATGCTGTTTATAATCTATCCAGTCTATGGTATTTTATAATAGTAGCCTGAATGGACTAAGACAACTGCATATAAAATTCTTGGATCAAAATACGAGTTTCCCCTAAAGTCTTTTAAAATATTTTACTGCCATTCTTTGGCATGGAATATTGCAGTACATTATATTTTAATCTGGAACAGGAAATAATAGGGGACAGTGTGATACAGTGTCTCAGAGAGCTGACTTTAGGACCTCACAGACAGGGAGGGGTTCAAGGCCTCTGTCTACCACTGACCTGCTTCTCACTTACCAGTCATAAGGCCTTGGGAAATTTTGACGTTGGTTTTCCCAGTAGTATAAAGAACCTAAAAATGGTATTCCTCATAGGGTTATTGTAAGGATTCAGTGAATTAATTCTATAAAGTTATAAATTCTATACAATTATAAAGCTTAGTACCTTTTATACCTTTCTGTTTCATTTTGGACTTTTTTTCTGGGAACATCAGTTGCCTAAATTTCCATCTCTTAATTCTCTTTCTTTCATGGTCATCATCTTAGCTCTCATTGTTTTTCTCTTTAGTTTTTTTCCTTTATATTCTATATGAGTATACAAGTTTATCCTTATTTTTCTTTTATTAAACCTGTTTTTTTCCTCAACCTAGATTTTAATTCTGCTAATATGTTTATAAAACTTTAAAAATAATAAAAATACATGCACATGAAGAAAAGGGTATAAATCCTAAATATACACCTTGAGAAATCATGGGAATAAACTGTTTATCACCTCGGGTTAAGAAACAGAACACTGTAGGCTGGGAGTGGTGGCTCACACACATAATCCCAGTGCTTTGGGAAGCTGAGTCAGGAGCATTTTCAGGACTTCATTTGAGACAGCTTGGGAAATGCAGCGAGACCTCCATCTCTACAAAAGATAAAAAAATTAGCCAGGCATGGTAGTGTGTGCCTGTAGTCCCAGTTACTGGGAGGCAGAGGCAGGAGGATTTCTTGAACCCAGGAGTTCAAGGCTGCAGTGAGCTGTGAGCGTGTCACTGCACTCCAGCTTGGATAACAGTGCAAGACCACATCTCTAAAAAAAAAAGAAACCAGAACATTACAGCATCCCATAGGCTCCCCACATGCCTCATACCAAGCATGCTCTTCTTAACTGCAATACTCTTCTGACTTTGATGGTAATCACCGTGTGACCTTTTCTTTTTCTTTTTTTTTTTTCCTGTGGCTGGTTTACTTCACTTAGCATTTCATCAAGGTTTATCCATGTTGTAGCATGTATGAGAATTTCCTTTCTCTGTAAGGCTCAATAATATTTCATTGCATATCACATTTTGTTTATCTATTCATCTGTCGACGGACAGATGGGTTGCTTCTACCTTTGGCTATGGTGAATAATCTTGCCATGAACATGAGTGTACAAATATCTCTTTGAGATTCTGCTTGCAATTCTTTTGGGTGTATACTGAGAAGTGGAATTGCTGAATCATATGGCAATTCTATTTTTAATATTTTGAAGAACTGTCATACTGCTTTCTATAGCTGTTGCACCAATTTACATTCCTATCAATATTGCACACAGATTCTGTTCCAATTTCTCCATATCATTGCCAATGTTTGTTGCTTTCTGTGCTTTTGATAGCAGCCATCCTATTGGGTGTGAGATAGTACCTCCTTTTGGTTTCGATTTGCATTTCTTAATAATTAGTGATGTTGAACATCTTTTCATATGCTTGTTGTCCATTTATATATATTCTTTGAAGAAATGTCTATTCAAGTCTTTTGCTTATTTTAAAAATCAATTTTTTTGTCATTGTTAAATTGTAGAAGTTCTTTATATTTTCCAGATACTAGACCCTTATCAGATATATGATTTGCAAATATTTTTTTCCTAATCTCTGGGTTGTCTTTTCACTTTCTCGATATTGTCCTTTGAAGCACAAATGTTTTTAATTGTGTTGAAGTCCAATTTATCTATTTGTGTGTGTGTGTGTCTGTGAATGAAGAGCTTCTCAGAGCCTTTCCTATGTTCACGTGGATCAAGATTCCAAAAGACAGATGGATCTTACTGCATTTCCACAACTTAGCTGACCACAGAAACCTAGTTCTGTGCCTCCCGCATCATCGTATTCTCCTCACAGAATAATTTGCAAGTCACAGAACACACTCTGAAATATTCTGCTTTAAGGGTTTTCAGTACTCCATGAAAAACCCTTCAGCAGAAGATGAGACATCACATATTCAGAACCCTAAAGCCAGAATAGATTCAGCCCAGTGCCTGACTTCAGGGATGAGGGCCCAATGACCTGCCCAAAGCTTGTGAGATTGGGGAGAAGATCAGACCCCTGGGACAACTACCCAAATGGGGAACTCAAGACAGGAAGCGTTTGTCTTATCAGTTGTGCAT